>NC_000011.10:45817575-46120606 GCF_000001405.40 Homo sapiens
TATAGAGTGCTCAGCCTAGTACGGGACAATAGCAAGCTACTGTTACTGTGCACATCAACAAACAGTCTCTTCATTGAGTGCTAACTCTGCCCAAGCACTAGGGGAGAAGCAGTGGACAAGACACTAAAAACAAATAAACACTCAAATAAATGCAAAACAAAAAGGCAAAGTGTAGATGATTGGGGAGAACCTTCTCTAGATGGAATATTCACAGGCCTCTCTGAGCATAACATTTAATCTCAGGCCCAAATGGTGGGAGGGAGCCAGCCATGGGAAGAGTGAAGAAAGGGCATTCCAGGCAGAGGTCACAGCTCATGCACAGGCCCTGCAAAAGGAAAAGAGTTGAAGGTGGTCAAGGACCAGAGAGAAGGCCAGGGTGGCAGGAGCAGACTTGAGGAAGCTGATTGGCTGTCTCCACTGGGGTCCAACCTCACAGGGGAGGACAAATCCCAGAAATAGGAAAGGAGGTAGAGATAAATTTGGCAGCTTTCTGACATTCCTTCAAAATGCTGTTTCCTTTTGATTCCACTCACCATGGGGAAGAGTGGAAAGAGGGGTTAGAGGCTTGGGCTCAGGCAGGGCGTACCAAATTGAGCACCAGGCAAGGGGTTTAGATTTATTTCCAGTGCCATGGGCAGCCACTGGGAGTGCCATGATTTGATTTATAATTTACGAAGATCTCTCTGGCCCTTGTGAGGCAAATGAATTGACACCAAAGGCAAGGGTGGCAAGGGCACAAGTAGGGTGACCAGTCAAGAGGTTGTAGTGTGGCCAGGAGAGAAACAGTGGTGGCTTAGACTAGGGTGGTGGCTGCGGAGATAGAAGAGAACAGCTTTGAGATGCATTTTATTATTTTATTTATGTATTTATTTATTTTTTGAGACTGAGTTTCGCTCTTGTTGCCCAAGCTGGAGTGGCGCAATCTCGGCTCACTGCAACCTCTGCCTCCCGGGTTCAAGTGATTCTCCAGCTCCAACCTCCCAAGTAGCTGGGATTACAGGCATGTGCCACCATGCCCAGCTAATTATTTTTTTTAATAGAGATGAGGTTTCATGATGTTGGCCAGGCTGGTCTTGAACTCCTGCCCTCAGGTGATCCGCCCCCCTCGGTCTCCCAGAGTGCTGGGATTACAGGTGTGAGCCACTGCACCCGGCCTGAGCTGCATTTTAGAAGTAAAGCCAAGAGACCTTTCAGAGAGATTGCCTGTGGGGTTGACAGGAAGAAAGAATTCAAGGACAATGCCCAGACTTCTGCCTTACACAACTGGGAATGGAGGTGCCATTTATTGGACAGGGAAGACTAAGCAGTGAGAGACAGGCCTGGGACCAAGAGTTTATTTTTGGACATGTTAAGTTTGAGATGTCCGCAGACTGGGATGGGACATGATCCAGTGGGGACGTCAAGTCGACTCTGAGATGTTAGGACTATGGAGGTCTTTGTGAAGGAGAAAGCACTAAAGAAATGGCCTATTCCACATACTATGGATGCCTGACATATTACCCCAAAATTTGGCAGCTGAAAACAGCCATTTCATTTTGCTCATGATTTGGGGAAGGGCACAGCTGAGTAGTTCTTGCTTCAAGTCATGTGGTTGCAGTCAGAGGTTGGCCTGGGCTGCAGTTGTCTGAAAGCTCAACTGGGCTAAACGTCCAAGACCACTCATCACATGGCTGGCAACTGGATGTCGGCTAGAAGCTTAGCTGGCGCTGTTAACTGGAGCATCTACATATGGCCTTTTCAGTATGGGAGGCTCAGAGTGGTCAGACTTCTTACAAGCTGTTGGCTTCCCCCAGACTGAGTGTCCCAAGAGGAATAGTTAGAAGCTACCTGCACTTTTCTGCCCCAACTTTGGAGTCACATAGTTTCACTTCTGCCCTTCTCTACTGGTTGAAGCAATCAGAAGCCAGCCCAGAATCAAGAATAGAGGACAGAAACCCCACCTCTCATGGGAGGAGGCTCAAAGGATAATGAGGCTATGTATTAAGACCACCACACAGCCTGTTTTAGTCCACTTGAGCCGCTCTAACAAGATACCTTATACTGCGTAATTTATAGACAATAGAAATGTATCGCTCACATTTCTGGAGGCTGGGAAGTCCAAGATCAAGATGCCAGCAGATTCATTGTCTAGTAGGGCTCATTCTCTGCTTCATAGACAGTGTCTTTTTGCTGCATCCTAACATGGCAGAAGAGGCAAACAAGCTGGCTCTGGCCTCTTTTATAAGGGCACTAATCTTATTCATGGGGGCTCCATCCTCATGATTTAATCACCTCCTAAAGTTCCCATCTCTCAATGCTATTGCACTGGGGCTTAGGTTTCAACATATTTATTTTAGGGGAACACAAGCATTCAGACCATAGCATAATCTTTCTATGGTTGTGCATTGATAGCAGCCCCTGTAGCTCATGATATGTAGGAAAAACAAATGGGACGTGTCTGTGTTATTTCGTGTAGCTCAGCCAGGAGCCACATTAGATCTGAGGTATAATGAAAGTTTAAGCCCGGTTCTTCACAGAACTCCCAGTGTGCCCTCTCAGTAGTAATAGCTAGAGGTTTATACTGTGCCTTTAAATTTTCCCACCACTTTCTCACTTAGAGTCATGGACTCTCAGAATCAGAAAGGATCAGGATCATTGAGATTATCCAGCCTAGATATGAGCCTGCCTCCCTTCATGGAATCATCTATGACTTCCATTAAGCTGCCTCTAATCAGGACTTTTTGAATATTAATATTATCATATCTACAAAGCATTAAAATTCATTCTTTCAGTAAATATTTTTTGAGTACTTACCATATGCCAGGCATACCTCAGAGATTGAGACAGACCACAGTTCCTACATTCTTGGAGGTTAGTGAGAGAAGAAGAACAGTCAACAAAAAGACAAAATATAAACAATACATAGCAAGTGCCACAAAGAAGATAAGGCCTAGTTAAGGACTGACGGTATCGAGGGATGACTTTAGATCAGAGGATCAGAGACCTCTCTGTGTAAAGATGTGAGTAAAGATTGAAATGTGGCAAAGGAGCAGTCAGGAGAAGATCTGGGGTCAGAACGTGCCAGGAAGAGGGATCAGCAGGTGCAAAGGCCCTGGGGTGGGAGTATGGCCAGCGTGAGTAAGGAAAGGCAAGGCCAGGGTGGCCGAGAGATGCTAAGAGATGAGATCAGAGTATGGGGGTGGGAGTTCCTAAGTCATAGGATAAACTAGTTAAATTTATTTTGCCTGCAATAAGAAATCAACTGAAATTAGTCACAGTAGTTCCATGCATACCTGGTCACTTTCCGTTCCTTCCAGCCCCATACGTGCATTCTTCATCTCCCATCAAGAGGTGGATTCTGTTGAATCTTTAAGTCAGGGCTGATCGTGTAACTTGCTCTAACCAGTAGAAAACAGAAAAAGTAGGCCGGGCGCGGTGGCTCACCCCTGTAATCCCAGCACTTTGGGAGGCCGAGGCAGGTGGATCACAAGGTCAGGAGATTGAGACCATCCTGGCTAACGCAGTGAAACCCCGTCTTTACTAAAAATACAAAAATTAGCCGGGCGTGGCTGCATGCGCCTGTAGTCCCAGCTGCTGGGGAGGCTGAGGCAGGAGAACGGCGTGAACCCGGGAGGCAGAGTTTGCAGTGAGCTGAGATCGCGCCACTGCACTCCAGCCTGGGTGACACAGTGAGACGCTGTCTCAAAAAAAAAAAAAAGAAAACAGAAAAAGTAATGTGCTGGGGCTTCGGAGGCCAGGCCTTAAGTGGAGTGGGAGCTTGTGCCTCTCCCCTGGCAATCCTGAGACCACCATACTATCAGGAAGCCCAAGCAAGCCGAATGGAGAGGCCACATGGAAGAGAATCGAGGCACCGCAGTCAACAGCCCCTGCTCTCAACCCCACCAGATAAACACAGCTGCACAAGTGCCCCTACGTCAAACCTGCAGAAGAATCACCCAGTCCACCCACAGATTCTAGAGAAATAGTAAATTGTTGTTTTAATCCTCTACATTTTGGGATGATTTATTACACAGCAATAAATAACTGATACATTAGCCTAAATAAATAGGGCGGGGGTTGTTTGAAGGAAACTGGGGTTTCTTATGGAATTTCAAGATCAGAAAAGCCAACTGTCAAAAAGAGCAGGAACCAGAATTCTGTAGCCATCAGCAGCAGGAGTTTACAGCCCTCCAGCCAGAGCACCTGTTAATGCGTCCCAGTCTAATGTTCAGATCCGACTCTCCACTTCCTGGGAGGAGGGTGTGATTGGGTCAGACACCCTCACCCCCAAGCAAGGACACATAGGTCACCCAGAGCATTGCTAGGGGGCCCATGGGTGAGCCCCACAGCATGCTGGGACAATAGTCAATGCTGCACCCACTACACTGGAATATTCCTCGCAATCGACTCTAATGGGTAAAACTAATGTGGCAAAAAAAGTTTTGATTTTTTTTCTGACTTGATCTTTGTTCATAAAATGCTGTTCATCACTGAACTTGCCCAAGCTCCTTACTTTGCAGCTGAGGAAACTAAGGCACAAAAAAATTAAAGTCTCTGAGGCCACAAAGCAAAGTAGTGGCTGTGCCTAAAGTAGACCATGAGTCTCCTGATCCTAATCACAGACACTTTCTTCCTGCTTAAGGTCATATGCTGATTGGCAAGAGAGCTATTTTTTAAATTAAGCAAACATTTAAATAAACTTTACTGGAGGTCAGGCATGGTTGAAAGTGTTTCGCAAATATTAATTCACTTAATCCTCATAACAACCCTATGTGGGTACAATTATTATCTTCCATCTCACAGATAAGAACTGAGGCACAGAGAGGTTAAGTAATTTGTCTGAGGTCACACAGCTAATAAGTACCAGAACTAGAAATCAAACATAGGCAGTCTGGCTCTCAACTGTAAAACCATGTTGCCTCCCTGGTATAAAATTTATTATTTTCATGTTATCATCATAGTAATCCCATAATGGAAGTAAAGTTGAGATTATCTAAAGGTAAAAAAAAAAGACTAGGTCTTAGGGTCTAAAGATCTAGACTCAAACCATGTGCTAGCTGTGTGGGCTTAGCGAACTCACTTAACCTCTCTCTGATTTTTTTCCTCCTCTGAAAGAAAGGAAAGTTGTTCTACTTTAAAGGATAACATAGGCCGGGCACGGTGGCTCACACCTGTAATCCAGCACTTTGGGAGGCCGAGGTGGGCGGATCACAAGGTCAAGAGATTGAGACCATCCTGGACAACATGCTGAAACCCCATCTCTACTAAAAATACAAAAATTAGCTGGGCACGGTGGCACATGGCTATAGTCCCAGCTACTCGGGAGACTGAGGCAGGAGAATCCCTTGAACCCGGGAGGCAGAGGTTGCAGTGAGCCGAGATCGCATCACTGCACTCCAGCCTGGCAACAAAACAAGACTTTGTCTCAAAAAAAAAAAGATAACATGGTGGCTTAAGGTGTCAACATATATAAAATTTAATTGCCAGGCCTGACACAATGGCTCACGCCTATAATCCCAACTTTGGGAGACCAAGGTGGGCAGATCACTTGAGGTCAGGAGTTAGACACCAGCCTGGGCAACATGACAAGACCCCATCCCTATAAAAAATACAAAAATTAGCTGTGCCTGGTGGTGCGCGCCTGTAATCCCAGCTACTCAGGAGGCTGAAGCAGGAGAATCACTTGAACCTGGGAGGTGGAGTTTGCAGTGAGCCAAGATCACACCACTGCACTCCAGCCTGGGTGACAGAGCAAGACTCTGTCTCAAAAAAAAAAAAAAATTAGTTGCCAGATGAAAAACTGAGGCCCCAAAGGGTCAAAGGACTCGCCCAGCATGAAGAAGGAATTAATGAAATCAACTATAACCTAATAGTAGTAGTAACAGAAATTTTAAAATTCTCTTAAAGTTGCTGCAAAGTGTGACCCCTTCCCCCTTACACTCAAGTTAAAAGGGAATGTTCACAGCCTGTCTCCTCTCTGTGGACAGTGAACCTTATCTATACTCCCCAACTCCACATTCCTCAAAGTTTATTACAGGCCCAGCGAGTTCCTGCACAGCTGCAGGGTCACAAGACTGGTAAGTTTAGGTTGCAAGACATGTTTCTCTCAAGATGTAAGAAATGTTGTAATGCTGCCTTTGTTTCTTGCTTCTGTAACTCGCTTCCCGCCTCACGTAGTTCCCCCCTTAAGATGTTTAAAAGTAGGAAAAGCCCTTTGTTTGGGGCTCAGACTTTCTGGACATATGTCCGGCTGGGCCGGTGATCACCTTAATAAACTCTCCTGAAACTTCTTTTCCGTCTCTCCAGTCTTTGATTGTCCTGCAACAAGTGCATTGATGACAAAATGGAATGCAGTGCTCAGCCCTCCTGGCCTCCTGCCTGATTCTCTTCGGAGTGCACCACATGGGTGGAAGAGCTGCCCCCACCACATACAGCCCTCACCCACAGTGTGATGGGTAGAACCAGGACCAGATCTACCGGGAGCCCTCCTCCCACACACCGTGGCTTCTATGAAAGGACTAAATTTAGGACCTGAAACCAGCTGAAATGGGGACAGCAGAGCCTGCTGCGCCGCAGCTGCCCATCCAGGTGTGCTGGGAGCGTAGATGGAGTGTGGGTATGGGGAAGGGAGGGGCGATGGCAGGCTGTCACTACACACCCAGTGGGGAATTGATAACATTAGAGCTGGGAACCAGTTTGGAAGTCAGAGCTCAGCCCCCTGCTCTGCTGACAAGACTGAGACTCAGAGGAGCCTCAAGAAGGCTGAGGTCACAGTGCGATGGGGCAGAACCAGGACCAGAGCTACCCAGAGCCCTCCTCCCAGGCCAGTGCCCTTTCCATTGAGTATAATAATACTAATACTTTTTAAAAATTGCTCTGTCAGCCCGGTGCGGTGGCTCATGCCTAGAATCCCAGCACTTTGGGAGGCCGAGGCGGGCAGATCACAAGGTCAGGAGTTTGAGACCAGCCCAGCCAACACAGTGAAACCCCATCTCTACTAAAAATACAAAAAAATTAGCTGGGCATCATGGTGGGTGCCTATAATCCCATCTACTCAGGAGACTGAGGCAGGAGAATCACTTGAACCCAGGAGGTGAAGGTTGCAGTGAACCGAGATCACGCCACTGCACTCCAGCCCAGATAACAGTGTGAGACTACACCGCAAAAAAAAAAAAAAAATTGCTCTGCCACCCAGGCTAGAGTTCAGGGGCACAATCCTAGCTCACTGTAACCTTGAACTCCTGGGCTCAAGCAATCCTCCTGCCTCAGCTTCCTGAGTTGCTGGGACTACAGGTGCCAGCTATTATGCCCAGCTAATTTTTTTTATCTTTTGAAGAGATGAGATCTTGCTATGTTGCTCAGGCTGGTCTCGAACTCCTGGCCTTAAGCAATCCTTCTATCTCAGCTTCCCAAAGTGCTGGGATTACACAGGTGTGAACCACACCAATTATGCCCATAATTTTTAAAATAATAACTAATATTGTGTTGGGTACTCGCCACATGCCAGTTGCTAGTCTAAGAACTTGATATATATTCACATCTGAAACAGGTACTATTAACATCCCATTCACAGGTAAGGAAACCATGGCACAGAGAGGTTAGCAACATGTCCCAAATCACATAGAAAGGCCTCCCTCTCTGCACACCGAGAGACCAAATATACAAACGGACAATGGCCAAACCGTATATGATAATAGAACTCTTTCCTACAACCTCCATCATGATCAGCCCTGGAAACCAAACCACCACCTCTGCAGCAATTGGCCCAGAAGGATCAGGACTTGGTCAATGATTGCCAGTGACTGCCAGTTTCCTTGTGTCCCCCTGACACCCTCCCCACCAGTACAACCGCCACATCCAACTCAGGACCAATCAATCACGTAGGATGTCCAGCTTCTAGTTAGCTGCCTCCAGCACCCCCATGCCAGCAGCCTCCGGTGAGGGCACACCTGAAGCCTTCCCTTTTTCTCACTGCAAATCTTCCTCACTCTGCCTGACTTTGAGTCTTTGCCGAATATATGTAGTGGTGGCCAACTCCCTTGCTATGGCTCTGAATAAAAAGCCTCTGTGTGGTCTTACTTGTGTGGTCATTGTTTATTTCTTTTTCTTTTTCTTTTTTTTTTTTTTTTTTTTGAGATGGAATCTCACTCTGACACCCAGGCTGGAGTGCAGTAGTATGATCTCAGCTCACTGTAACCTCCGCCTCCCGGGTTCAAGTAATTCTCCTGCTTCAGCCTCCCAAGTAGCTGGGATTACAGGCATGCACCACCACACCCAGGTAATTTTTTTGTATTTTTAGCAAAGACGGAGTTCCACCATGTTGGCCAGGCTGGTCTCGAACTCCTGACCTCAGGTGATCCACCCACCTCAGTCTCCCAAAGTGCTGGAATTACAGGTGTGAGCCACCGTGCCCCGCCTGGTCATTGTTTATTTCTACACCCTCCACTGCCCATCAGCTTTCTGTCCAGGTACAGGCTGGCTCGGGAGGAAGACAGAATTCATTCTCAGAGGATTTTCAGGCAGGTGGAGGGTGCCTGTGGGCTGGGGGTAAGGCCAGCTGTCATTTCTACCAGGCCAGGGGTCTGGCACCCACACATCTTGCTCTGTAGCCACAGAAGGGTTATCTGATTTTCCAGCCAGCCAGTGAGTCCAGCCCTGCTGCCTCCCCAGGTCACAGTACCTTGGGTCCCTGCCTCACCTCATCTTTCATTCCCCTATGCCAGAAGGAGGGAGGACCTGCCCTTCTTGAGTGCCTAATATGTGCTGGGCCTGAGCTAGCCTCTTTACATCCTTCACTTCATTTAGTCCTAATCCTGTGAGGCAAGGCCATGTTTCCACTGCATTTGAGATACACTGGTTTTTAGCAGTGTATCCAAAATCACTTAACTTCCCCCATGCCTCTGTTTCCATGTCTATAAAATAGAGGGAGGGGCTGGGCGTGGTGGCTCATGCCTGTAATCCCAGCACGTTGGGAGGCTGAGGCGGGTGGATCACTTGAGGTCAGAAGTTTGAGACTACCCTGGCCAGCATGGTGAAACCCCGTCTCTACTAGTTAGCATTTCAAAGTCTCATTTGTTATCGGAATTAACCAGACAAAGAATGGCCATGCACCACCACCCACAGAATTGAGAAAGAGCTATCAATCTGTCAATCCTGTCCGTGTCCAGGCTGGGTGAGGTTTCCCGTGTTGAGATTGCAGTGAGCCAAGATTGAGCCATTGCACTCCAGCCTGGGTGACAGAGTGAGATTCCATCTCAACATAAATAAAATAAAGATGCTGGAAAAGATCCAGTGCCTCCAGGAAGCTGGGGGAGCCAAGTGGGCTCCTGGCCTTCACTCCTGCTTCAAGTAGGGCAGCTTTGGATGTGTCCCTTCGCACACGGAAGATATGCTTTAGACGTAGTTAGACTAACAGGGGTAGGGGGAGCCTTGCACACATTGGCCATAGGATTTCAGTGAGGGGAGTGAGTAGAAGTCCCTGTGGACCAATCTCTGATCTTTCATCCTCGCTGACATAGCCACAGTTTTATTCCTTTCTGTTCTGAGAAGACTTGGAGAAGGGAGAGGTGGCACTAAATCTCGATTCATGAGAATGAATTCTGATCATCCCAGCCTCCTTGTCAGTTATTAGTTTAAGCAGGATTGGCCAGTGAGGTATAAGAAGTCTACTAGTGGCTTCTGGAAAGGTTTTCTAACTCTTCAAAAGAGACACAAAACAGGAATGTTCCCTCTCTGGTCTCTTGAGGGATGCTCAGCATGATGGCTGGAGCTGTGGCAGCCATTTGGGACCATGACGGCAATCACTTTAGGACACCTGAGTCTTCGGTGACATCACTGAACTTTGGAACTAACTAACTTAGGCACCATTTATGCTTCTTTTAATATGTTTTCTCTCCCATGCTGCTGAAGTGTCTTAGCTGGCTTAGCTCAACATTTCTGTTGTGTGGTTAACACGGTCCTGTTCTAAGCCTTAAGAACCCATGACTAGAACAATGGGATGATGCAGCCCAGCGGGGCTTGAATTGAAACTATTCACCCAACAGCACCTGTCAGAGCAAGCTCCTGGGCACCTGCCTGGGTTCTCAACCTCCAACCAATCCCCTTCTTTTCCTTTTACTCTGTACTGTGCTTCTCAACCTATTCCCAGCCTTTCATTGGTTCTATGACTTCCCTGCTTCCCCTTGAACCAACCTAGGCTCCACTCCTGGACTTTCATCCACTCCTTGGACTTTCTGGTTAATCTGGGAAACAGTTCAGCCCCATTCAGCCTGATCCCAAACTCCTGCCATAATGCCTGCCCATTGGTTTTCCTGCTTACCTCCTCCCAGAAAAGTAAATGAGACACAGAACCCACACCTGAAACAACATGTATTTGAAAACCCCTGATTTAAAGCATACTCACTTTGGATGGAATCTCAAAGGGAGAGAAATGATTTAGAACAATACAATCAATTCAACCACCACCCCAGTGAATCAGTGGGTCCTGGAACCAACCCTATCAATCCTCTAAATCTCTAAATCTCGGGCTCTGGAATGGCATCATAGTCATGGAACTGAACATGAACCAAACCATATTCCATTTGTCTCTGCTCTCAACTCCCAAAACCTACTGGGGTAGGATCAACAGAGAAAAACACCGACCTTCATCTCTGTCCTAGAACTGAGAGCTCAAGCCCATCAGAGTTGAACTCTGGGAGGTAAGAGAACGTGCAGAGGATGTGAAGGTCGTCACCCCTCCTGAGGCCAGGCAGGCAACATGCGTGGGGAAAGAAGCCAGGGTGTGAGGCAACAGTATTGGTGGGACCTGTGAGAAAGTGGGGACCAGTGAGACCAGCAAAACGCCAAAAGTCCAAATTTTCAAAAATACTACCAGCTAAACTAGTTTGCCCCACTGGCCTCCAGTTTTCCAGCTTCTAGGCTTTGGAGTCAGTTGGCCCTGAAATGGAATCCCTGCTCTGCCATCTGTTGGCTATGTGACTTTGCAAGAGCAAGGTAACATCTCTACAGCCTCAGTTTCCCAGCCACTTCCTAGCTGTGTGACCACAGGCAAATGACTTGATGTCTCTAAGCCTTGGTTGCCTCATCTTAGAGTGAGGATCATCATAATTTCTATTCTAGAGGGCAGTGCAATGATCGGATGAGATAATGCATGCTGCATTGCTTAGCACATTGGCACACAAAGAGCAAGTGTGATTATTAGATGGAAGCTTCCAGGAGAAAGAATGGCAGGGCTTTTTCCCCTCTGCTATGTGGGCTCATGGATTCAGCTCTGACGCCTGCCAGACAGCCTTCTAGCCTGCTGGGTGGGAGAGGGCTGTGCTGGCAGGAACTAGAGATGCCTGGACCTTAGTGCTGCATCCATCTCTGATGCCCTCATCCCCTAAGTGGATCTCCACTCCTTCCCTGCTGCTGCAGTCTCAGGGAAGATGAAACTTGCTATCATAAGAGTGAATTCCTAATGAAAAGCCCAAAGGGGACAACTAGTTACATAAAGGAGGAAAGCAAGCTGGATGGAGACGATGGTAAACTAGACAGTTCTGCATGGGGGAGCCACTCCTCAGCTCTCATCATTTTTTGCCATTTGGGAATGTGGGCCTCAAAGGCTGGAATTTCTAATTTTGAAAGAGAAGCCGGAAATCTGAAAGTTTATGTGCAATTTCCTGAGTTTAAAAGAAGATTCAAATTTATAAAAGACTGTGCGTGTGGGCTGTGTGGCACATATGTGGACCAAATTCAGCCTCAGGCCATCATTTCACAGCCTCTTAGAGGATAAATTCTTTGGAAGCTTATCACATCAGTGAGAGGTCGAGTAGGACACAGAACCCACAGGGCAAAGGTGGCAGCATCTCTACCAACCAGAGCTAATGGGATTGTCCCTGTTTTCTGTCCCAGTTCAAATGCCCTTCTTTTTCCACCTCCACAGAAGAGAAGCTTCCCATAGGGGATTGGTCTGGCTGCTTCTACCATTTTCCAGCAGCCTGTAAATAAAAAACATTTACAGGCTCTCTGAGTGTGTGAAAGGTTTTACCGCCCTTCTCTGCTGTGTTGTTGCTAATGAGCAAGGCAGGGAAGCGGGAGAGAACTAGAGGAGTTGTGTGACGGTTGCTTTTGCTACTGCTGATAATAATAGTTATAATAACAAGTTTTCTGTTACAATAATAATAATAATAACAACAGGCTGGACGCAGTGGCTCATGCCTGTAATCCCAGCACTTTGGGAGGCCAAGGCCGCTGGATCACTTGAGGTCAGGAGTTCGAGACCAGCCTGGCCAACATGATGAAAACCCATCTCTACTAAAAATACAAAAATTAGCCGGGCATGGTGGCAGGCGAGCAGTGAGCTTGCAATCTGAGATCGTGCCACTGCACTCCAGCCTGGGTGACAAGAGTGAAACTCTGTCTCAAAAAAAAAAAGAAGAAAAAATAAAAAAATGAGTACTAACCATTTTGGCCCACAACAGTTTGGTGAGAGCCTTGGGGAATTCTTTGATACCTCAGGATCTGCCAAGCTTGGCTGTATGTTGAACCAGCTTGCCAGAGTCACCATGGGCCATGCATCCAGCCTGCTGAACCCCCTTCCTCTAATGGCGTCTTCACTTGCTCTTCCCAGGGAAGGCCAATGCACTTTCTATAAGGTGCCCCGAGTGATTAGAGCCTGCTAGAAAAAGTTGTCTTTGGTGTTGAACAGTTCTCCTTCCTCCTCCCAGGTGAGGCGGGCTCTGCCTCTGCTGTGTTTCTTTGCCTGGCTGGCTGGGATGCTTTACACTATGGTGGGGGCCCAATAATGGTAGCTTTTATAGGCCTGGGGTTCTTGGCATCAGTTTTGCCTCTTTTCGCTTTTTATCTTTTGGTGCCTTTATCAGTTTAGACTCCAGAAAGCTCAACTTGGAGGGCATAAACCAGGAGTCAGCAAACTTTTTCTGTAAAAGGGTAGATAGTAGCTCCTTTTGATTCTGTGAGCCGTGCAACTTTATAAGTCGCAACTCTGTCTGTGAAGCTCAAAGCCGTGGATCAGATGTAAACAAATGAGCAGGGCTGTGTTCTAATACAATTTCACTTACAAAACAGGTGATGATGGATGAACCTTGTAAGCATTATGCTGAATGAAGAAGGCAGGTTCAAAAGACCACATATTGTCTGATTCCATTTATAGGAAATGTCCAGAATTGGCAAATCTCTATAGACAGAAAATAGATCCCTGGCTGCCTAGAGCTGGGGGTGTGAGGTGAGGGAAAATCTTCTAAAATTAGATGGTGGTGGTGGTTGCACAACTCTGTGACTAGAATAAAAAGCATTGAATTGTACACTTAACTGGGTGCATTTTTTGATATGTAAATGATATCTCAATAAAGCTGTTTAAAAAGAAGAGTACACCGATGTTCATAGCAGCCCTATTCACGACAGCCAAAAGGTGGAAACAAGTATCTGTCAATGGATGAATGGATAAACAAAACGTGATGTAGACCTACAATGGAATATTATTCAGCATAGAGCAGAATGAAGTACTGATACATGCTGCAGCATGGATGATCCTTGAAAATATGGGCTAAAGTGAAAGAGGCCAGACATATGAGGTTCCCAGAATAAGCAAATTGATAGAGACAAAAATAGAATAGAGGTAACTGAGATCTTGGGGCAGGGGGAATGGGGAGTTATTGTTTCATGGGTACAGAGTTTCTATTTGGGATAATGTACAAGTTATGGAAATGGATAGTGGTGATTGTTGAACAACACTGAATGTACATAATGCCTCTGCATTGTATACTTAAAAATGGTCAGGCCAGGTGCGGTGGCTCACACCTGTAATCCCAACACTTTGGGATGCTGAGATCAGAGGATTGCTTGAGCCCAGGAGTTCGAGACCAGCCTGAGCAACACAGCAAAGCCCCATCTCTCCAAAAGGAAAAAAAAAATACAAAAATTAACCAGGCATGGTGGCACACACTTGTGGTCCCAGCTACACAGCTGGGACCCAGCTACACTACTGTTACAACAGGAGGCTGAGGCAGGAGGATGGCTTGGGCCCAAGAAGTCGAGGCTGCAGTGAGCCATGATCACACTGCTGTACTCCAGCCTGTGTGACAGAGCAAGACCCTGTCAAAAAAAAAAAAAAGATTAAAATGGTAAATTTTATGCTATGTGTATATTTTACCACAATTTTTAAAAACTGAAGAAAATGAAACAGGATGGAGGTGAGGCAAGGACAGAACATCAGGGTGGCTGGTGCACACAGAAAGCAAAGTGGAGCATGAGGAGGAAACTAACAAGGTGGATGGAGGCAGCTTATGCAGGGCCGCATGGATAGAAAGGAACGGGCAGATTCCAAAAAGATCCAGACCAGGGAGCCAGGACCAGGACACTGCAAGGATCCTCAAAGGAGGAGGCCAGTAGAAGAGGACAAAAATGACCAGCAGCATCCCTAGGAACAGGCTCTGCTCTCCCCACCACACCACCCCTACTGTGCCTACCTGCAGTCAAGGCTGTCCCCCACACTGTCTTGTCCAGAGCATGTGAACAGTCCTACCCACCCACCCACACAGACACCCCAGCACCCAGCAGGGCCTGCACACAGTGAGCACTAAGAAATGTTTGTTTCTTAAACAACAAGAACAAAAAGAGCAAATGAGCACATCACACTCTATCGTGTAATTGTGCTGGGATTACTTAAGATTTTTCTTTTTAAATTATTATTATTATTATTATTATTTAATTTTGAGACGGAGTTTCACTGTTGTTGCCCAGGCTGGAGGGCAATGGCACAATCTCAGCTCACAACAACCTCCACCTCCCGGGTTCAAGTGATTCTCTTGCCTCAGCCTCCCTAGTAGCTGGGATTACAGGCATGTGCCACCACATCCAGCTAATTTTGTATTTTTAGTAGAGACGGGGTTTCACCATGTTGATCAGTCTGGTCTGGAACTCCTGACCTCAGGTGATCCACCCACCTCGGCATCCCAAAGTGCTGAGATTACAGGCATGAGCCACCACATCCAGCCAAGATTTTTATTTTCTGATTGGCTTTTCTGTGGACTTGCCAACTTGTTTAAAATGAACTTACACTACTTTTACAACTGGAAAAACAAATTCCATTACACAAATAAACAGAAACCCAGATGAAACTGTTGGACCTACCCTCTTTGGGATTTTTGGGCCCATTTCTGCTCAGAGCCTACCCCCGCCTTCTCTGCTCATTTGGGATCTGCTGGTTTGACTTGGCCCCTTAACCCTTGGCCCATCCTGTTCCTCCATTTCCATCCCCCACCACATCAGGTCCTCCTGTCTGGGTCAGATTTTTTGGATCAACCCACATGATCGCTCCCTCAATCTCCAAGGCATTTACCTCCAGCTCCGTAGTTCTCAACTAGGGGCGATTTGGCACTGTCTGGAGACATGTGGCTGTTACAGCTGGAGAGTTGCTATGGAATCTGGTGGGTGGGGGCCAGGAATGCTGCTAAACATCCTACAGTGCTCAGGACAGCCACCACAGCAAAGGACCGTCTGGTCCAAAATAACAAGATTGAGAAAAACATACCTGAGCCAGTAACGATAATAACGTGATCATCCTGACCGTCATTCAACAAGAAGCTTCTATGTGCAAGGCACTGTGCGGTGTGCATTACACAATTTAGCAATCAGAATCCTTGCAACAGCCTTCAGAGGAAGGTAAGATTACTATCTCCATTTTATAGATAAGGAAACTGCAGCTCAGAGAAGGTAAGTAACTTGTCCAAGGCCACACAGCAAATATCCGAGCTGGAATTTGAATCCAGGTCTATCTGACTCCAAATCCCATTAAAAGCCCCTAAGGGGCCCTCAAACACACACACTCCTCTTTCTTCCCTTGAGCTTTAAGAATGGTTACTGTTTTCTTGAGCAACAACCTGTAAAATTTCTGTTTTGAAATTAAACAAGGTTACGTGCCCCTGTTCTGTTGGTTGGAGACCCTCCTCTTGGTTTTGCTTTCTTGTGTTTGCTTTATTTATTTATTTATTTATTTACTTATTTATTTATTTGGGCAGGGTCTTGTTCTGTCACCCAGGTTGGAGTGCAGTGGCACCATCATACCTCGTTACAGCCTCAAACTCCTGGCCTCAAGTGATCCTCCCGCCTTAGCCTCCCAAAGTGCTAGGATTACAGGCACAAGCCACCACACCCAGCCTGTTTGTACTTTATTAATATAGAGTCCACTATGGAGGCAGCACCTTGTCTCTCAAGGAGAAACTAAGGGCAGCTTTTCTGAGTGGTGGAAGTGAGTAAGGGCTCAGTCCCAGGTGATCTGAGCATAGCCTCCTGTGAACCCAGAAAATCTGAGACTGGTCTCAGTTAATTTGGAAAGTGTACTTTGCCAAGATTGCAGACACGCCCGTGACACAGCCTCAGGAAGTCTTGACAACAGATGCCCAATGTGGGCAGGGCACAGCTTGGTTTTACACATTTTAGGGAGACATGAGACATCAATCAATATATGTAAGAAGTACATTGGTTCAGTCTGGAAAGACAGGAAGACTCGAAGCAGGGGAGGGGGCTTCCAGGTCACAGATAGGTGACACACAAATGATTACATTCTTTTGAGTTTCTGATTAGCCTTTCCAAAGGAGGCAATCAGATATGCATTTATCTCAGTGAGCAGAGGGGTGACCTTGAATAGAATGGGAGGCAGGTTTCCAGCTGGAGTTTTGCTTAGTGATTTTGGGGGCCCAAGATATTTTTCTTTCACACCTCCCGTTCCCTTCCACCATCCCTTGACTCCATGATCTGATGGCCACAGCTGGAAAGGAACATCCCATCTACTCACAGTCAGCTGTGGCGAAGATAAGAAAGCACTCACATGCCCATTTATTTGGCCCTTTGTTCGAGGTTACCAGGTCAGGGTGCCAGGCAGGAGGCCAGGCCCAACTTTACTCAATGTCTCCTCCTCCCGTGCTGTTGGACAAATAGTGCAAGCCCCAGTAAGACTTAACAGAAGGATGCTACTAGCTACTTCCTGCCTCCAGTGAAAACCTGCCTGTGGCTTTAAGAGCTTAGGTCCCACAGGTCCAGCTTCCTCAATTCCTAGAACCAGCAGAACATTCTCAGAAGGCTTCTAGGGCAACTTCCAGAGAACCGCTATTCTTCACAGGAGCTGGGTAGCAGGGGATGTCTCTGTGCAGAAACCAAGGCACTACAGGGAAACCCTTGGGGGCCACTCTCTGGAGCTAACACAGCCAGAGAGGGCAGAAACAAATGGGGGGATTCTGAGCTCACCATGCCAGACCCACCCAGAGCCACCACCTTTTCTTCTTAAACTTCTAAATTAAAGTGTAGCATATATACAAGCAAAAGAATGAATTATAAAAGAATACAGCCTGGCCAGGCGCAGTGGCTCACATCTGTAATCCCAGCACTTTGGGAGGCCGAGGCGAGTGGATCACAAGGTCAGGAGTTTGAGACCAGCCTGGCCAAAATAGTGAAACCCCGTCTCTACTAAAAATACAAAAAAAAACAAATTAGCCAGGCGTGGTGGCAGGCGCCTGTAATCCCAGCTACTCGGGAGGCTGAGGCAGGAGAATGGTTTGAACCCGGGAGGTGGAGGTTGTGGTGAGCCGAGATTGCGCCATTGCATTCCAGCCTGGGCGACAGAGCAAGACTCCGTCTCAAAAAAAAAAAAAAAAAAATACAGCTCAATGGGTTACCATAAGATGAACACATCATGCAGAACATTATCAACACCCTAAAATCTCCCCTAGGAGCCCCCACACTATCCCATCCTTCCTATTCAATGGTAACCACTATCCTGATGTCTGATGTATAATACCATAGATTAGTTTTTATTGATTGTTGTTGTTGTTGTTGTTTTTAATTTATGAGCTCAGAATATTTTAAATATGGACACCAATAGACTAAATTTTTTTTTTTTTTTTGAAACGGAGCTTTGCTCTTTCACTCAGGCTGGAGTGAAGTGGCACGACTCTGCTCACTGCAACCTCCACCCCTGGCAGTTTCAAGTGATTCTCCTGCCACAGCCTCCTGAGTAGCTGGGATTACAGATGTGCACCACCATGCCCAGCTAATTTTTGTATTTTTAGTAGAGACGGGGTTTCGCCACGTTGGTCAGGCTGGTCTCGAACTGCTGACCTCAGGTGATCCACCCGCCTCTGCCTCCCAAAGTGCTAAGATTACAGGCGTGAGCCACCCCGCCTGGCCAGGTAAATTTATTTAAAACATTGTACACACTAAACCAAGGTACATAATTCAGGTAAATAAAAGACCCCATAACATCAGTGAAAAACTTCATTCAAAGTTGATGTAAATGATGTATTTAGACTTTAGAATTTCTGAGTGGACAAAACCATACAACTACATGGAAACTGAACAACTGGCTCCCAAATGACTACTGAGTAAATAACGAAATTAAGGAAGAAACAAAGATGTTCTTTGAAACCAATGAAAGCAAAGCCACAACGTACCAGAATCTCTGGGACACATTTAAAGCAGTGTGTAGAGGGAAATTCATTGCACACAAAAGAAAGCAGGAAAGATATAAAATCGACACCCTAACATCACAATTAAAAGAACTAGAGAAGCAAGAGCAAACAAATTCAAAAGCTATCAGAAGACAAGAAATAACTAAGATCAGGGAAGAACTGAAGGAAATAGAGACCCAAAAAATCCTTCAAAAAATCAATGAATCCAGGAGCTGGTTTTTTGAAAAGATCAACAAAATAGACCACTAGCCAGACTAATAAAGAAGAAAAGAGAGAAGAATCAAGTAGACTCAGTAAAAAATGATAAAGGGGATATCACCACTGATCCCACAGAAATACAAACTACCATTAAAGAATACTATAAACACCTCTATGCAAATAAACTAGAAAATCTAGAAGAAATGGATAAATTCCTGGACACATACACCCTCCCAAGACTAAACCAGAAAGAAGTCGAATCCCTGAATAGACCAATGACAAGTTCTGAAATTGAGGCAGTAATTAATAGCCTACCAACAAAAAAAAAGTCCAGGACCAGATGGATTTATAGCCAAATTCTACCAGAGGTACAAAGAGGAGCTGGTACCATTCCTTCTGAAACTATTCCAAACAATAGAAAAAGAGGGAATCCTCCCTAAGACATTTTATGAGGCCAGCATCATCCTGATACCAAAACCTGGCAGAGACATAACAAAAAAAAGAAAATTTCAGGCCAATATCCCTGATGAACATCGATGCGAACATTTATCCTCAATAAAATACTGGCAAACCGAATCCAGCAGCACATCAAAAAGCTTATCAACTATGATCAAGTCAGCTTCAACCCTGGGTTGCAAGGCTGGTTCAACATACGCTAATCAATAAAGATAATCCATCATAAACAGAACCAATGACAAAAACCACATGATTATCTCAATAGATGCAGAAAAGGCCTTTGACAAAATTCAACAGCCCTTCATGCTAAAAACTCTCAATAAACTAGGTATTGATGGAATGTATCTCAAAATAATAACCGCTGTTTATGAAAAACCCACAGCCAACATCATACTGAATGGGCAAAAACTGGAAGCATTCCCTTTGAAAACTGGCACAAGGCAAGCATGCCCTCTCTCATCACTCCTATTCAACATAGTATTGGAAGTTCTGGCCAGGGCAATCAGGCAAGAGAAAGAAATAAAAGGTATTCAATTAGGAAAAGAGGAAGTAAAATTGTCTCTGTTTGCAGATGACATGATTGTATATTTAGAAAACCCCATCATCTCAGCCCAAAATCTCCTGAAGCTGATAAGCAACTTCAGCAAAGTCTCAGGATACAAAATCAATGTGCAAAAATCACAAGCATTCCTATACACCAATAACAAACAGAGAGCCAAATCATGAGTGAACTCCCATTCACAATTGCTACAAAGAGAATAAAATACCTAGGATTACAACTTACAAGGGATGTGAAGGACCTCTTCAAGGAGAACTACAAACCACTGCTCAAGGAAATAAGAGAGGACACAAACAAATGGAAAAACATTCCATGCTCATGGATAGGAAGAATCAATATTATGAAAATGGCCATACTGCCCAAAGTAATTTATAGATTCAATGCTATCCCCATCAAGCTACCATCGACTTTCTTCATAGAATTGGAAAAAACTACTTTAAATTTCACATGGAACCAAAAAAGAGCCTGCATAGCCAAGACAATCCTAAACAAAAAGAACAAAGCTGGAGGCATCACGCTACCTGACTTCAAACTATACAACAAGGCTACAGTAACAAAAACAGCATGATACTGGTACCAAAACAGATACATGGACCCACTGAACAGAACAGAGGCCTCAGAAATAACACCACACATCTATAACCATCTGATCTTTGACAAACCTGACAAAAACAAGCAATGGGGAAAGAATTCCCTATTTAATAAATGGTGTTGGGAAAACTGGCTAGCCATACGCAGAAAGCTGAAACTGGATCCCTTCCTTATACCTTATACAAAAATTAACTCAAGATGGATTAAAGACTTAAATGTAAGACCTAAAACTATAAAAAACCCTAGAAGAAAATCTAGGCAATACCATTCAGGACATAGGCATGGACAAAGACTTCATGACCAAAACACCAAAAGCAATGGCAACAAAAGCCAAAATAGACAAATGGGATCTAATTAAACTAAAGAACTTCTGCACAGCAAGATAAATTATCATCAGAGTGAACAGGCAACCTACAGTATGGGAGAAAATTTTTGCAATCTATCTATCTGACAAAGAACTAATATCCAGAATCTACAAAGAACTTAAACAAATTTCCAAAAAAAAAATAAACAACCCCATCAAAAATTGGGTAAAGGATATGAACAGACACTTCTCAAAAAAAAGACATTTATGCAGCCAACAAACATATGAAAAAAAAGCTCATCATCACTGGTCATTAGAGAAATGGAAATCAAAACCACATTGAGATACCATCTCACGCCAGTTAGAATGGTGATCCTTAAAAAGGAAGCAACAGATGCTGGAGAGGATGTGGAGAAATAGGAATGCTTTTACACTGTTGTTGGGAGTGTAAATTAGTTCATCCACTGTGGAAGACAATGCAGTGATTCCTCAAGGATCTAGAACTAGAAATATCATTTGACCCAGCAATCGCATTACTGGGTATATACCCAAAGGATTATAAATCATTCTACTCTAACGACACATGCACGAATATGTTTATTGCGGCATTGTTCACAATAGCAAAGACTTGGAACCATCCCAAACGCCCATCAAAGATAGACTGGATAAAGAAAATGTGGCACATATACACCAGGAATACAATGCAGCCATAAAAAAGGATGAGTTCATGTCCTTTGCAGGGACATGGATGAAGCTGGAAACCATCATTCTCAGCAAACTAACACAAGAACAGAAAACCAAACACCACATGTTCTCACTCATAAGTGGGAGTTGAACAATGAGAACACGTGGACACGGGGAGGGGAACATCACAACTGGGGCCTATCAGGGGGTGGGGGCTAGGGGAGGGGTACCATTAGGAGAAATACCTAATGTAGATGACAAGTTGATGGGTGCGGCAAACCACCATGGCACGTGTATACCTATGTAACAAACCTGCACGTTCTGCACATGTACCCCAGAACTTTAAGTATAATAAAAAAAAAATAGAATTTCTGAGTGGAATACTTGTCTTTTAAAAGTCCTGGCTGAGCATGGTGGCTCATGCCTGTAATCCTAGCACTTTGGGAGGCCGAAGTGGGTGTTTCACTTGAGCTCTGGAGTTTGAGAACAGCCTGGACAATATGGAGAAACCCCATCTCTATGAAAAAATACAAACACTAGCAGGGTGTGGCGGCACGTGCCTGCAGGCCTAGCTACTTGCGAGGCTGAGGTGGGTGGATGGCTTGAGCGTGGGAGGTTGAGGCTGTGGTGAGCCATGACATGTATACTCCAGCCTGGGCGACAGAGCAAGACCTTGCCTTTTCTTGTTTATTTGTTTGTTTTTGAGACCAAGCCTCACTTTGTTGCCCAGGCTGAAGTGCAGTGGTGTGATCTTGGCTTACTGCAACCTCTGCCTCTTGGGTGCAAGTGATTCTCATGCCTCAGCCTCCTGAGTAGCTAGAACTACAGGCATGAGCCATCATGCCTGGCTAATTTTTGTTTTTTTGTAGAGACGGGGTTTCACCATTTTGGCCAGGCTGGTCTCGAACTCCTGACCTCAGGTGATCCACCCGCCTCAGCCTCCCAAAGCGCTGGGATTACAGGCGTGAGCCACTGTGCCTGGCCTGAGACCTTGTCTTAAAAAAATAATAATAAAAGTCCCGTTCTGGTTCTGAGGCTTATTTTATTTTTTATTTATATTAATAACAGTCTGTAAGTTTTTTAATAATATCTTTGTTAAAATAATTCACATAACATACAATTCACCTATTAAAAGTAAGCACACTTCAATGGTTTTTAGTATATTCACAGAGTTGTACAACCATCATCACAATCAGTTTTAGAACATTTTCATCATCCCATTAGTGTTTACTCCTCATTTTCCTCACCCCCAGCCCTCCTAGCCCTAGAAAACCAATTTCTGTCTCTATGGATTTGCCTATTCTGGACATTTCATATAAATGGAATTCTATAATACAATATGTGGTATTTTGTAACTGGCTTCTATCACTTAACATAATGTTTTCAAGGTTCATCAATGTTGGTATGTGTATCAACACAACACCCCTTTTTTTTTTTTTTTTTTTTTTTTTGAGATAGGGTCTTGCTTTTGTCGCCCAGGCTGGAGTACAATGGCACAATCTCAGCTCACTGCAACCTCCACCTCCTGGGTTCAAGCGATTCTCCTGACTCAGCCTCCCGAATAGCTGGGATTACAGGCGCCCGCCACCATGCCCGGCTAAGTTTTGTATTTTTTGTAGAGATGGGGTTTCGCCATGTTGGCCAGGCTGGTCTCGAAATTCTGACCTGGCGATCTGCCCACCTCGGCCTCCCAAAGTGCTGGGATTACAAGCGTGAGCCACTGCGCTCGGCCAACACTCCCTTTTTATTGCCAAATGATATTCCATTGCATACAGAGACATTTTATTTACTCATTCATCAGAAGATAGTCATTTGGGTTGTTTCTACTTCTTTGGCTATTCACACATTAGTTTTGTCGGATTGCGAACTTTATGTAGTGGATATATACATATTGTGTTTTTCTGTCCTCACACCACTGTAAAGAACTGCCTGGGAGTGGGTAATTTATAAAGAAAAGAGGTTTAATTGACTCACAGTTCCACACGCTGTGCAGGAGGCAGGGCTGGGGAAGCCTCAGGAGACTTATAGTCATGGCGGAAAGGCGAATGGGAAGCAAGCACATTTTCACATGGGTGCAGGAGAGAGAGAGAACGAAGGAGGAAGTGCTACACACTTTTAAACAACCAGATCTTGGGCCGGGCGCGGCGGCTCACGCCTGTAATCCCAGCACTTTGGGAGGCTGAGGCGGGTGGATCACGAGGTCAGAAGATCGAGACCATCCTGGTTAACACGGTGAAACCCCGTTTCTACCAAAAATACAAAAAATTAGCCGGTCGTGGTGGTGGACACCTGTAGTCCCGAGGCAGGAGGATGGCGTGCGTGAACCCGGGAGGCGGAGCTTGCAGTGAGCCGAGATTGCACCACTGCACTCCAGCATGGGCAGCAAAGCCAGACTCCGTCTCCGTAAAAATTAAAAAAAAAAAAAAAACCCCAGATCTTGTGAGAACTCACTATCACCAGAACCGCAAGGGGGAAATCCGCCCCCATGATCCAATGATCCAATCACCTCCCATCAGGTCCCTCCAATACTGAAGATAATAATTCAACATGAGATTTGAGTGGGGACACAGAGCCAAACATATCACTTATATAAATATTTTCTTTGGTTTCTGACTTCTTTCAGTTGATATTAAGTTTGTGAGAATCACCCATGTTACTGCTGCCTGTAACTGTAGGTTTTTTGTATGGTATTCCTAAGTTTGAATACAGCACAATTTTTTAGCTATTCTTTGTCTAATGGACATTTGAGTTATCCCTGATTTATTATTATTACTAATAATACTGCTATGAACATTCTTGCACATGTCTTTTGGTGCACATGTGCACGGATTTCTGTTAAGTATATGCTAGGAGTGAAACTGCTGGGTCATAGAATATATCGTTCATGATTTGTAAGGTATTTGGCTTTTCGAATTTAATATATAACAGACACTTTTTTAAAGTGGTTGTATCAATTTACACTCCCAACAGCAGTGTATTTTAATTGCTCACATCCTCCCAAACACTTGGTTTTATCAATCCTTTTAACTTTATTCATTCTTGCGGGCCTATAGTGGTACCTCATTGTGGTTTTAATTTGTAGCTCCCTAATGAGCTAATGAAGGTGAGTACCTTTTCATGTGTTCATTGCCCACTTAAATATCCATCCTTTGGGGCGGGGGTGTGTGGAAAGTGTCGCAGGTAGCCACTATCTGGGGCCAGTGTTGTGCAGGCAGTAAAAAGAATTTACGAGGACAGTTGTAGGTAAAGAAAGGCAGATTTATTAGAGAAAGTATGAAAAGACATTGCAAGGGTACAATGGGCAGGTCAGCAAGAGAGGAGCTGACTACAAAGAGACAAAGGCTTGCTGGGGATTTTATAGGATGGTGCTTGTGCTGTGTACTGAAGAGGGCTTTGTGCAGTGCTGATAATGCCAAGGTTGCAGTCAGCTATCAGCCAAGGGACTGGTGATAGCTGGGCACAGGAAGATTGTGAGTTATTTGCACAGGAGGGCTATGTGTCCTGGGCCACAAAGAAAGGTAGACTTACAGTTTATCTGCTTTTTCTTTTTGCTTTCCTTCAATCCCACCAGTCTGACTCCTTTTGCCTAATTAGGACTCTACAGAAAGTGCCTATTCAAGTCTCTGGCCTAGTTTCAAATTGGATTGCCTATCTTTTTTTATTATTATGATTTCTAAGGGCTGTTGACATATTCTGGATTTGAGCTCTTTAAGAATTATAAATATTATGTAAGTATCTTTTCTCATTCTATGGTTTGCCTTTTCACTCTCCGAATAATGTTTTTTGATTAACAGTTCCTAATTTTAACACAGTCCAACTCATCAACATTTTCTTTAATGGTTAGTGCTTTTCATGTCTTTTTCAAGAAATGTTTGTCTTCCCCCAAGGTTGCGAAGATATTCTCCAATACAATCTTCTTAAAGCTTTATCGTTTTACCCCTCACATTAAGCATATAATCTATCTGGAATTGATTTGTATGTTGTGAGATGGAGTCAAGTTTCACTTTTTTACAATGGAATACCTGATTGACCCATTACTTTCCCCACTTCTTTACGGAGACATCTTTGTCGTGAATAAAATGTCCAGATTCATGTGGACCTGTTTCTGGATTCTCAATTCTGACTTATTAGTCTATTGACCTTTCCCTAATTTCATATTGTACTTTTATTATAAGTATCATCATCCCCATTTTACAAATGAGGAAACTAAGGCACAGAGAGGTTAATTAGCTCGCCCAATTAAGTAATTTGCTAGTTAATGTCAGATCTGGAAATGGAACCCAGGGAGTTTAGTTTTACGGTCTGTGCTCTCAATAAGCTTTACTGCTTCTCAAGCTTAACAGTTCCAAGAACAAACATTTTACGTCACTACATCAAAATAGGCTTTTGCGTGAAGCCTTGGGAACAGGCATGCCACCTCTGCACCCTGGATTGGTCCTGGTGTTCCCCGCCCAGCCGCAAACCGAACCGCCGCTGTCCCAGTCCTACCACTAGAGGGCGCGGATAACTTAAACTGGCCGGGGACTTCCCTCCCGCCGCGCCTGGTTACCTTCAGCCAATCATCAAATATTTACCCAAAGCGCAGTTCAAAGCCAAAGTAGAAAGTTGTCTAATCCAGTCTCCATGCAGGACATTAACAAAAAGAGACAAAACAGGACTGATCTATCTGCGTAAGTATCTTCGGGGGAGAAAGACGCCACTCAGTTCCTGGCTAATTCATCTCATCCTTAAAGCACCTTATCCTAAGTCTCTCCAATCTTTCACTCTTCCTAGTGTAAACTAGGTTGTTTGGCATCCTCATGACAACCACTCTTTGGAGGTACTTTTTACAAGGTGTACACTAGAGTGCATTATTATGAGATCAAAAATTAGCTTTTATTTCTCTCGAAGAGACAATAGTACCCCATTACATTTCACTTCCTTAGCAATGTACAGGTTTCTTTGGTCTCTGTCCAATTTCTCTGTGTCCCTTTTAAAGTGTAAAAACCCAAAGTGGACTTTGCACTCTAGTATTCTATCTAGTGTCAGATTTACTTCCCGATTCTTTTTTTTTTTTTTCCGAAGTCTCACTTCGTCACTCAGACTGAAGTCTGGTGGCGTGATCTTGGTTCACTGTAATCTCCACCTCCCGGGTTCAAGTAATTCTGCTGCCTCAGCCTCCTGAGTAGCTGGGATTACAGGCACGCGCCACCACACCTGGCTACTTTTTGTATTTTTAGTAGAGACGGGGCTTCACCATGTTGGCCAATCAATTCCTGACCTCAAATGATCCTCCTGCCTCGGCCTCCCAAAGTGCTGGGATTACAGGCGTGAGCCACCGCACCCACCCTACTTCCCGATTCTTGAATGTTACACTGTTAATATACTGAAGCAATATGCAATTATTCAATGAAGTATTAATAGTTCATCTTTATCAACTTGACAACACAAACCACAAAAAAACACAAAAGTAATGATGCAGCAATATACAACATGCTTAATATTTTAAGTTTTAAAAAAGCTGGGCCGGGTGCAATGGCTCATGCCTATAATCCCAGCACTTTGGGAGCCCAAAGAGGGAGGATCGATTGAGGCTAGGAGTTGATTGCTTCAAGACCAGCCTGGGCAACATAGCAAGACCCCTGTTTTTACCAAGAAAAAAATGTTTTTTAAATTAGCTGGGCATGGTAGTGTGTGCCTGTAGTCCTAGCTACTCAGGAGGCTGAGGCAGGAGGATCCCTTGAGCCCAGGAGTTTGAAAATGTATTGAACTAGGGTCACAGCACTGCACTCCAGCTTGGGTGACAGAACAAGACCCTGTCTCAAAAAAAAAAAAAAAAAAAAAAAGAACAGGCTGGACACGGTCGGTGGCTCACACCTGTAATCCCAGCACTTTGAGAGGCCAAGGCAGGTGGATTGCCTGAGGTCAGGAGTTCAAGACCAGCCTGATCAATATGGTGAAACCCTGACTCTACTAAAAATACAAAAATTAGCCCAGCGTGGTGGCTGCCACCTATACTCCCAGCTACTTGGGAGGCTGATGCACGAGAATTGCTTGAGCCCAGGAGGCAGAGGTTGCAGTGAGCTGAGATCACGCCACTGCACTCCAGCCTGGGTGACAGAGCAAGACTCCATCTCAAATTAAAAAAAAAAAAACAAACAAAAAAAAAAAAAAAAACACAACCCAGGGAGCACTGAACCTCTGCTTTGATTAAAGTTTTAAAACTTAAATGTTTGTGGACAAAGTCTAGAAGGCAACATGAAGATAAGAAATAATTGATTTGTTAGGTTTTGGGAACTGAGGTTGATTACTTGTTTTTTCATTATTGGCAAAATTTCAAGGACTTTAAAAAAATAAGTAAAATATTTTATGTAGTCAGCAACTTATGGAGCCCACATTACATGTAAGACCCAGGGCTGAGCATTACAAGGAAGACAAAACCAGACACAGGTCCTGCTGTTCAGAATAACAGTAGCTGACACAGTACAAATGCTTACTATATCCTAAGTGCTATTATCACCCTATTGCAAAGATTAAGAAAGTGAGGAACAGAGAGGTTAACTAGCTTATCCAAGGTCACAGAGAATAAAAGCAGAACTAGAATTTGAACTCAGCAACTCCAATGTGCAAAGCCTCAGGTTTAACCATTACATCACACTGCCTCTCATGATAGCTTAATAAGAGAGCGAGGGGAGGGGAGGGAAGTGACTTTTGATCATTCAACAAATGTTTTTTGAGCACCTACTATATGTTAGGTACCAGAGTACCAGCTGAGAAGACACTGAAAAGTAAGACAAGCACAGTCCCTGCCTCACAGGGTTCACGGAATACAGATATAGCATTATGGGAATTTAGAGGAGAAAAAGGGAAGAGGACCCATCTCTGAGGTTAAGGGAGAACCACCTCCTTACACTCTGTTTCATTCCTAGCAAAGCACCAACCTTGTGGAGAGAAGAGGGCATAGGAGAGGGGGAACACAAAACCTTAAAATAAAAGTAATGAAAGATTGCATCGATTTATTCAGCAAGAATTTGGAAAGGAAATTCAAAAATAAGGAAAGGGTCAGGTAAGCGGACTAGGATAAACCTTTAAGAGCCTGCCAATATGAGACTCTAGTTCAATTTTTACTCAAATAATCCTTGAGCGTTAGGTGCCAAGCCCTGAGCTAGACTTCAGACATACAACTGTATGTAAATAAGCCACAGCCCCTGCTCTCCAGGAGTTTATACTCTAATGGGGCAGAAAGACTTTTAAGCAAGAAATTTCAGTATTGTGTGCCAAGACAAGTGACCAAAAAGAAGCACAGAATAAGATGGGGCACTATTCAGGTTGGGATCAGACAGCAAGAAGGTGACATCTATACTGAACAATGATACAGAGCAAACTGGAGTTAGAAACAAAGATGGAAGAGGGAGTGTGATCTAGACTGCTGGAACAGCTCGTGAAAAGCCCTGGAAATGACAGAGAATGCCTAGGATTGCAGTGACACTGGTTTAGAGAGTGGTGCCAATTAATGCCACTAAATTGCAGACTAAATTACTAAATGCTTTCATCACTCTGTCCCAGGTCCAGGAAGGGTTCCAAGCATGGGCTCAACCTAGGGTCAAGTTGAAACAGACTGTTTTCCACCTGATAACCCCAAAGCTGCAGCTTGACTAAGCCGTCTTAGCCCAAGAGGGTTCCACCTGGCGTCCCAGAAGAATGGGGACAGTGTCCTCCACATCTCTGAACCCTACCCGGAATCCAGTACAGTGCTTTGCACACACTGGATCTACTAAACAGACTAAAAGAAAATAAATTCATCTGATGGCATAATTACTATCTCAATTCAAGTCCCCCACATTCCCAGTCCTTACTCCCAAATCCTCTACTGCTGCATATTAGGGCACTCCTTCCCCGTCCTTAGACTCTGCCACTTGGAATTACCAAGGATCTTCGCACAAAGAGAAGTATAGCTTCGTGGATAAAAGCAGAAATTTCGAAATCAGAATAATCTGGGTGAAATCCTCTTAGCAGCTTTATGATATTGAATAAGTCACTCAACCTGCGGCACCCTCCGTTTTCTTCATCTGTGAAACGAAAACAACAGCAGCTTTTTCACTGGGGTTCGCTAAATGAATGTAACTGGGCTGAGTTGAGAATAGTAAATGAGACCGTCTACGTAAGGAGATGATCATGTCTCTTGCCATATAAAGTGCACTTAATAAATGGCAGCTGTAGTAGAATGATGTAGATGGTGATGGTGACGATGTTGGTGATAATAGGAAGGTCAGCTGTCAGTCTTGCAAGTCACTGGCTGTAGTCACAGCAACCCCTACCAGCCCAGGCAGCTTCTTCTAGAAGCAGGCCCTGAACAGGACGTGGGTAAGAGATCCGCTGTCCCTTGAGACTTGGCCTACTCCCGGCACTCCGCGGACAGCCCCAGCCTGCGGACAGCCCCAGCCTGCGTCACTTGTCCGCATGCCAGCTCCACCCGGGCGGACCCACACATGGTAGGAACGTGAGGGGGCGGGCCTGTTCCGGCGCCTCTGGGCCAATCGCCAGGTGGAAGGCACTCAGCCAATGGCAGAGGGGCTCTGGGGCCCTGTGGGCGGGGACTAAGGGTGGAGTTGCGGCGTCATAGGTCACTGGGCGGGCTATGGGCGGGGTCCACGTCGCCTACCGGGGCGGAGCGGGGGTGGCTGGAGCAGTCTGGACAGTCATGGCGGCGACTGTGGCGACGGCGGCAGCTGTGGCCCCGGCGCCAGCGCCCGGCACGGACAGCGCCTCTTCGGTGCACTGGTTCCGCAAAGGGCTGCGACTCCACGACAACCCGGCGTTGCTGGCGGCCGTGCGCGGGGCGCGCTGCGTGCGCTGCGTTTACATTCTCGACCCGTGGTTCGCGGCCTCCTCCTCAGTCGGGATCAACCGATGGAGGTGAGGGGACCCGGGGCTGGGTGGCGGGGACGCAGCCAGGACCCTGACCCTGGGGTGACCGGCGAACAGCACGATCCCCCCAACCCCGCCACGGCTGGAAGGCCAGAGGGGAGAAGCCGAGACCGGGGAAGTAATTCGTCATGGTCCTAACGCGCCGGTGGGCCAGGGTTCAGCCTCTGACAAAGCGCGTTCGCACTGTTACCCCTTTGAGCCTCACAACTGCCTGTGGAACGGAGATCATGATCCCCGTTGTACAGATGAGACCCTTGAGCCCTGGAGACCCAAAGTCGACCTGCCCAAGGACTTGTAGCCAGTGAGTGGCAGAACAGGGGCTCCTGGTCTAGGGCTCTTACGGTCTACTCAGGGAGGGGCGGAAGGGAGATAACGTAGTGTGAGGGCGGGACGGGTTTTTGCTCGCATTCTTCAAGAGCCCGTTGCTGGGCTCGGGGAGATCACTCCGAAGCCTCTGGCTCGTTTGAATCCGCCCTACCACCCATCCTGGCTACCCTGCACCCAGACCGTCCTGCCTCTAGGGGTGTCAAGTGACCCTGGCTTAGCATTAAATAAGGTCTTCTCCCCTATATTATAAATAAAGAAGCCAAAGGCGTCTTCAGGTGGAGTCGCTTTATGTTCAAAGCTCCAGAGAATCCAGGGGATTCTCCAAAATGTTTTAAGCCCTGCTCTGGAGCTTTGACCTCGATAGAAAAATTTAAAAGAATCCAAAGTGTCACCCCGTCATCCTCTTGTCATGATTTTAGAGGACAGTAGAGCCATTAGAGATGAGACTTTTATGAACTGTTGTGGTAAGGTTAGGGAGCAGGAAAGCCATGATATCAAGGGCCCCTCTGATGACCCCCCAGGAGATGGAGTCGACATGATCATGGAAAAAGATGAACAGGTCGTTAGTGTATTTTCACTGTAAACAGTATTCAAACTAAAGAGTTTTGAGACATAATGTACCCATCGCTCTTCAGAACACCTAGTGGCAGTCGCTCGGTTTGTTTGCATTGTTCTGGGGAATGTTTGCTTGTGGCCTTGTTGCATCGATGGACAGGGTTATTTCCAGGATACCGTGGCTCTCGGCACACCATTCTTTTCTCTCCAAGGTGTGTGCCCTGCTAAGAGAGTGAGTGCTGCTAGCAGTGGGCCTGTTCAGTGTCCCCTCCTGCCCAGAAGGAACAACTAAGGAGTCCTGTGGAGAGCCTGCCCACAGTTTTCAGGCTGCCTTATTGCTCTGTCTCTGCTCCAGTTTTCTACAGATAGGAGGTTGGGTTTGACAAGCATCATCAAATGACCATCCCTAGTGTGCACATTAAGCCAAGCCTCAGACTTTGCCCTGCACCAGTCGGAGCCAGGCAAATGGAATCCGACTACCTTCTTGTTACATTGTCACAGAGTTTCTTCTTTTATTGGGTTTTGGGGGACATTGCATAGTACTGCCTACTCTTTTTTGATAGGGAAGATTAAAAATCAACAATAAAATTCCTGTTGATTAAACTCCAGTTTGCTAGGAACCAGGTGTTTATGGATTTTTGTGGGTCATCATTTTGTGATCGTGCTATCAATCTAGTGAAGAAGAAAAGGAATGTGGCTCAGATGCCTGAGTCAAATCCTGAAGTCAGAGGCTGTGTAAGAATGCAGATATTAATTGATCACTTAATAAGTGCCTAATATCTGCCAGGTACTGCTCTAGATGTTGCTAGGGATACAGCAGTGAATAAGCAGATGTGTCTGTGCTCCAGAACTCCTGGAGCCTACATTTTACCAACAAACAACCATAATTTAGTGAAACGAAGTGCCATGAGAAACATAAGATAAGGGGACAGACTAGAGCAGTGGTTCTCAATCTTGGCTGCTGTGCATTGGAATCCCATAAGGGTCTTTAAAAGATACCTGGGCCCCTTTCCCCCAATTCTATTTTTTTTTTTTTTTGAGACGGAGTTTTGTTCTTGTTGCCCAGGCTAGAGTACAATGGCGCAGTCTGGACTCACTGCAACCTCCACCTCCCGGGTTCAAGCAATTCTCCTGCCTCAGTCTCCCAAGTAGCCAGGATTACAGGTGGCCATCGCCACACCTGGCTAATTATTTTGTATTTTTAGTAGAGACAGGGTTTCACCATGTTGGCTAGGCTGGTCTCAAACTCCTGACCTCAGGTGATCTGCCCACCTTGGTCTCCCAAACTGCTGGGATTACAGGGCATGAGCCACTGTGCCCAGCCCCTTTCTCCCAGTTCTGTTAGAATTGTTCTGGGTTATGGCCTGGGCATTAAGGTTTGGGGATTTTTTGTTTTGTTTTGTTTTTTGTTTTTTTTTTTTTTTGAGACGGGGTCCTGCTCAAGTGACAACCCAAGCTGAAATGCAGTGGCATGATCATAGCTCACTGCAGCCTTGACCTCCTGGGCTCAGCGATCCTCCTGCCTTAGCCTCCCAAGTAGCTGGGACTGCAGGCATGCACCACCATGCCTGGCTAATTTTTGTATTTTTTGTAGAGATGGGGTTTCACCATGTTCTCCAGGCTGGTCTTGAACTCATGGGCTTAAGCAATCACCTGCGTCAACCTCCCGAAGTGCTGTGATTGCAAGTATGAGCCACTGTGCCCGGCCTTGGGCATTAAGGTTTTTAAAGCTCTTATTGCAGCAAAGCTTAAGAAGCACTGGACTAGAGAACCTCAGTCCTGAGACGGGCAACCTAGGAAGTATGTTGCAGTGCATTGGCAGGAAGTCTAATTAATGTTGGCATTCAGAAGAAAGAGATGAAGTAACACAAACAGATTGAATATAATAACTGCTCCTGGGCCTGGAAACAGACACACTCCTACCACCTCCACCATTCTGCTTGCTTCCTGGATCAGTTGAAGGCAGAGCTGCATTCTCTTTTGTGCACAAAGTTGGGGATAGAGGGGAGGGCTGGAGCCAGCCATATCTTGACATGACTGTAGTATGTGTAATCGTCCCGTGGTTGTTTCTGGATTCCAAGAGTGGTCTAAGAGAATTGTGCTGCAGCATAATGTCCTAGCTCTGCAACTGCTTAAGTTGTCTCTGAGAAGCCTCCCTGGGAAGGGCAAGGGACCATCTGCAAGGAGGGGAGGACCCAAAATCTGTGACTCTGTTTCCCTCCTGCTCCTTCTACACTGACTCCCACACAATGTTTTTCTGCAGAGGAAATCAGATTAAAATAACTATGAATGGCACTAAGAGTAAAAACGGACAGAGAAATGCAACCAAGAAATACACATATTGATTAGCAAGAAGAAGCCTAGCATACTTCTTGCCCTGGTGATGGTGGGAAGTTTACGGGCTAATTGTAGCTATATGAGCCTCAGGACTTTTTTTTTTTTTTTCCAAGTGCTACTTGGCTAAGCCCTTTCACATTTTCCCCAGCCTCACCTTCCCCAGATTTGCTACATCTAGAAGGAGGTACTGCAGCAAGAAGATAAACTAAAGGAAGATGTGAGCAGTTCCTAGATTTTAAAATGACCTCTGTGGTTTTTCATTACCTTTCTCTCCCCACTGCAACTTGGATAGGTGTTAGCAACAGTTCCTCTTCCACTTTATTTAAATCATTTTGTCCCTGGCTCTGTGCTGCGCCTCTTTCAGGAGCTTCTGGGACAGAGGGAATTTGTAGAAATAAAATATGTTCCCTCTCAGCCCATTTCTCTTAGAATTGGTAAATGAGGTAAACTGGGAACTTCCCAGGATGCCCCATGAGAACAAGTGTGTCTCTCTTCCCAGATGCTGAGAGCTGAACACTGTTGGACTGTTGGGAAGTGGATTGAGAACGCTAGTCTACTGGCAGGGAAACAGGAGCTTCTCTGAGCTATTCACATTGGTACCTGAGAGAGGCACTTTACTGTTCTGCTGCCAAGGAAATGTTTCTGTTTGCCCAAAGGGGATAAAAACCTTCATCTTTCTCTTTGAAATTAGGAAAGAATAAATATATTTTTAAAATAATAAGAATTTAATATTTAAGTATTTCTAAATATCACTCAGATACTTAGAAATAAATCCCTGCCAGAGATTGTGAGTTTAGGTTATCCTTTTCCATGGGGCTTAAGCTCTCTTAATTACTTAGGAAAAATTAATTTCTATTAATATCCTATGTAGCCAATCTGTGCCAGCCAGTGGTATCATCATCGTTGTTAGATAACCTTGCCTTGAAGCAGAGGAACTTGGTCAAGGACAGCCTGGACCCAAAAGAATTCACTGTTATCCTCCCTCCCCCCATTAACAACAAATAAATAAAATATTCCTCAACACAGGATCAGCCATTCCTAGAGAAGGCCTTCCCTAAATATGAGTACTTAATCAAAGGATCTGCTTGTTTTATTCTAAAAGGCTAGCCTTGTAGAGTCCCTGAGTTATAGTGTCCTCTCTATATTTTTGGAAATCCCAGTCTGGTTTTCTCCAGTTCTGCCTGCCTCTGGCTCCAGAGCACTTACATAATAATGTAATTCAGTTGCACATGTTGTCTAATCCAAAGGGTAAGCTTTGCTCTCCCAGGACCATGTGCTCTGAATTTTGGCCATGTGAGCTCAGCTAAGAGCTGCCAAGGGTGAAGTGCCAGCCCCCAACACCACCATCTCCAATGCCCAGGCCAGTTTCCTTCAGAGTCCCCTCATTGGAGTAAAGAGAAATTGGAGTAAAGAGGAGGGTTCTAAGGGACCACAGAAGGCCCAAGGTTCTCTCTGGTGAAAGAATGCATATACCTGCCCACTGAGCCTTTGCCCAGTCGCAGCACTGCTCCAAATGTGAGGGACAGCTGTCACCTGGCAGGCCTCAAAGGTAGTACCCTAGTGGTGGCTTCTCATTCTCTGCATTCTCTGGCTGCCTGGAGTCTGGAGATACTGGGGACCCTCCTCACATCCCTGTCTATTGCCTCCGTGTGGTGGCTGTCCTGAGCCCTCCCTTCCCGGGTTGACTCGGGAGGGAAGTTGGAAGAAGCAGAGCATTTCTAGCAGGCCAAAGGGGAGGCAGAAATATGGATGCTCAAGAGAGAAAGTTTAGTACAAACAAACTAGAAGCAAAGAAAGGCAACTTGTAACAGAGACTAGAAGTAAAGTTCAGTTTTCTAGAGTAGTGCTTGTGAAACTTTAATATGCAAATGAATCACCAGGGGATCTTGCTAAAATACAGATTCTAATTTTGGAGGTCTGGGTTAGAGCCTGAGATTCTGCATTTCAACAGACTCCTGGGTGTTTCACAGCCAATGCTGCTGATTGTCAGACCACACTCAGAGGAGGAAAGATCTGGCAGCAGAGGTGTTGCTGGCCTTTGAGTTGGCCTGTGGTGCTCCCTAATGGCTGAGCCCAGGGCAGCACAGCCTCAGTGCTCTGTTTGTTGAGAGGCAGTGGCTGGCTAAAAACGAACATGTCAAGCCTGACAGATTGCCTAGGTTTGAATTCTGGCCACTTACTAGGTATATGATGTTGGGCAAGTTTCATAATCTCTCTATGCCTCAGTTCCCTCATCTATAAAATGGGAATAATAATATTACCTACTTGATTGGGCTGTTTGAGAATTAAATGAGGTAATGTATGTGAAACAAGTAGAATAGTGCCTGTCATTGTAAATGCTTATTAAATGTTAATCATTGCCATTATTATCATTATTTTTATTTAGTTGCTGGGTTCAGAGTTGGGCCTTCTACCAGCCTCACATCTCTGCTTCCTGCTATAAACATCTTTTGTGAAAGAAGAAAAGGGCTCTCATAGGATTAGCTGTACTTTAGAGATGCTACGAGGAATCTCTCCTTTTAGTAAATGAGGTCTAAAAATAAAGTTCTATAGAAGGCAGATTGCTACATGTTCTGGAACCTAGATTTCATGTGCATTCCAACCTTATTTATAGCTTCAAATCAAAGTCCTATGCAGCCTGGTGGACTGTGAAGGAAAAGACCCCCAAAGCGCATGGCAAGGACACTCCTGGGAGCTGCAGATGGAGGACCCTGTGTCCTGGGGTTATGAAATTTAAATCACTGCTCCTAGCCCTAGGCATTCTACCTGGCAGGGTCCAGGTTTCAGATGGCATGAGACCATTTGCATGGATTTCTCTTCTTTTCCTTCCAGAAGAGTGGTGAGGCTTGGGGGAGGCCAACACAAGTGACGCACTTGCAGCTCCCTGTTCCTTTTCTGGAGGTGACAATTTTTCAAAAACAGAAATTCACAGAGGTGGAGCTTTTGGTTTGCATAAAGCAGCATTCAACCTGTTTGTCTTCCATCCCAACCTCTCAGAGAGTCTTCCTCATGCTCTTTTGCAAACATGATGCTTTGAGCCGAGGCCAGGGCTCAGCCCATGCTAGAATGTGGGTCGGTGGCATTGGCCGTAGGAGTGTGTCAAGTTGTGTACGTCAGAGGCAGCAGTGGGGGCTGGTTCTAGTTGGCAGCCTGGGAATAGTCACTGCTTCTGTAAGCCTCCAGTAGTCAGGGAATGTGACTGTGATGTGCCATTTCTATTGTTGACAGAGAAAAATGCTGGGGATGGGTGGAGACCCAAGGGGTAGATAGCAGGTGCCTCAGAGGTATCTGTGACATATGCAGATTGACCTGTGGGTTCTTGAAGAAGAAGATAAGAATGCCAGTGGATTACCTGTAGTCACATTGCTATTAGAGAACAGGATTCCAAACTCCTGAGGGCCTGCAGAATCTCAGCCCCTGGAACAGAGTTGGTGTGCAACTAGAAATCTTTAGAAATGGGGCACAGAACCCTCACGGTGGCTCACGCCTGTAATCCCAGCACTTTGGATGGCTGAGGAGGGCGGATCACTTGAGGTCAGGAGTTCAAGACCAACCTGGCCAACATGGTGAAACCCCATCTCTACTAAAAATATTGTTTAAAAAATTAATTGGGTGTGGTGCACATACCTATAACCCCAGCTACTCGGAAAGCTGAGGCAGGAGAATCGCTTGAACCTGGGTTGGGGAGGTTGCAGTGAGCCGAGATTACGCCACTGCACTCCAGCCTGGGCGACAGAGCGAGACTCTGTCTCAAAAAGTAAATAAATAAATAAAAAAGGGCACAGAGAGGAAAATGTGGGTTTCAGAGTGACCACCCTAGGTTCCTGAATCCCCAGCTTTGTCACTTAACAGCTATGGTCTTAGACAAATTAATTCACCTCTGAGTGTCTCAGTTTCCTCATCTATAAAATAAGGATGGTACTATTTCCTTCAAAATAGTTGAGAGAATTAAATGCAGAAATGCACTTAAAAAGCATGACAGAACCAAAATCCCATTGATAACCTTGGTTGCCTCTGGGGAGTGAGGGAGGGGAAAACCCTTTCTACTATGTACCACTTTGTCACTGGAATTTTGAGCCACATGAATAGTTTATCTGGTTATAATGTTAATTTAATTTAAAAATAAAACGCTGAAGGCACTCAGCAAATGTTAATGTCCTTTCCCTTTCCCCTGGTGATCCAGGTCTCCTGCTGAAGTTCTTGCCTAGCTGCGGTCTTCCCCACCCCCACCCCCACAAAAATGTGAAGATAGCTATTGAGAAGTACCTTTTAAGGCCTTCTCCCTCTTGGGATGAGAACCTGATCACCAGAGCCCTGGAGAGGCCTGGAGAGTGAGCCACCTGCCAAACAAAGCTCTGGGAACTAGGGACCCATTGCAGGCTGTGAGGCTGTGGCAGCAGAAATACGCATGGCCCAGAGCATGCATGCAGAAAGTCAAGGAGTCTTTTCCACCAGAGTAAGGAGGATTTTCCCGGCTGTGGCAGTCTGGTCCTCTGCTAAGAGGACCTTAATGCTTCATACCACAGTATTGCACTGGCTTTTCAGATGGCTCCCACGTGAGTCTCACAACAACCTCATGCTGGGCAGATACTTATATCTAGCCCCAGAGACTGCGAGGGAGTAAGTGACTAGCCTCTGATCACACAGAAACACCACACTAGGAACAGCTCACATTTATCTCATGATGTCTGTGTGCCAGGCACAGTGCTAAATGTTTTTCACACATTATTCGATTTTCTTTTCTTAGCAATTTTATGAGATGGGTACTAACATCAGCTTCACATTACCGGCGAGAAAACAGGCAAAGAGGTTAGGTTATTGCCTAAAGTCACACAGCTAGTAAGTGGCAAGACCAGGGTTTGAAGCAGAGCAGCGCTGATCCACTACCACATCCCTCCTGGGCTGGAACCCAGGCCTCTCCAGCCCTAGTGATCATGAGGCTGCCTGTTGGGCATAAACAGCGAACCAGTTTCTCCCTGCTTTGTTAGGAAAGAGAGCCACTCTTCATGATGTTATCACTAACAAGGCCTGTGTGGACTCCACAGGTTCCTACTTCAGTCTCTGGAAGATTTGGACACAAGTTTAAGGAAACTGAACTCCCGCCTGTTTGTAGTCCGGGGACAGCCAGCCGACGTGTTCCCAAGGCTGTTCAAGGTAAGCGTGCAGAGCCCCAGAGAAGACAGTGAGATTCTGTCCCTGACGGTTTCCCCACAGCCTGAGTGATATGATATTCCGACTGAGGGAATGGAAACATCAGGGCTGGTCTGGCTGTTGCTGCTAGAGAAGTTGGGAGCAAAGGCAGCCAGTTAGCTTGCTCTTGGAATGGAAACTGTGTTAAGGAAAAAAATTCTGGGAAACCAGTGTCTTGTTGGAAAGCTCTCAGCTCAGTCCAGACATAGGATGTGGTAAGTCATTCCACTCTGGATGCCACTGGCTTCCTTCAATGTTTTCTTGGCTCAAGCCAGCCAGATTTATTAGGGTTCCTTCTAGGCCAAGACTTTGAGGTGGGGTTTCATGTCTAGCAAGGTACATTTCCCATCTTGCTTTGCTCTGCTTATTGGGAAAAGTCAGCCTTTTCTGCCGGGCGAGGTGGCTCACGCCTGTAATCCCAGCACTTTGGGAGGCCGAGGCAGGCGGATCACGAGGTCAGGAGATCCAGGCCATCCTGGCTAACATGGTGAAACCCCGTCTCTACTAAAAATACAAAAAATTAGCTGGGCATGTTGGCTGGCACCTGTAGTCCCAGCTACTCGAGAGGCTGAGGCAGGAGAATGGTGTGAACCCGGGAGGCGGAGCTTTCAGTGAGCCGAGATTGTGCCACTGCACTCCAGCCTGGGCAACAGAGCGAGACTCCGTCTCAAAAAAAAAAAAAAAAAGGTCAGCCTTTCTGAGGAAGCTTTCTTGTTTCCCATGGGGTAAATGATTGATAGAAATCTTCATTTTGGTGCCACATAGGTTTCTGTTTGCAGTAACGGGGCCAGTCCACTTTTCCCTCAATCCCTTTAAAAAGTATATTCTAAGGCCCACATAGAAGCACAGGAACTCATGGACAGAGGGCTGTGGGACAGACTGCCATCACCCTCAGCAGCACACAATGATTGTCATGCCCCTCCCCACCCTAACTCCGAGACAAAAGGAAAAGTCATGTCAAGGCAAACAGCTTAGTGAATACATCATCCTTCAATTCCCCTCCCCGTAACCCCACACATAATTGTGCATACATGTACAAATCACACAGTGCTAGTAATTGCCCACATTCATTGAGGGCTGCCTATGAGTCAAGCGCTGTTCCCAGTGCTTGTTTACATCAACTGAGTTCTTCCTCACAGCAGGCCTAAGAGGTGGCTACTGCTATCCCGATTTACAGGAGAGGAAACAGTCATTGGTTGTGAAGTTAATAAGTGACGATCTTGGATTCTGACTCTAGAGCTGTATCCTTACCCACCATACCATATAAATACATTTGCCTCCCTTCTCCCCTCGACATTGCCCTTTTTCTCCCCCAGCAACTCAGAGGCCAACCCACTTATATCCCAGAGATATAGCTAGGTCATCCATTCAGTCATGTAATGTATTTTTATTGAGCTTCTGCTAGGTACTAGGCCCCATACTAGGTATAAGGGTAATGATGATGAGTGAGACAACATGGTTTCTGCTCTGAGAGTTCACACTAATAGGGGAAACAGGCAAGTGTATCATTGTCATATAATACATGCTGCAGTGGAAAAAAGACAAGGTGCAGAAGAATTATATTGAAGGAGGAGGTCAAGAAGGCTTCTTGGAGAAAATGTAATTTAATAATATTGTTATTCACAGGTTACAATGAGTATTCAGTGATGTAACCTATATGAACTATAAGCATGGTACCTGGCATATAGCAAGGGCTCAATCAATGTTTAATGCTGATATCCTCGAATGAGGGATAACTGGCCCTGCTAAGGACCCAGTCCCCGGGCAGGGCTGAGTCAGGACCAGACCAGCCTGTGCATGGCTAGGACATTTGCCCCTGTGGTTCAGAGCTTTCAGAGACTATGACCAGAGACTTTGGAGAATGTGTTTTTCTTCTTGCAAGTTGCATGCTCTAGGGCTTTCTGTGGGTTGACTGTACAACCATTCACTGGGCCAGCTTGCTATGAGATCTAGAAATTCCTACCAGAAATGACTAAAGGCTTAGGAAAGAACTTCCTCCTTTTCAACATGTAGCCCCTCTGGTCAGTTTCCTCTGACCTCCAGACTAAGGATCGCTTCCCCTTTCCTGACTCTCTCAGGGCTGGAACCTATTAGCTCTGTTTGCTATTGGCCTCAGGAGTGTTGCTGTGGAAACAATTAAGACACTTCACATAGCACAACTCTGCCAAGAAAACTAGGCCACAAGTCTGCAGGGCTGTGAGGAGCTCTGGGAAAAGCTTGCTGAGCAGGCAGAAGGCTGTGGTCCTGTCCCACCTGTGAGTCAGTGCCACTCTCTGGGACTGGGGGTTTCCCAGGAGCGTTGTATTTATGGCCTCCTGCTGCATTCTCCTACCTCAAGGACACAGCAAGTGCACAAGGCTGCCTACCTCTCTCCCAACTCCACTGTTGCTGTGCTGTTGGCTTCGCCACACTGCCTGCCCTCCTCAAACTTTCTGAACCTCAGCTTGTTTGCTTTCCAGATCAAATCCCTGTTCCTAGTTTTTTCTGCTGCCCATCAGATAGGTCTCTAGACTAGCTCTGTTCTCTCCCAGGAAGGAACTGAGAGTCCAGCTTCCCCCTCCTCCCCAAACACAGTGTTGAGCATAACAGATCCTCTCCCCACAGGAATGGGGAGTGACCCGCTTGACCTTTGAATATGACTCTGAACCCTTTGGGAAAGAACGGGATGCAGCCATCATGAAGATGGCCAAGGAGGCTGGTGTGGAAGTAGTGACGGAGAATTCTCATACCCTCTATGACCTGGACAGGTAAGAGATGGGGCCCAGGGATCAGGTTACCAATTGTGAGAGTTAGTAATTTGGGCCCCTGCTGAGCGGAACTCAGAGAGGTTCAGCATTAGGGCTACCTGACCCAGGAGGCATGGCATCTTCTAGAAGCTGGAGGAGAATAGGCCAGAGTCAGGACCTGTAGAACAGGTCACAAAGAGCTTTACCCCATTGAGGTGGCAGAGAGGCTTGTTAGGCCCAAAGCATGGAAGCAGTGAGGACCCACACTCAGGGTATTTACAAATCTGCTCCTAGTATGCCCGAGTCCCACCTGTGCCTCATATTCCCACTTCCATCCTGCTCAACAGCTGCCCTCTGACCTCAGTGGACCCTGTCTGTTACCCCTCCAACAGACCTCTGTTCACACAGGTCCAGTTTTTGTACCTAAGATGAGTTCCTAGGCTGGGCATGCTGGCTCATGCCTGTAATCCCAGCACTTTGAGAGGATCACATGAGTCCATGAGTTCAAGATCAGCCTGGGCAACATAGTGAGACCCCCGTCTCTACTAAAAATAAATATATTAGCCATGCATGGTGGGACATGCCTGTAGTCCCAATTACTGAAGAGGCTGAGGTTGGAGGATCACTTGAGCCCAGGGGCTTGAGGCTGCCATGAGCTGTGATCATGCCACGTCACTCCAGCCTGGGTGACAGAGCAAGATCCTGTGTCAAAAAAAAAAAAAAAAGAGTTCCCAGGTTCTATGACTATCTGGGTTTCCAGGCCATGTTGCTTGGTGGCGGGGAGGGCTCTAGAGATCCCTGCAGGGAGCTGCTAACTACAGAGGAGCCTCCTCCCCTGGTGACAGCCTCTGTGCTTTCAGAGATTCTAGGAGGAAATCCTCTCCTCCCCTTCCCTGCCATGCCAGAGCTGTCACCCTCCTGCTGCTGCTGCTGCTGTTGCTGCTGCTGCCAAGCCAGCAGCCGCCGCCGCTCCCCACCCCCACTTCCCAACCCAGTGCTGGCTGCCAAGAAGCCAGGTCACACAGCTGTGCACGTGAGCCGGGCCCTCAGGAGGAGAGGCTGGGTGTGGAGATCCTCCTCCTGCTGCGTGCCAGAGGAGAGGGAGGCATAGCAGAGGCAGCAGCCGACCATATATCTCCACTAACGTGGGGAGAGCAAACTGAGAAATGAACTCACCCAGCCAGATGGGCCTTGCGTAAGCTACTTCTTGGCCAAGAAGAGCCCCGGGAATGTGGCTCCATACCATCCCAATTCATCCTTATATAAACAGCCTCCGTTCTCTTCTTCGCCCTCTGATACTCCTTCCTTCTTGCATGAGTGCAGTTATGTTTTCCCTGGTCATGAAAAATACTTTGTAAACTACAAGACTCTCTTTAAGTATCAGTTGTGGCTATGAACTCTAGCTCCAGTCTCTGAATTTGGGAGGATAAGCTGTCTTCCACCTCTCTGTTCAATGTTCTAATAAATGGAGGCTAAGAAGGGGATGATTTTCCAAGAAAGGAACATGTCTGCTATTCCTTATGATGTTAGAGTTAAAAAAAAAAAAAAAAAAAACATGTCTTCAGCTCTTATCAAAGAACTTTCTCCAGGGCTTACATGGGTGGTAGAGGCCTATGGGGATTCCCTTAGCTTGGACAGATAGGCCAAGTGCCAAGCAGGCTAGTAGGGATTTTTCTGTGATTAGAGATTTTGTCAGTCTCTGTCTTTAGGCGGCTCTGCGTCAACACCAGGGAGCCCGGAATTGAGTCCCAGCTCTGGCCCTGCCTTGCTCCATTACTGAGGCACCTGCTTCAGCTCTCTGGGCTTTATTTTCCCTCTCGGTAAAATGGAGATGCGGCCTCCCTTGCCCCCTCCTTTCCACTCAGGCATGGGACCTGTGAGTGGATGAGGAAAGCCACCCTCAAAGCCTTCAGAGTCTGGGTTCTTTTTTGGGTGGGCAGGGACCCACATCACAGGGCCATGTGGGTAACACTAGCTATGCTTTGGGCTCCCCAGGATCATTGAGCTGAATGGGCAGAAGCCACCCCTTACATACAAGCGCTTTCAGGCCATCATCAGCCGCATGGAGCTGCCCAAGAAGCCAGTGGGCTTGGTGACCAGCCAGCAGATGGAGAGCTGCAGGGCCGAGATCCAGGAGAACCACGACGAGACCTACGGCGTGCCCTCCCTGGAGGAGCTGGGTGCGTACTTCCTGCCCAGAGCCACTTGTGCTGGTGCCTGCTTTTGTGTAAAGAAATTCTTTGTGAAAGTAATGCATGTCATTATAGAAAGGTTAGAAAGCACAGGAAAACAAAAATGGAAATGGCAGTCACTATTACTCCACCACCCAGAGGTAACCACAATTAATTTTAAACTGTGTCCTTCTAGTATTTGTTCTGTTCATACTCATACATGTAATCTTCTGTTTCTGGTTCTAGATCATGCCTCTATTTTTGTACTAACCTCTCGCAGACAATACAGGCACTGCCTGGTGCTGGTGTCCATGGGCTTCTCAGTAACAAGATAGCTAGTATTGCTTCTGTTGAAAGCAGGGAATCTGTCAGCCTCTCAGATTACTAACTACACTCTTTCACCCCTCCCTCTTTCTTACCTTTTTTTTTTCTTTTTTAGACGGAGTCTGGCTCTGTTGCCCAGTCTGGAGTGCAGTGGCACAGTCTTGGCTCACTGCAACCTCCACCTCCCGGGTTCAAGCAATTCTGCTGCCCCAGCCTCCTGAGTAGCTGGGACTACAGGCGCCTGCCATCACGCCCAGCTAATATTTGTATTTTTAGTAGAGACGGGGTTTCACCATGTTGGCCAGGCTGGTCTTGAACTGGTGACCTCGAGTGATCCACCCACATCGGCCTCCCAAAGTGCTGGGATTACAGACGTGAGCCACACCTCCAGTCTTTTGATCTGAACAAAGCTATTAGCCTTTTTCACCTGAAAACCACAGTTGTTGCCAGCTAATCTGAAAAGGCAGGAGGTCCGGGATTGTTGTCATCTACCTGGAGCGATGAGGGTGCAGGGGAAAGCAGAGAAAATAGTGACTGTGGGAAGAGAACCAAGTTGACCTAGAAAACGCTAAAACTTTAAGGATTATCTAACCCCCAGTAGCACCGAGACACTGTGGTTCAATTCTCATAAAGTTCAAATAACAGAACAGCCGTGCCGGGCTATCACTGAAATGGTCAAACCTCCTGTCTTGTGACCTTTCCTTCTCTTCAGGGTTCCCCACTGAAGGACTTGGTCCAGCTGTCTGGCAGGGAGGAGAGACAGAAGCTCTGGCCCGCCTGGATAAGCACTTGGAACGGAAGGTATGGGCCGTTTCTGAGACACAGAGCTGCAGATACTGATATCCACACAGCAGGAGATACAGGTCATGTCCATGTCCTTTAGTCCCTCTTAGCTCACATTGTTTGGAAAATGAAAAATCCTCCTATCCTCCTGATGGCCATAACAACAGCAACACTAACAGCAACTACCATTTAGAGAGTACTTACCATGTGCTGGTCACTAGGCTCAGCATTTCTGGGTTAAGCACCTGCTGGCATTTCTTTTAATCTTTCCAATAGCCTGCAAGGTAGGTACTAAGCTGTTCATTCTACAGATTACAAAATTGAGGCTTAGAGAGGTTAAGTAACTTGCCTGAGGTCACAAAGTTAGTAATTACAGGTTGAGTATCCCTTATCCAAAGTGCTTGGGACCAAAAGTGTTTCAGATTTTAGATTCTTGAATTAGGAATGCTCACCTTATAACACAGTAAGACCTTGTTCTATGTTATTCTAAAGCTATGTCGGATTGCTTTTCTTTCATCTGTGGGCAGGTTCCCCCTACTAAGAGGATATCTGGTTAGTAAAATCTATAAGATTATTTTGTGTTGATGTGTCTCCGCACCTTTTTGCTGGAACTCTTTCAGCGTGTTGATTTCCATATGCTTGGACACAGAGCAAATGGCCCACCTCCCAGTGCAGTGAGAACTGGGGAGGAAAGAAGCCCAGGCCTCAGAGGCACAGTGTCACAAAGTCCTCACTCCCCTGCAGCTAGAGGAGCAGAGAAAGTTCTCATGTCCGAGAACAGTCAGCTCCTAGTTTCCTGCCCCCTGCAGCTGGTTTATAAAATGTCAGCTTTTTCTATGCCTGCTAAGATGGCTAGGTATTTTGCCTAGCAGCCAGATGATGACGATAATAGAACAAGGAGGCCAAGGCAAATCTACTTGGGAAGAATGTTCTCCAGCCCTGGAGGTGTCCAGTCAACAGTGAAGGCCCACAGCCTCGATGTTTCTACCTGGTTGTTTCCTTCAGCCTGGGACGAAAGCAAGCCCCACAGACTTAAAGGATGAGACTAGCTATCTCTGTCCACATCAAAAGGTTCACCTAGAGATTCTTGGGCCCAGTTTGAAGACAAAGGTTGGGCCAAGGGGCAGAAGGGTGGAGATGACAAATGGGATTGCAGGAGTAGAGTAAGGCTTAAACCTGTAAAGAGCTATCATCTATGGTTAGTTTTTATCAGCTGGAGAACATTTTGTAGAAGGATGTCCCTTAGGTCACCGACAGGAGCTCCTTTTCCACATACCCCCAGAGAGCGGGCCCCTTCTCTCAAGGGCCCTTACGCCATGGACATATTCAGACTCAGTGGTGCCCAGAGGAAATACTGTGTCCTGCACATCTGGGAGAACAAATGGTGCTAGAGATACAGGAGTTGAACCTGATTTCAGGATGTTTATTTTAGCTTCCTTCAGTTCTCCAAATCTGAAGGGAGCACCTACTCATGCCAGTTTAGCAATACTAGATAGAAGAAGGTATGTGCCTCTTTTCCGAAAGCACCAGGAAAAGTCCCAAGGCATGTTTTCATTGTCCTGGTTTGGGTCATGTGACTGTCCCTGACTCAATGACTGTGGCCAGGTATAGGAGGTGGTGCTTTCCCTGGCCAGACTTGCATCATGAGTCCGCTCCCAGAACTGGAAGGTAGGTTTAGCTCTGCTTTATCCACTCGGACTAGGATCAGGGAAGGCTGATTCTCCACAGGAATATGAGATGCTGTTACTGAAAAGCAGAGGAAGCTACATGATCTTTACCACTGGGTTACTCAATAGTAGATGAGGGCAAGCATCTCTCTATAAAAGTATTCTGATTATTAAATTAAAAAGGAATGGTGGAATTTGAATACCACCATTTTGTAACCCTCAATAATGATGCATTATGTATTGGTGACTGCTGACACCATAGAAGGAGGCAAGCATTATGTGCCCCCTGTAGTCTTGTCAAAGGGATCAAACCTGAGTCCAGTCCAGTTTCTGGTACTAGCCACCAATGTGCAGGTGATACACAGGACACAGCACTTGTTGAACTGCACCATGAGTATACAGTCAGCAAAATCCAGACTGTGGGAATCTTGGCAAGTCAGATGGCCTGGATTCTTTCCCAGAACAATGGAAAGGAAAAGAAAAAAATGGCATAAAATGTGCAGATTAAAAGAAAATTAAATAACATATTAAAGTTTTTTTTAAGGCCAGGCACAGTGACTCACACCTGTAATCTTAGCACTTTGGGAGGCCAAGGCAGGAGGATCTCTTGAACCTAGGAGTTCAAAACCAGCCTGGGCAACATGACAAGCCCTCATCTCTAAATAAAAACAAATTAGCCGGGTGTGGCAGCATGTGCCTGTAGTGCCAACTACTTGGGAGGCTGAGGTGGGAGAATCACTTAAGCCCAGGAAGTCATGCCACTGCACTCCTGCCTGGGTGACAGAGAGTGGGGTCTCAGAAATAAAAGAAAAAGAATCCCAGCACTTTGGGAGGCCGAGGCAGGTGGAGCACTTGAAGTCAGGAGTTCGAGACCAGCCTGGCCAACATAGTGAAACCTCATCTCTACTAAAAATACAAAAACTAGTTAGGCATGGTGGCGAGTGCCTGTAATCCCAGCTACTTGGGAGGTTGAGGCACGAGAATCGCTTGAACCTGGGAGGCGGAGGTTGCAGTGAGACGAGATCATGCCACTGCACTCCAGCCTGGTTGACAGAATGAGACTCTGTCTCAAAAAAAAAAGAAAACTGAGTAGCTGGGATTACAGGCTCCCACAATCATGCCTGGCTAATTGTTGTCCTTTTAGTAGAGACAGGGTTTCACCCTGTTGGCCTGACTGGTCTCAAACTCCTGACCGCAAGTGATCCTCCTGCCTCAGCCTCCCAAAGTGCTGGAATTACAGGCATGAGCCACCACACCCGGGCAGAAATAAAGTTTTTTAAATGGCCAAGACTAAATTGTAATACCTAGGAATGCACATTTGGGTAAAAAAAAAAAAGCTACTTAAACACAAAGAATAACTGTGAAAAGATAAAGTCCTTCCTTTCAAACGTTTTGCCAAAATAGAAAAATGTAAACATTTCAGAAATGCAGAACGTGTTTATTATAAAAGCTGAGGTAGGGGTTGCATATACTGGGGGGCAGGAGGGAACTATTCCTGGGATGAGCACATAGACTCTTGGGGTGGCTGTCAAAGCTCTGTTTCCCAAACCTTGGTGGCTATTGCGTGGATGTTTGCCTTAGAATAATTCATTAAGTCACACATGTGTGTGATTTTCTGTATCCAAGTTTCATTTAAAATAAAAATATTTTAAAAGCTGGGGGCTAGCAAGGGTGTGTACACGCAAAAATACCTAGTATCTGTTAGAAGTGCTTAACCTGATACCACAGGGGTTACCTGCAGAGGAGGAAGCCTTGAGGTTGCGACTTGAAGGAAGAGTCTCAGTTAACCAGGTGAAGGTGAGGGAAAGGAAGACAGTGGTCCAGAGGCAGCTGCTTGTGCAGAGGCAAAGGCCAGTGAGAGCAGATGCGTAAAGAAGAGGGGCAGCAGGAGGCGGAGGGTACAGTGAGCCGAGATCACACCACTGCACTCCACCCTGACCCTGTCTCAAAAAAAAGGGGCAAGAGACAGAGCTGGAAAGGCCTGGGTGCTGGGGAGCCACAGAAGCTTTCATGAAGATTTGGGCTCTGTCCTCAGAGCAACAGGAAGCCCACTGTGTACATTATCCCGAGCAACAGGCATTACATTACTCTGGTCCCAGCGTGGAGAATGAGTTAGCGGGGGATGGGAGTGGACGCAGGGAGGCCAGTCAGGAGGCTGCCACAGTTGTCCAGTCTAGATATGACCTTAGCCTGAACCAGGTTGGTGGCAGCAGGGAATGGAAAGAAAAGGACAGATTTGGGAAATATTTAGGCAGTAGAATTGACAGGACTTGGTGAGGGGACAAAGGTGATGGCTAGGATTGTGCCTTGGGCAGCTAGGTAGCTAGCAGTGTATTATCTGAGGTAGGGAGGCCAATGGAAGGGTGGGTTAAAAGAAAAGGGCACATCTCCCTTGAGCTGCCTGAGAGGCAGCCAAGTAGAGGTTTCTAGCAGGCAGCTGGGTGGAGCAATCTGGGCTAGAGCTATGGATGTGGTGGTTGTCTGCAAAGGGGTGGAACTGGGAGCCATGGGCCTGGATGAGCTTGCTGAGGCACACAGTTGAGTAGAGAACCTAGAGCTGAGCCCTGGGTACCCACATTTAAGGGAGAGGCAGAGGAGGTGGAGCTGATGAAAGACCAAGAGCGCCAGGCAGCTGGGAGATACCAGGAGATGTGGAGTCACAGAGGCCAAGGAATCAAGAGGATAAGACAGCACAGTTGGCAGGTATAGCGCTGCTGAGAGATCCCAAAATACAAGGTCAGAAAGTGCCTGCAGGACTCAGTGGCACAGAAGTCACAGGAGACTCTTGTGGGAACCAGCCTTGTGGTCACCTGAGGTTTGGAGTTAGAGACCAGCCTGGCCAACATGGCGAAACCCCATGTCTACTAAAAATACAAAAATTAGCCAGGTGTGGTGGCAGGTGCCTATAATCCCAGCTACTCAGGAGGCTGAAGAGAGTCAAGGTTGTGAAACAGTATCATGGAGAGGAGGAGAGGATGTTGGGAGTTAAGAAAGTGGAAATAGGCCGGGCACAGTGGCTCACACCTATAATCCCAGCACTTTGGGAGGCCAAGGTGGGCGATCAGGAGAATCCCTTGAACCCGGGAGGTGGAGGTTGCGGTGAGCCGAGATCACGCCACTGCACTCCAGCCTGGGTGACAAGAGCAAAACTCTGTCTCAAAAAAGAAAAAAAAATAAATAAAAAAAGTCGTGAGAGACTGCATGGAACAGCAAGTCAGGAAAGTAAAGTCCTATGCCAGCAACCAGTGATGATAAAAACATGACCAGTAATGTTATATGACACATGGCCCCAGAAATGAATGATTCCATTGGTCCCCAGGAATGGATTGGAAGTTTCCTCCTTCCCCAGCTGCTGTTGAACAATAATGCGAAGTCCCTGGTGTCTGTGATACAACCTCAGGGCCGCTAGTGACTAGAGAAGGGACTGAGATATTCTTTTCTGTAACATAGAAGCCTTGTTTCCTGCTGTATAATTAGAGAGTTCATTCAGTGCTTTCAGAATTCTTTCATATCTCATTTTAATCCACAGAAGATTGGAAATTTTGTTCTTATTTAATAGATACGTAGCTGAGGGAAGTAACAACGTGTTCACAGTCACCCCACAAATTAAAGAGCAAGTCAGAGAATGACATAGACTCGTTGTTTGGTCTGATGGTGGTTCCGTCTCAAAATCGGCTGGACAAGCACAGTGTTCCATGGCTCCATGGCTGGCTGTTCTGTGACCGTAGGCAGATTCCTTAACCACCCAATGCCTCCATTTTTTCCTCTGTTACATCCAAGCCTTTCCTTTTGCCACCTTCTCTTTCTGCTGTAGGCCTGGGTTGCCAACTATGAGAGACCCCGAATGAACGCCAACTCCCTCCTGGCCAGCCCCACAGGCCTCAGCCCCTACCTGCGCTTTGGTTGTCTCTCCTGCCGCCTCTTCTACTACCGCCTGTGGGACCTGTATAAAAAGGTAAGGGGGACATACCTGCCCACATTGCACCTAAGGCCTGCAGCCAGGCCTTTTGGGCTTGTCAGTCACCCTAAAAAAGGCACTGGTGGGTGGGGGTTGGGCTATGGCCCCTGGAAGGGCCTAAGTGTGTGCAGATAGTCCGGAGGAGGAGAGAAGACTCAATATCCAAGAGGGCAGAGCCAAGCACAGAGTGAACTGCCCACCAGAATGAAGCCCAGACCATCATGTAGAGCAGAAGGACAGGCAGAAAAGCAGGCCTCAGGTGTGACCCTAGAGGTGGCATATCCTCTGGCAGCTGGTGGACAGGGGCGAGGTCCCCAGGGTGAGAGGCATGGAGAGGGTGAGGCTGGAGCCAGTCTGAAGTGGAAGAGCATAGCTGCCCGCTCTGGAGCTGTGTCCACAGCATTCAAAAGGGGAGTCCAGGAACAGCAGTTGCCCATCAGTGATGGAGGGAGTGGTGTGGAGGGGCTGCACACAGGGCTGTGCTATACAGACAAGAAGCAAATAAGCCTGTGTTAACTGTCCCCAGAAGGAGAGAGGGCAACACAGTCAGCATTCAGAGGGATCACCTCATCTTGTGCCTATGTTTTTTGTTTCTGTTGTTTATTTAAGAGACAAAGTCTAGCTGTGTTACCCAGGCTAGAGTGTAGTGTGGCCTGATCACAGCTCACTGAAACCTCAGACTCCTGGGCTCAAGCAATCCCTCTGCCTCAGCCTCTCAAGTAGAGCTAATTTTTTACATTCTTTGTAGAGATAGGGTCTTGCTATGTTGCCCAGGCTGGTCTCGAACTCCTGGGCACAAGCAATTGTCCTGCCTTGGCCTCCCACAGTGCTGGGATTACAGCCGTGAGCCACCATGCCTAGCCGTTGTGTCTACATTTGTTTTTTTGTTTGTTTTTGAGACAGGATCTCATTCTGTCACCCAGGCTGGAGTACAGTGGTATGATCACAGCTCACTGCAGCCACAACCTTTCAGGCTCAGGTGATCCTCCTATCTCAGCCTCCCCAGCAGTTGGGACTATAGGTGCATGCCACCACACCTGGCTAATTTTTTGTATTTTTTTGTAGAAACTGGGTTTTTCCATGTTGCCCAGGCTGATCTCAAACTCCTGGGCTCAGGCCATCCACCCACCTCAGCCTCTCAAAGTGACAGATGCTAGCCACCACACCTGGCTGTATCTAGGTTTTTAAATGTTATCTCCTCATCCTTGCCATTATTGAGATTTTGTGGCATGGGATAGCTTTGCCAGTTTGGTGAGTAATCTTGTGACTTTAGGGAAGTCATTATTTGCTTGGAGGTCTGATTTCTTAATTACCTTATGGCCCCAGATCCAGGCTGTGTGTATAATTTATTCAACCAAAATCTAGACTGAGCATTTTTCATGTGTGCTGATAGGAAAATTCCTTTTGACTTTCTAGAAGGTGGAGCCAAACAGGGAACTCTTGAGGACAAGGAACATGACCAGTCTTGGGAAGTTTGAATCCTAGTGCAGAGTCCTGTGGTGAGGCCCCTTCCCACTGCCTGGCCCTCTGTAGCTTTCTTCTTGCTCAGAGCAGTGGCACAGTGCAGGCAGGGCCTGGGTGTTTCACATGCAGGCATGCTGTGCCACTTCTAGGGGATAGTCCCTCCACATCTGGCAGCTGAGCCACTAGGTCTTTGGAGGGCCCAGATTCCTTTGTAGAAGAGACCTGAGAGGCACCATGCTAAGAGCTGGGCGAGTGTTTGTATCCATGTGCCACCCCTACCTCTCAGGTGAAGCGGAACAGCACACCTCCCCTCTCCCTATTTGGGCAACTCCTATGGCGAGAGTTCTTCTACACGGCAGCTACCAACAACCCCAGGTTTGACCGCATGGAGGGGAACCCCATCTGCATCCAGATCCCCTGGGACCGCAATCCTGAGGCCCTGGCCAAGTGGGCTGAGGGCAAGACAGGCTTCCCTTGGATTGATGCCATCATGACCCAACTGAGGCAGGAGGGCTGGATCCACCACCTGGCCCGGCATGCCGTGGCCTGCTTCCTGACCCGCGGGGACCTCTGGGTCAGCTGGGAGAGCGGGGTCCGGGTGAGTGCTCTCTCAACGAAAAGCTGGCCTGTACCCTCTGGTCAGGCCCGTCAAAGGGCAGCCCCCTTCTGGGCTGAGGGATGAGGTGGGATTTCTGGGTCCAGGAGATCCCCTCCAGATCCTCTGTGGCTTGCCTTCAATGGAAGGGTTTTGGCTCCTGGGGGCACTGTGGTGACTTGGGAAAAAACATGGCTGCATGTCCCCAAGGAGGCTGATCATCCCCTCCCCTATCTAGGTATTTGATGAGCTGCTCCTGGATGCAGATTTCAGCGTGAACGCAGGCAGCTGGATGTGGCTGTCCTGCAGTGCTTTCTTCCAGCAGTTCTTCCACTGCTACTGCCCTGTGGGCTTTGGCCGTCGCACGGACCCCAGTGGGGACTACATCAGGTGAGGATACAGACCAGGCTCTCTGGCCTCTGACCACTGTGGCCTCCTACTAGGATGGGATACCCTGGGCCTTTTGAAGGAGGGTCTGGGTATGCTGATGGGTCATCTGGTGTATCTTATTTCAGGCGATACCTGCCCAAATTGAAAGCGTTCCCCTCTCGATACATCTATGAGCCCTGGAATGCCCCAGAGTCAATTCAGAAGGCAGCCAAGTGCATCATTGGTGTGGACTACCCACGGCCCATCGTCAACCATGCCGAGACCAGCCGGCTTAACATTGAACGAATGAAGCAGATTTACCAGCAGCTTTCGCGCTACCGGGGACTCTGTAAGGAGACAAACACCTAGCTCACTGAAGGGAAGGACAGCACCTACAGGCTCAGGGGGCCAGATGGGGATGTCCAGATACTTGCAAAGGGAGACTGAGTGCTGTCTTTCAGGTTGACACCTTCGCTGGGTATGGGACACTGCAGGCTGGGATGAACTGGGCCTTCCTGAGTAGTTGTGGGGCTGTGGGAGGAAATGGAACCTCAGTGTCTTGCTCCTACCCTCCCCACCCCCACTTGCTTCATCCTGCCCTGTAGCCCTCTGCAATCCTGCGAGACGGCACTCTGATTACTCCTCGCCTCTCTCCCAGGTCTACTGGCATCTGTCCCTTCCTGTGTGGAAGACCTCAGTCACCCTGTGGCAGAGCCCAGCTCGAGCCAGGCTGGCAGCATGAGCAGTGCAGGTGAGCAGCAGCAACCAACCTCCTGTGGCCTCCTGTGGCCTGTGCCACCACTTCAGTCATTCAGGACTGAGGCCAGAAGGAGGCCTTGCCCAGTGGAGCTTATATTCCACCTGGGGCAGTCAGATAGTAAAGAAACCAAGTTGGATCATTTCAGATAACAAGTGCTTTGGAGGAAAAGAAAGTTGAGTATCTTGACAGAGGGACTGGGAAAGAAGGATTTCTTCTGTGTCACTTGAGATTGGAGCAGTCAGGGAACACCTCTGTTAAGCAGAGACCCACGTCATGAGCAGGAGCCAGCCCTGCCACACACTGAGAAAATAACATTCCAGACAAAGGGAGTAGCAAGAAAAAGCTCACAAACAGTACCGAGCTTAGTCCATTCAAGGAACCGAAGGGAGGTCAGTGTAGCGGCATGTCCCAGTGAGGAGCTGGAATGAGATGAGGACAAGATACAGCATGAGCAGCATGTGGCAGGCCTGATGTCCGAGACGAGGACTAGGATTCAGCCTTCAGTGCACTGAAGGATGGTCAGTAGGGCAGGGCATGATTGGACTTAGGTCTGAAAAAGCTCCCTGGCCTGCTGGGTGGAGATTGGACAGTGTAGGCCGGAGCGGGCACAGGGAGGCCAGAGAGGAGGCAGCACAGACAGGGTGGTGGCCGCAAGGAGAAAGACTGGACAGATTCGCTGCATTCGGAGCCTCTTCCCTTCTTGGGGATGAAGATGAGTAACATGAGATGGGAAGAACACGGGTTTTTCTAGTTGGCCCAGCTAGGCTGCCTCCATGGGCAGCATGACTCCTCCACAGGGGCCCTGCTCTTTGCTGCTTGGGGAGGCTGATTCAGGGTTGCAGAGGGAATGCCTCACCTTCAAAGCAGGACAGCAGGCAGGCCAAATCAGTCTCTGGCCACAGCCCATGCCATTTGGGGCCCAAAAGCTGGTCCTGCTACCAGCAGGCCTGCTTGGTCATGTCCTCCTTGGACATTTCCAGGCAAAGTCACTGCTGAAAGCAAGGCCGAGGGGCAGGTCTGAGGAGCAGCATGCTGGCATTCCATTGATAAGTGTGCTCCCTGTCCCCTAAAGAGCTGCTGCTGCATAGTGTGGGATCATTTTGGCTGCATGCACAGTCTGTGTGACCCTTTGACACGCTTCCCTACAGGCCCAAGACCACTACCCAGTGGCCCAGCATCCCCCAAACGCAAGCTGGAAGCAGCCGAGGAACCACCTGGTGAAGAACTCAGCAAACGGGCCCGGGTGGCAGAGTTGCCAACCCCAGAGCTGCCGAGCAAGGATGCCTGAGAGTGAGTGACAGCAGCCTAGATTCAACCTCAGGAAGGAAGTTGGGAGTGGGGGGGCCTACTGCCCTGCCAGCTGCAGGTTGAAACATAGCAAACTAGATGAAAATCTGGTGGGACCACCCAATGCTCAGCCACTAAAGCTTTACCATTTTACAGTGGCAGCCGGGTTCCATCCTGGCTTAGGGAATGAGTACTTTCTGGTTGATATCTGTGTGACCTTTACCATTGGGCCGGCTATGGTGGCTCATGTATGTAATCCCAGCACTTTGGGAGGCCAAGGTGGGAGGATCGCTTGAGGCCAGGAGTACAAGACCAACCTGGCCAAACCAACATAGTGAGACTCCATCTCTAAAAACATAATAATAATAATAATAATAATCTGGTGGGACTGCATGACTTTTAGGATTTCAGCTCAAAAATCCCACCATTCTGACTTTTATCAGAGATTTAAAAGTCAAGCCCTTTTGTATTTTTTTGCCAGCTAAGGGAAAAAGGGAGGCATGGGGGCTGAGGGGTGGCGCTTTCTACCTATTAAAATGAGTCACACTCAAGAGAAAGAAAGCTGAGACCTGCGTGTGAAGCAGCGGGGAAAAGGCGCATTGCAGGGTCTGAGGCTGCTCCAGGCCCCCTGCTTTCCGACAGGCTGTGTTCTATAGGCCAGCCAGTGGAGGGCAGCACTGACCTTGAGAAGCCTGGACAGAGGGCTGTGCTGTGTCTTACTTGGCCCAGCCCTGCCTGAGGACCAGTAGACCCAGTCTGTCATCATCTTTGCCTTTTGCGGCCTCTCCTCCCTTCTCACCCATCCTGTGGCCTCAGCTCTGCACCTCCCTGGCAGCGCTCATCTTGGAAGCCTCCTGAATGTCATCAAAACACTGGCTTCTCCTTTCCCAAGGGAGGAAGGGCCTTTTATGCCACTCTTGGGGAAATGTAAATTCCTGTCCCCTCTGAGTCATCATCTCAAGCTGTTCCTTATGCACCATGTCTTCGTCATTAGATTGGAGGGTGATTTTTCTCCATGGAGCTGATAGGTTCTTTTTATCAGATCCCTCTTACTTCAGGGCCAGGCCGCAGCCATCTGGTTTGAGTGTCTGGATTTGTGTGCTCACTGAGATGGGCATTTGATGCCTGCACCCTTCACCTTTCCTGGGCTCTTTGACATAGACATTGCTGATGGACAGATGTGTGCTATCTTGTTCCTGGGAGTACCAGCAACCTACTACTCTCTCAGTTATCTCTTAGCTCTGTGATACTAAGCAAAGTTCATCCTGTATTACAAATTTGGAACTTGCCAGGCTGACACTCTGATTTTCGGATGAGAAGACCAAAGAACAGAGAGGTTAAATGTCTGGGTCAAGGTTGCTCAGTAAGCTAATGGTGTCCAATTCAACATGAAATTGTTGCCAGCAGGTGGGTGAAGAAGGGGGAGCATTAAACATATAAAATGTGATGTGCTGTCCATCCATAAGGATTGAACAGTCTGCTTAGATAAAAAGGAACAATAACCTAGAATTCCTGGACAAATGATACAGACTATACAAGCTTAGCAGAAGGCTGCTGGTGTGGTCTGGAACAATCAGGGAACATATCACAGAAGTTTGCGCTAGGGGGCCTGAAAAGTGAATTGGATTCAGGCAGTGAGCAGGGCGCTTAGGACAAGAAAAACAGCTGAAGGTTTATGTGATCTTGTACAAATGACTTAACTGCTATGGGACTCAGTTTCCTCACCTATAAATTAGGTTGCTGTTGCAAGAATTAAATGATTAAATCTGGGCCGGGCGCAGTGGCTCATGCCTATAATCCCAGCACTTTGGGAGGCCGAGGTGGGTGGATCACCTGAGGTTGGGGGTTCGAGATCAGCCTCATCAGCTTGGAGAAACCCCGTCTCTACTAAAAATACAAAATTAGCTGGCATGGTGACGTATGCCTGTAATTCCAGCTACTCGGGAGGCTGGGGCAAGAGAATCACTTGAACCCGGGAGGCAGAGGTTGCAGTGAGCCGAGATCGTGCCATTGCACTCCAGCCTGGGTGACAAGAGCAAAACTCTGTCTAAAAAAAAAAAAAGATTAAATGTGTATGTGTCAGCTAGAAATGTGGGGGTCTATTAATAATAGCTCAATTACTGTGGCTAAAACAAATAGGGGCTTATTTTTCTTACCTAACAAGGGGCCCAGAGATAGTGTTGCTGGTCTGGGCTTGGGTGGCAGCCCCAGCTTCAGCCATCAATTCTTGATCAAAGAGGAAAGAGAAGGGACAGCAAGGGCAGCTGCACTCCTTCCGTACACATGTCAAGAGCTCATGTTTTGCCAGACACCATTCCAGGCATTGAGGGTATGGTTGTATACAAGACTGGCAATATCACTTCCCCCTTGGGTGCATATTAGTGGAAGGAGACAGACAGTAAACAAATAAATATTTAAAATTTAAAGAGGCCAGCCGGGCGTGGTGGCTCACACTTGTAATCCCAGCACTTTGGGAGGCTGAGGCAGGTGGATCACGAGGTCAGGAGTTCGAGACCAGCCTGGCCAACATGGTGAAATGCTGTCTTTACTAAAAATACAAAAATTAGCCAGGCGTGGTGGCAGGTGCCTGTAGTCCCAGCTACTTCGGAGGCTGAGGCAGGAGAATCACTTGAACCCGGGAGGCAGAGGTTGCAGTGAGCCAAGATCGTACCACTGCACTCCAGCCTGGGTGACAGAGCTAGACTCAGTCTCACAAAAAAAAATTTCAGGAGGCCATCAGTGCTATGAAAACAATAAAATAAAGTTGAGTAAGAAAGTAAGGTCGGGGCACAGAAGAGGCTGCAGTTCTGTATTATAAGGGTTGCTGGTCCAGGGACCATACTTGGAGAATCACTGACTTAGACCAATCATAATCCATTTTCTGGGTGAAGCCCATTGCCTCCTGAACACATTTTAGGTTCTGTTAACCAGGAAGTGTGGATACTGGTAGACAGCTAATGGTGACTGCTTTATAGGCAAGACACTTACTCAAGTGTGTGGGTCATGAGTGCTTGGTAAGCAGTAGTTATTATTGTAGGTATTGTTATTATTGTAGAGGACACAAGGTTACAGTTGGGTCTGATTATGGAGGGTTGTAAATGGCAGGCACATGAGTCTGCTATGTACTCTTTGGGAGTGAAGAAACATTTTGGAACAGGAATGATCAAATTGGCATTTTGGGAGGATGAATTAGGCATTGGGCTGGGACCTGCAGAGGAACAGGTTGGGGAGAGAAAGTCAGCTGAGAGGCTTGACAGTGATTCCAAGGGAAGACATGACAAGGATGCAGAGGTAAATGCCCGTCTCTTGCCCTGGAGTCCAGAAGATTGTCAGCCTACTGGGATTTTAAGGACTGATTCTTGAGGTTTACTCTGCCCTCCACTGGTGGCTCAGTGGGGAGTTAGGCCAGGCTAGACTGTGAAGGTTGGGGGTGCAGAGGTCAGAGGATCTGGGGTGGTGCAGACTTCCCTCCAAGACAGACTAGGGAGGAACAGCTGTGTTCTTTGGAAATCCTGAGAGAAGAAGAGTACACCATGTCTCACCATGTGCTGGCAGAGGCACCTGGGCCTAAAGATGCTTAGCATCCTCAGCTGTAAAATGGTGATAATAGCATCTTGTCACCTGCCCTACCCATCGAAAAAGTCTTTGAATATGTAAAATGCACTATGCAAATGGAATCACATTATCATCTTGCACTTTCTTCTCTGGGTGTCTTTGATTATGTTGGTGTTACTTCAGTCAGAGCCAGCACCCTAAGCTGAATGGACCACAGAGCTGTGGCTATGTAGCCCAAATTGGTATCATATTATATTGGGTTGGGGGAGGGGAGTGGCAGGGAGACTTGCCCCTCTTTCCTCCATTTCCTCTGTAATTTTTAATTGTGTGACTTTGGGCTGGATCCATAGCCTTTCTGCCATGCTTTAGGTGTAAGATGTGAATAGTCATTCTTCATCAGCCTGAAGGCTACATCCTGGGCCTTTTGAGGTCTCCTTTAGCTCTGAGCTCTATAGTTCTGGATTCTGTTTTTCTAATGCCTCAGGCCTGTGGCAGTGTACAGGGTGTACAGTCACTTAAAATTTAAACTGATCTGGTAGGAAAGCATGGCCTCCAATCAGTAGGTTCTACACTTACCTCAGATCCACACCAGCTATCTGTTCTGCATTAAGTTTTATTTTACAGCATTCACTAAACTGAAAAACAAGCCAGCCCCCAAATAGCTATTGTTTCAAATGGTTCCCCATAATCCCCAAAGCTGCTGACTGCTCCGGATTCCATTAGCCTTGAATTGTGTACAGATTTCTCTCATTGGTCCAATTATTTTGCCATGGGGAGAACAGCTCACGTGTTCCATTTGCCCTTCTGCTGGTACAGACTGATCTGTGGAGAGAAGCCCCACTGAATACAAAAGGTTCCCGGCCAAGGATCACCTCTTCCCCTCCCCCGCGGGCTTTTGTTAGCTCTGCAGTAAGCCTGACTGGGTAGATCATCGAGTAAAACCTGACTTCTGGATTCTCCTTGATGTCTTTTTGACACTAGTTTAGTTGTATACTCTGTCCTTGTAAGGTGAAAGGCACTAGCAATTGGTAAAATGCTAAATAGTGGAAGTGAAGGCAGTGTGGCATTGGCCAGAGAGCCCTGCATTATACTCAGACTAGTGTCTGCATCCCAGACCTGCCAGCATTACACTCAAACTAGTGTCTGTGTCCCAGACCTGCCACTTGCCTCTTGTGAGACTCCACCCAAATAGTCTCACCTCTCTGTTCCTGCCTTTAAAATCAGAGGCAGGATTCTCTGTTCCTGCCTTTAAAATCAGAAGTTTAGACTCATATCCCCTAGCGCTTTCCCTGGCACTTCATAAGTAGGCGTTGACTGATGGCTGTCCCTTCCACTTTCTTGCATGATCTGCATGCTGTGGGAAGGGTAAAGGTGTGGTTGACCTGAGGAATGAGATTGAGCTCAGAGCTTCAGCTCTCTCCCCCATCCAGGCCCAGCTGTACTTCCCTGACCCTCACTTGGAAGCAGGTAGCGAACCCTCTGCCTTTCTCAAGCTCTTGGGCACTGTGCCTTGCCCAATATGATGGGGAGAGGGAAACATTGAGACTCGGTGACAGTCTGCAAACAAAGTTTCCTCCAAACCATCAGCTGTTGTGGACCCTCTGCCAGCATAAACTCATGCCTGCACACGTGCATCCACCCCTCCAGGGCGAGGAGCATAGGGACGGGCAGACTTATACACTTGGGTTCTTGATAGCATCTAATGGATGGGAAGGGATGTGAGGGCAAAGGTACCCAGGAGGCCATGCTAACTAACATTGGGTTGCAGAGGGAGACAGTCGTTAACGCTTTTTGTTCTAGCCGCCACTGTGTTTCTTGTATCAATGACAGGTTGAAAGAGTTGGACAACTAAGAGATTGATTTTTCAGTGAATGTTTTATGAGTTGATTTTCCCTTGGTGCCTCCCCTTGGCTGTTCTTCCCTTCCCTTTAGTCCTGCTATCATCATTTTTTTGCAAGACCTCATTTGATTTCCCCAGACCCCTTTTTCTACAGACGCATGCCCTAGCTTGAGGACAAGAGCATGGCACCAACTAGTTATCTGCTGATCAAGCAGCTCGAGTAACTAGTTGAACAGGCCTTTGGCTAGCTTTGTAGGCGAGGCCAAGTTGGTTCTTCTAAACCTTGGTTTTCTGCATTGGTAGCTTTGAAACCATCATAGAGGGACTTGGGTGACTAGGGCTTATCTGAGTCCAGGACACTGCCCCCTCCCTTCATGAGCCTGCCCAAAACTAACTGGTGCCGAAGTCAACATATGTCTGAATTGTTATCATTATATCCACCTGACTGTACCTCACCCTCTTATCTTCTAAGCTTAGGCATTGGTTCTTAAACCCTGTTTGGGTTACTCCCCACTTTGGAAAGTCGATGGAGGATGGAACCCATACCCAGAAAACTGCATATGTTCACACACAGAGAGGAATGTGCACATCACTCCAGAGGCTCCATGGACTGCACCAAAGCCTATCCTTGGGCTCCTTAAGGCCCAGGAACCCCAGATTAACAGCAGTTATTCTAAGGAATCTTCATGCACTCTTTATCTTCCCCCATCCCTGAAAATGGATAAAACACACACAAAAAAAATGGAGGTGTTGGGCAAGGAGGACCTTTTGTGGTATATCCTGCAATCCTGAAAGTTTTCTATTTCAGAAGAATAGCCATCTCTTTAGTTTAACAACAGGGGCCAGAGAGAGCCCTGTGTGTGGAGTATATACTCAGAATCAGCACATTTCAATAAATACATGTACACCTTAATAATACATACATTTGTAGCAAAAAAATGGCTAGGTTATTATAGTACAAGCTTAAAGGGAAAAATTATTGAAAATAACACACATTTTAAAGAATAAAACACACAGCCAGGTGCGGTGGCTTACGCCTGTAATCCCAGCACTTTGGGAGGCTGAGGGGGGCGGATCACCTGAGATCAGGAGTTCAAGACCAGCCTGGGCAACATGGTGAAACCCCATCTCTACTAAAAGTACAAAAATTAGTTGTGGTGGCAGGTGTCTGTAATCCCAGCCACTTGGGAGGCCAAGGCAGGAGAATTGCTTGAACCCAGGAGGCAGAAGTTGCAGTGAGCCAAGATCGCGCCACTGCACTCTAGCCTGGGCAACAGAACAAGACTCCATCTATTAAAAAAAAAAAAAAAAAAAAAAAAAAAAGTCGGGCTCGGTGGCTCACTCCTGTAATCCCAGCACTTTGGGAGGCTGAAGTGGGTGGATCACCTGAGGTCAGGAGTTAGAGACCAGCCTGACCAACATGGAGAAACCCCATCTCTACTAAAAATACAAAATTAGCCAGGTGTGGTGGCACATGCCTGTAATCCCAGCTACTCAGGAGGCTGAGGCAGGAGAATCGCTTGAACCTGGGAGGCAGAAGTTGCAGTGAGCCAAGATCACTCCATTGCACTCCAGCCTGGGCACTAAGAGTGAAACTCTGTCTCAAAAAAAAAAAAAGAATAAGACACACAGTACTGACCTATACAGGCACCCACTCTTATGTCTGCTCTTTATTTTGCCCAGCTTCCAGATAAATTATCATCAGATAAAATCTGCTTCAGATTTACCATGCGGCCTTAAAAGCATCGCATGATACTGAATCCTTGTCTCCAATGTCTTTGACTTTAAGAGCATTTTCCCTTTTCTAATAACAGCTTAATTCACATGTATGTCTGTTGGATATTAGTCTTCATGCTGCCATGTTGAATTTCTTCTAAAAGTCTTCTTCTCTAAAAGTCTTAATGAGCAATACTATCGTATAGAGATTACTTGCTAGTAAAAAGACAGATTTGAGAATCAGACAGATGTGGATTTCCTTTTTTGGCTCTGCCACTTATGAATGCTGTTGTCCTGGGCAAGTTCCTTCTCCTCTCTGGTTTCTGTTTTCTCATCTACAAAAATGGAGGGCAAGCTTCAAGGTTACTGGGATCTCAAGTTGTGTTAGTCTGCTCAGGCTGCCATGACAAAGTACCACAGACTGGGTGGCTTAATCAAGAGAAATGTGTCCTCTCACTGTTCTGGAGGCTGGAAGTCTAAGATCAAAATGTTGCCAGGGTTGGCTTCTTTTCTTCTGAGGCTCCTCTCTGTGGCTTATAAACAGCCATCTTCTCCCTATGTCTTCACATGGTCTTCCCTCTGTACTGTCTGGGTCTAAATTTCCTCTTCCTTTAAGGACACCAGTCATATTGGATTAGGGCCCACACTAATGACCTCATTTAACTTAATTACCTCTTTAAAGACCCTGTCTCCAAATACAGTCACCTTCTGGGGTACTGGGGGTTAGGACTTCAACATAAGAATTTTGTGGGGGACAGAATTCAGCCACAGCACAAGTGTATAGTACCTGACCCACGGCAGGCTTAGTAAGCCTACTTATTGTCTACCTCACCCACATTTAAACTGCACAAACTTTTAATGGGACGCTGTGTGTCTCTGTAGACTCCCAGACACACTAAACCTATTTAAACAGACAACTCAGCATTGTGACAGGCGCACTCTGTCCTTCCTTTATTATCAGGGATGAAGCTGTTTCTTCTCTTTGCCCCAGATTCCGGATGTCATAAATCTTTAAAATGAGTCATCCTTGTGTCTCCTCTCTCCCTCCTGCCCCCACAATCTTCCAGCACTGTGCCAGGGTGCTTTCATCTATATGTGGAAATGTGCTCACCTGCTGATTGTAAACTCAGTCATTGCCTTACTCTTCAAAATTACTGGTCCCAGCGGGCTTCTCTTCCAGCCATTTTTTCCTGATTCTCCATCTCTGGCAGCAGCTGCTGTGCCTTGATTCAGAAGCTGCCCTTGTCATATCTGAGCAAGTATCCCCCAGGGCTTCACGTGACTCTCACATAGCCTTGTCCTCCTCCTCCTCTGCTGTCCGCAGCCCTGGGTGGAGGGCCTGCAGTGGGGAGCTTGTCCTGCATCAGCACCTCAGAGGGGCAGTATTCCCTCATCCCAGTGGCATCCCAGCAACAACCTGTCCCCAGGTACCGTGGCCCTTTCAGCTCACTCTTTCAGCTCTTCTCAGGTCCCGCTCTGAATGTCCCCAGAGAAGCAGCCAGAGGAGCTTGTGTCCCTGGGCAACTGAGCAGCCTCCTGAATGCTCCTTTTGCACTTGTTTTTCTCTTCCAGCTGCAGAGCCCTTGCTCCGTGAGCAAAGCCTGGGTGCCCAAGCAGCCACCGCAGCAGCAGAGTACAACCTGCAGAGAAGCTGATCACCGGGCAGAGATAGAGCGAGCATGTGTGTGTGTGTGCGCGTGTGCAGAGGAGGGAGTGGTGTGCCTGTTTGTGTGTGCATGCATCTGTTGACACTCATGATTCTGAATGTTGCCTGGGCTGGGGGAGTACCTGTAGCACGCCAGTGCTGTTTCCCGGCCTCCAGACACAAGGCTCGAGGTTATGGCAGTGACTTTCAGCTGAGACCTGTTCCTGCAAGCCAGCTGCCTTGTCTGAACAGAACGTAGTGGTAGGACCCTAGCTGGGATTCTGGCATCTGCCTCCCTAGACCTCCTTCCCTCCCTCCTCACGTCAGGCTGTGGAGCAGGAGCACAGCAGTTCTGGCTGTTGTCCAAAGCATGGGATTCTGGAGGCAGCCAGAGCCCTGCTGAGTTCCTGCTTTCTGACCTGGAGGCTGAGCAGGCCGGAGTGGATGGATGCTGTCCAGACGTAGCCACCTGGCCTCTGTTTCTTATTTTAAAATTCTCTGCTACTGGGCTCAGTCCCAGGCCCTTCCTTGGGCTTCTGGGACTGAGCATGAGGCCATAGACAGATCTAAAAAGTTTCCACCACCCTACAGAAGTACACACAGATACCTGACTGGTGTGGGGTATGCCTGGTACTGTAATAGGAGCCTAAGACAGCACACCTACCTTTTCAGGATTTAGAACCTAAAATTAGAAAGAGAATCCCAGCTGTCATTGTTCCTTCCCCAGAAGCTAAGAGCCAGCCTCAGAGCCTACCCAGGAGCTGTGAAGGGGCAAGGGTCAAACTGACTCACTCTACCAGGAGGAGACCAGGTTGCAGTGGCGTAAGGCCCCCTGGTTTCTCTGGCCACACTCCAAGGCACCACAGTGCTGCCAGTGAGGACAGCTGACACCCAGCCAGGGAAACCATTCTAGTCTTTATTCTGTTGGCTTCCAGGGCCTGTCCTGGACTTGTCAGCATCCAGACTGCCATGTCAGCTATCCCAGTAGCTGAGCTCCAAGGACTCAGGCAGAGGGACTCAGGGATGGGGACTGCCAGGGGCAGTTGGCAAAAGTCCAAGTAGAGATTACACCCAGAACACCATTCCTTCCAGGAGCAGTAGGTGGGAGGTTTGACCCAGAGAAGCCAATCCTTGCATTCCAGGAGTGGCCTGTGCCTCCCACCTCTTCCTTCCCACTGCCAAAGGCCTGTGTTGAGAAAGATGTCATGCAAAAGGACGACGGTGGCCAACTAAAGCAAGTCTTCCTTCCACCCTGTGGCCTGCACTTGAGCCACAAAGTGTGTGTGTGTGTGTGCGTGTGTGGTACGTGTGTGTGTGTGTGGCTATGAGGCTGATTCCTGTTTGGATTTTTGTCCTCACGTGTATCATTAAGCTGGCCTTTGGGCCTTTTCCTTTCTACCTCCCCTGTGACCTTTCCTAGCCTCAGATCTGTTAATTCTTTTGGCCCCAGCCCTGTCCCTCACTGTCCTCTGTCCTTGGACCAGAACCCTGGGGTCAGACCCATCTCCTGTAGCTGTCCATCACACTGACAGGCTTCTTCCTGAGATATCCTCAGGTTTTCTCAGCCAGAGAGCTGCCTTTAGAGTCCAACTGTTGTACGTATGTCACCTTCACTAGAAATGTCCCATCATCGTGGGAGGGGAGCAGGGCACAGGGGATGGTGTGCATTCAGAGCATTGGGTTGGGGGCTTCCCTGTTCCCTCAGCCCCAGTCGAGAGGAAAGAGAATCGGGCCACTGCCAGAAAGAGAGTCAAGCAAACCTGGAAGGGCAAATCTGAGAGTGGGAAGGCCAAAGGCCGAGGCCCAGATTTAGTATTCACTAGCAGCGCCTTCGGGTAGCAGGATGATTCCTTTTCCTGCCTGTCTGCTGCTGGCTCTCTTCCCTAAGGTACAGGTTGGCAGGACCACCTCCGCCTACTTCTCCACCATCCCTAGCATGTCAGCCCGTTCCCAGATCAACCTGCCAGTGGAGTCAGGCAGTGCACTCCTGGAGCCAAGAGGGAAGGGCAGGGTAGAGAGGGTATGTCCAGTAGCCTGGAGCTCCATGGTGGCTTCATGCCTCCCTTCTCCCAGCTCAGGTGGCCCTGAGGGCTCCCTCGGAACAGTGCCTCAAATCCTGACCCAAGGGCCAGCATGGGGAAGAGATGGTTGCAGGCAAAATGCACTTTATAGAGATTTTCTATTGCTGGGAAGGTGTGTTTCTCCCACAATTTGTTTGTGAATATTCACTTGTTTTATAAATGTCTGACCTGTCTTGAGTAAGTTTGTGCTGTCGTCAATCTTGTGGGAGGCCTGGGAACCAGGGTTTTGGTAAGCCTGAGCCTGAATGAAGCTGTCGGCCACCCCATCTTGGTTCTGTGGGAGTCAGGAGCCTCCTATTCCTCCTTAGGAAGGGGGAGCAGCCAGAGCAGACTGGAGCAGCTTGGTCAAGAGTTGGTCCAGAGCTTGGTCAAGAGTTGGGGGTCAATTGGCCAAAATAGTACAGAGCACTCTGGCCCAGAGTGAGGGTCCTAAGTGCCATCCTGCAGTGCCACCCAGCCTTGCAGCCCACTTAAACCCCCTCCCAGGCTGGGGGTCAGTCAGTGCAGGGCCTGCTCCACGCCCTCAATCCATCCTTTAATTCAATGCAGCCACTTAAGCTGCAGCCTGTGGTGAGGAGGGGATGCAGGCTCTCTGGCTGTGACTAGGTGGTTGAGATCTGCCCACAGCCAAGCCTAGGGCGCCTGGATGCTGGCTTTGTCTCCTGGCCAGAGAATGGCCCCTCTCTGTGCAGTGTGCCCTGCTTCCATGCTAGGGGATGCTAGCCTTGGACTGAAAGCTTTATTAGCTCACACCCCAACTTTCTGGGAAGGGGCCCAGGCAAGGCCCAAGAATATCACAGTCTGGCCTGCACAGAGTGAAGAAGGAGAAAAGGGGAGGAACCTGCCTTGGGAACTTGTCTCATTCTTGGCTCTGCTCTGAAGCTCCTGCTGGCCTCCCTCATACCAAGACCTGGGCCTGCCTTTCCTTCTTGCCCTTCTGGCTTCTCTCTAATAATGGCTTTGGGTTGGTCTTTGGAGCTAAGATAACTTTGCTCTTGAGCAAAAGGTTCTGGAAGAGGGAGTTGTCCTTTACATCCACCCCTGACCTGCTAAGGATGTTCCCTAGCTGAGGCAGGTCTACATTCTAAGGAACGATTAGTAGCCATGATGGCAAGACTGCTTTCCTGAGAGGAAAAGCCAGGCACCATGGCAGCAGATGATTACCGTGAGGGCCCAGTGAAAGGGGCCTGATCACGAAAGCTGAGAAAGTAGTGGCCACCCCTCTGGGCCCCAGGGACAGGGAAAAGAGAAGCAGCCATGACCTTTGGCTCTAGGTATTGGGATATTCTCAGGGCTGGTGGTCGGAGGTTGCCTTCTGCACGGAAGGTGCCTCCAGCTCCTTGCTAGGTGCCGCACTGAAGGAAAGGGGCCAGCATGACTGGTCGGCAGTCCAGATTTGCAAATAGGACTCCACGAGTTGTGGCACAGTTTGCTCTGCACGTTTTCTGCCCTGTGGACAGGGTCTCTAGGGTTCTCTCGAGAGACCAGAGAAGCCAATGAGGTTTGACCAGAGGCTCTACGACCCAGCAAAGCTAAGGCCCTAGCCTTGGCAGTCCGTACTCTGAAATAACTCAATCGGGAAACTCAGGGACTTGAAGGCCTGGAAGCCCAGGAATAACACCCTCTCGAGGGAGAGACAATGAGGAAGAAGCCATGGCCAAAGCCTAGCAGGGATGGAGGTGCCAGAGGGAACAGAAACAACCAAAATGATCCCAAGAAGTCAACAGTGGGAGGAGAGGGAAAGGCGCCAAGTCTTAGAATGTGTGTCTGTGGGTGCAGAAGAGGGGTGCTCTGCAGGAAATGCAGTTGAGGCGCTAAGAAGGAGAATGCTGGGAAGGTCCTGGCGAGAGACCGAGAAGCCTGGAGGGCTCAATTCACCACGAGTAGCTGTTTGGGGCTGAAGAGAGATTTGGGTCAATCTTTAGAGAAGACAGCCTCTAGGGAGAGTCTTTGGGAGGGTCCCCTCAAGGTAAAGGGACAGGACTGGGGTGAGGGCTGGATCCCAGCGCAGGAGGTGGAGTGTTTCTGGGTCTCAGGCAACACATTTGTGTTACGTTACATTCTCACAACAACCATGAGAGGGACTGCTATTGTCCCATTTCACAGATAAGAAGACCAAACCTTAGTGCTCTGAAGTCACTAATGCAAGGCCCCACTGCCCAGTCACTTGTGGAGCCAGTGAATTCACACCACCTGACTCCAAACCTGTACACTTTAAGAGCCCACTGACATCCTCTCCTTTCTCTGCCTTCCTCCACGACCCTCCTTTTCCGCCTGCCTTCTTGGTCTCTGCTGCGGGGGGCCAACCTGGACCTTGGGGTCCAGTGTCCTGCCATTAGTCATCTGATACCCGGGCACTAAGCCCAACCGGAGGGACAAAGCCCACACCGGCCACGGGGTGGAGGAGAGTCGATGTCGGATTTAGGGCGGGGCTGAACCAAGCCCAGGGCCGCGGGGGCCGTGGCTTCAGCACCGCGGAGAGCGCCATCTCCGGGGGCGGGGCTGGCGGGGTGGGGGCGGGGCCTGGGCGGGGCGCGCGAGACCCCGGCCGGGTCCCGGGGGCGCGCGCGGGGCGCTCTCGCCAGTCCCGCGGGCCGTGCGCGGTGCTGTGCCGCGCCCTGCCAGACACAGGTGCGCCCGCCTAGCCCGAACTCCGCGGCGGCGGCTGCCCTCTCGCCGCGCCTCCGCCTCCTTCGCAGCCGCCGCCTCCTCCGCGCCGCGCTCCGCCCGGATGGCCAGGGCTGTGCCCGAGAATGGCGGAGCGAGAAAGCGGCGGCCTGGGAGGGGGGGCCGCGTCCCCGCCCGCCGCCTCCCCGTTCCTGGGGCTGCACATCGCTTCGCCTCCCAATTTCAGGTGAGAGTCCCCGGCCGCCGCGCGCCTCGCCCTTCAGCGGGGACTGATCCGCATTGGCTGCCCTGCCCGCCCCCCACCCCAGAACCTCGGGAACCCGGGAACGAAAGGGCTGCGTGGGAGTGGGGTCTCTTCCCGGGACAGAGCCCCCCTCAGAAGCCCCGCCAGCCTCAAGTCCGGACTGGTAGCCGTTGCATGTTCACGAGGCTGTTCCCTCCGCCATTCCTGGTCCTAGGCTGGGAGGTCTGCGCTGGAATTGGAGGAGGGGGCTCGGAGGCCTCCTTCTCCCCAACCTCCGGGCTGCGGCAGGGTCTGGGGTCGGGGTTGCGATCCCGGAGCGGGCAGGCAGGCTGCATCTTAGCCTGTGAATAGAGCTGGGAACAGCCTGGAGGGGCGCGGGTCGCAGTTTCCTGGGGCAACGACATTGTTGGTGCTGGGAGGAGGATGTTTGAGCCCCTCCCCGAGCCCTGCCTGGCCAGATGGGCCTACCTGCCAGGCCTGGCGTGGCCGGGCCCCTCTCTGGATTGGGCAGCACCGACCTAGGCAGGTGTGTCTCTCAGGGCAGGCGCTGAAGGCTCAGCCTCAACCAGGGGAATCCTAGGCCCGGCTGCGGGAAGGGAAGTCGGCTCGGCTCTGGAGTAGCCAGGGCCAGCGAGGGTGTCGAGGGGATCCCTGCTGGGGTAAATACCCAGAACCCTGACCTGAGCTCCTATTCCACCACCCCCACCCCCCAATCTGGTGTTAGGCCCGATGCATTTCAGAGAAGTGAGGGGTGAGTGTTGTGTGGAGGAGGAATAGATGTACCTCCCCCATAATTCTGAACCCTAGTTGGTGGGGAGGAAGAGGCCGAAGTCACTGCTCCCGGCCTAGAGAGGGAGGCTTAGACATACCCCATTGTTTCCCCATCTCGAGAACTGGCGCCTTCCCCTCTCCTGGGGCACCACCCCAGCCAGGCTCCAGCTGGGCTGTGGTGCCAGCCCCTCCTGGGAGCAAGGGGTCACTGGCTCCCAGGTCCTCAGGTGGGCAGAGACCCCTGGGGATCTCTAATAGCATCATCAAACTCAGAAACCTTCCCTGAGGCCCTGAGCTGAGCTGGAAGGACCAGAGGGGGCCAGATGGAGGAGGCCAGGCCTGAAGGCTCCAGGGCTGCAGCTCTCTGATAATGCCTTAGACTGAGGTCTGAGACTCCACCTGGCATGGTGCATGAGGCCTCCATGCAAATACTGCCTCCCCACCTGGAGGCCTCTGCAGTGGAAGCACATGGGGCTTAGAGGGACCTGGGTTCAAATCCTAGCTCCACTACTTTCTAACTGCATGACCCAGGCAGGTTTTTGTCCTCTCTGGGTGCCATCTGTTAAGTGGGCTAATTAATATTGATTCTTGCCTGGAAAGGAGAAAAAGCACATCAGGTCAGTGTTCAACAAGTGTCAGCCCCCACACTAGCAGACAACACTACGGCTCGCTGCTGTCCAGAGTGTCTTCCCAAGGCCCCTCCTTTAACCCTCATAACTGCCCCAAGAGAGGGTAGTGACCTGCCCATTTTATAGATGAGGTGATTGAGATTAACAAAGGCAGGGTGGCTCATCTGGAGACTACAAAAGAGTCAGAGACTAAGGCTACACTGGGACCCAGGTCTGTGCGTGTTTAGTCCACTCTACGTCCCAGCCCTGCCTCTGGCCCAGTGGGCAGCTTTTCTTCCTCGACCTGCTTCCCCAGGTGTCATAGATGCTTTAATGAGAGGAGCTGAGGAAGCAGACACCAGCCAGTGAATGTGTGGCCAGCTCTGCGGCATGTGGGACAAGGGTGGCAGTAGGCCACGAGGCTGAGGTGTGGGCCAGCACTCCAGAACATGGTGGCCTGGCTGCGGAGACAAGGCCAGTGCGTGGGAATAATAAGCGTCAGTGTCTCAGGCCCTGCCGGCCTGCCCCGCTGCTCCCAAAGCCCCCGCTGCCCTTTCTCCTGGCCCGCCTCTCACTGTGCTTGGCCAGGCTCCACTTAACCCTGGGTGGGTAGATAGTGCTTTCTTGTGGCTCTTTGGTGGAGTCATAGATCCAACTGGCCTGGGTTTGAATCCTGGCTGGCCCTTCTTACCTGTGTGCCCTGACACTGGGCACTTAAGCCCTCTGAGCCTCTGAGATGCCAGCACTGGCCCCTGCTCAGGATGGTCCTAAGAATCAGATGAGATAACACGTGTTGAGTGTTTCAAGGGCTGAGGAGAGCCGCCTGTAGGCAGGGCTGTGTGTGTGCACACACACACAGGCGCCTTGACCCCCAGTGCCACTGTCAGCTCCCAGAAAATAAAGGGGGTCTGTACCCAAACTTTGGTATCCCCATTGCTCAGCACGGGATAGTTACTCAATAACAGTGGTAAGCGCTGACATTTGGAAGGCACTCAGTTCGCCCAGGCACCATTCTAAGAGTTTCCTATGTGCAAGAGTATTTACTCCTCCCAATAACTGTATCAACAGAGCGTTGTTATTATCCACACTTGCATGAAGAAACTGAGGCAGAGGGAGGTTAGGTAAGTGGCAGAGCTTGTAAGTGGCAGGCAGTCTGATGTCAGAGCCACCCCAAAAAGAAAGAGCCCTAGAGTATTGGAAGAGCATGTGCGGAGGGGGCGAGCATGTGGACCTGACCTGAAGGGGTGGGAGCATTCGTTTGTTTGTGGTAGGTTAAATACGTGTTAATTTTTGTTCTGATTATAGCTCCAGCTGTTTATAGTGGTTGGTTACCTTTGGGTATGGTATGGGGTGAGGGATTTTTACTTCTTATTTTACATACTTTTTTTTTTTGAGACAGAGTCTCACTCTGTCGCCCAGGCTGGAGGTTGGAGTGCAGTGGCATGATCTAAGCTCACTGCAACCTCTGTATTCTGGGTTCAAGCGGTTCTCCTGCCTCAGCTTCCCAAGTAGCTGGGATTACAGGTGCCCACCACCACGCCCGGCTAATTTTTGTATTTTTAGTAGAGACGGGGTTTCAACATGTTGGCCAGGCTGGTCTTGAACTCCTGACCTCAGGTGATCCACCCATCTCAGCCTCCCAAAGTGCTGGAATTACAGGCTCGAGCCACCACGCCCAGTGTCATACTTTTATATTACAGGTTGAGTATGCCTGATCTGACATGCTTTGGACCAGAAGTGTTTCAGATTTCTAATTTTTTTGGATTTTGGAATATTTGCATATGCATAACGAAATAGCTTGGGGATGGGAACCCAAGTCTAAAAATGAAATTGATTTTTTCTTATATATCTTATACATATAGCCTCAAGGTAATTTTATACAATAATTTAAATAATTGTGTGCATGAAACAAAGTTTTGATTACAACCTGTCATGTGGAGTCAGGTGTGGAATTTACAGCCTGTGCTGTTATGTTGGTGCTCAAACATTTAGGATTTTGGAGCATTTCAGATTTCAGGTTTTTGGATTAGGGCTGCTCACCTGTATTTGACTTCTTATTTTATAATGAGTATAGGTTACTTCTGTGTCTTACAAAATAATAAAAGAAAATTCAAAATTAAAGTGATACATGTTCATTATAAAGAAAACTCTAGAAAAGAGAATTTAGAAATTTACACAGTGGAGACATTGGCACTGGGTAGGTGGGACAAAGAGGAGGGGCAGAAGGACAGTTCACGTGGGAGGAACAGCAGAGACAAAGGGGGTTTCATGGACAAGAAGGGAGCGAGCGGCCTGTCTGGGGTGTGTAGAAGGGGAATCGTGGATCTGAGAGACCTTAGAGACCAGCTCGTCCAACCAGCTCCCTCCCCTTATGAGGAAACAAGAGAGGGCGAGTGGCTCCCCCAAGAGCACACAGCAAATTAGTGGCAAAGCTGGGATAGAGCCAGGCCATGGCTGCCTGGATGGTTGCCATCTGCCCCAGCACCCTGCCTCAGGGATGAGAGATGGGGCCACCGAGAGGCTTCTTCCTTCATTCACTCAACAAACGTTTGCACTTTGCCTAGGTCACCAGGGAAACACTGCAAAGGCCCAGACGTGGGCCTGGCCATCATGCTATTGGTGTTGTAGAGGGGAGACAGACAGACAGACGGCTTTACAGATGGGCTGGTCGGTGTGATGATGGCTCAGGTCAAGGGACCCAGGCTCAGCGGGTCTAGACAGGCCCCCCAGAGGCAGGGACATTTCAGCTTAGGCCTGGTGGACGCATAAAAATATCACCCAAGGGTGTCACTGGAGTGAAGGGCGGAGACCAGAGCGGGTGGGCAGGGTGTCTGGTGCCCAGTCTGGCAGGAGGGTGGAGAGCAGGATGTGCAGGAACTTGTAGGCCATGTGACGATGCCGACCTCTTCACCAACAGCCAGAGGAGCTGGCAGGGGGTTAGGAAAGGAATGACAGGGTCAGACAGATCCTCTAGGACAGGGGTGTCCAATCTTTTGGCTTCCCTGGGCCACATGGAAGAAAAATTATCTTGGGCCACACGTAAAATACACTAACACTAACGATAGCTGATGAGCTAAAACACAAAAACATCTCATAATGTTTCAAAAAAGTTTATGAATTTGTGTTGGGCCACATTCAGAGCCATCCTGGGGCTCACGCACCCATGGGCCATGGGTTAGACAAGCTTGTTCTAGGAGGATCACCTGGCTGCTGGGTAGAGAGCGGCCAGGGGACTAGCCATCCTGCTGGTAAGAAGGAGGGACAGGTTCAGGGTGTGAGGAAGAGTTAGGGGGCAGATTAGCCTGCTTGGTGAGGGATACAGAATAGGGAGTGGGGAGGCAGGAGTCTAGGATGATGCTGGGGCTCCTTGGTGGGTGGGGTGTCCAGTGGGAGACCAGAGGGCGGTGGGCAGGGTGTGAAAATCATGTGGGAACCTGCTGAATTTGAGACTGGGGATCATTGGAGGACCCAATTGGAGGAATCATACAGTCAGTCGGTTTTGGGTCTGGAGCTCAGAGGAGAGGATAGGGCTGGGGCCAAAGACCCTGGGAGTCTGAGTTTGGAGGGATGGCCACTGAAGCCTCAGAGAGGACATCACTGTCCAGGGAGACTGAGCAGAGGGCAGGAAGATGGCTGGCCGGTGGCCTGTTCAGCCAACCATGTTTCGGTGGAGGTGGGGAGGTGCTGCTGGAGCTGCCTCATGCCCAGGACCGCCTTGGCCTGGCTCCTGATGGACCTTGGATGTGGAGGCAGAGAGTGTTGACTTGCCTCACACAGTCCGGCAGTGGCCAGGGCAGAATTTCAACCCCAGCTCGCTGATGGCAGAGCTTTAAAGTTCGTCTCTGGATTGCTGGAAATGGGCCACAACACACTTCTAGCTTGGGGCCCCCATGGTTCCCACAAATTGGGTCACAGCCACCATCCACACGTAGTTCTTAATCATTCTATGATGCCATCTTTGTTCCCTGGCCCCACTCTTGTATTCATTCCAAAATAGCAGGAGCGTCTCTGGGTGCTTTGCCTTGTTCCGCCACTGGAGATGCCAGTGGAGAGCTCATGGCTCCTGCTGTCATGTTGCTTGCAGTGCCTCTTTAATAGGCACTGATTTAGCACCTATGGTGTGCAGGGTTTTGGGCTTTGTGCATAGATTGGAGCAAAGGTGGGGAGTCAGTGCCCAGGTGAGTATGATGACCCTGCCCTCAGGAAACTTGCAGCTCTGGGGAGGGCAGGCAGCCCAGCAGCAGACGGGGAGCCCATGCTAGGCTGGCATGACCCAAGATGAAAGTCTGTGAAGGACAGCAAAGGAGAAAAGAGCGCCCCAGATTCTACCCCATCTCACAACTCTGTGTCCATGTGAGTGTTTCTTCCTGTGTGCAATATCATCCTGGGGAGACCACTGGATCATATATGCTGTCTTTTTGCTCATTTTATTAGTTGTCACCTTAATACACAGACTTTATAATGTTGATTCCAAAAGACTGCATCACATTTCATCTGCTGATGGCCACGATGGAACCAGCCCCCTGGTGCTGGGTGACGCAGGTGTTTTCAGTTGTTTGCTGTGATGAGGAATGAACATCCTGTGTGTAACAGTTCTTCTCCAAACAATGTGGGATTGTTTCCTCGAAGCAGTTTCCCAAAAGTCGAACAACTGGATCCCAGAGTTCTTGCAATGTATCAGCATGAAGATGTTTAAACAGATCAAACATGTTATAACCGCAAGTGGGGTTGTCCCTCGGGGCTCATTTCTTTGGTTGGATTCAGTTTTCGTTGGAGATGACCTCCGTATGGAGGTGGTCAGGAAGGGAATTCTGACCCAAAGAACAAACCCAGCCCAACCCCATGTTCACCCAGAGCCAGGTGGTGGGGGTAGAGCGAGGGCCTGAGAGGGATGCTGGGTCTGGCTCATCCCCACCCCACCGTTTCAGCCAGCACCGTCTTCCCAGAGGACCTGACATCCTAGCCCAGACTCTGGTGTAGGTGGGGACACAGGAAGTTGATTGGAAAAGTGGACTAACTTAGAGATTTCCAAGGCAAAAATCCAGAGAGCCCTGGGACACCTGTGGTTAATTCATTCAGCATTTGTCAAGTACCTATTAGGCACCACACATGTTGATCAAAACAGATATGATCCCACCCATATGGATTAACTGACTCCAAGGGGAGGCCACCGCGGGCCGCATAACCCAAAGGTAAAATTACAGTGATACGGAACCACAGCCAGGAGGGACTCCGAGAGCCCATAGCAGGGCGGTTTGGCTTGGTCCCAGAGGTCAGAGAAGGCTTGCAGAGGAGACCATGCTACTGCTTTGGGAGCTGCGCTATTGAAGGAGGAGATAAAGGTGGGAGGTGGGGGGAATGAAGGGAAATGATACTGGTTGGAGGGAAAGGAGGCTTTACAGAGCCTTCAGGCCACAGATGAGAATTTGGGCCCCTTCTCCTAAGGACCAGGGGAAGCTATTAAAGGGCTTTGAGCTGGGAAGAGTGACCAGACCAGATTTGTAATTCAGAGGTCAGCTTTGCTGTCATTACCTGGTGGAGAGTGGCTGGTAGAGGAACCAGAGGGAAATGGGGAACCCACTTAGGGTTGAGCGGCCAGTCAACAGGTGTCCTGAGAACTCACTGGGAGCCAGCTTCGTTCTCAGCACTTAGAGGGCTGCAAAGAGGCAGGCTGGATCCCTGGACCACACGTGCCCTCTGTCACAAGAGAGGCTTGTGGGGCATTGTGGCCAGGACCCAAGGTCAATCAGCTGGCATCCTTACCTCCTCACCACAGCACAGCCAGGAACACAAAGGCCCAAGAATGACATCTGAACAGCCAATGCCTGGCTCAGATTTGGCCTTGCTCAGCTAAAGCCTCAGCACTTTACCACTTAACCTTTGCTTTACATACACTTCTAACTCAGCCTACTACGGAGCTGAAATAGTCCGTTAGAAAGGGCAGGACTGTGGTTGGTGGAAATGTGACCCAGCAAGGCAGGGGAAAAGGGCCTGAAATCAACATCAGAACACAAAAGGCATGTTTGTTCAGGGCCATTTAGAAAAGTGCAGCTCAGGGTGGGGTGGGAGCAGGAGCTGGTATGGCGAGAACAGTGAGGAGCTGGCAGGGCAAAAGCAAGGACTGGGGCAGCAGAGTAGGAGGGATCAGGTGAATGCAGGAACAGGGCCTCAGGTAGAAAGGTCAGGGCGGTCTCCAGAGACCAAACTCACAGCTCAGAGCCACCAAACGTTAATATGGATGACGTCTCAAGGATCACAGCATCCAGGATAGACAAGCAGGTCTGATGGGTGGGCAGGGGCTGCTTCTACAGGAGACTGCTGAAACTTCCAGACCCAGAGGTGAGGGAGGCCGGCCTGCGGAGGGCCGTAGGATTCAGTTTGGAGGCCTCCTGGTGCTAAGGCTGCCATGAGCAGGGTGGATCAGGCGGGACAGGAGGGAACCGCCCTCTTTTCCCCTTCTTCCCCTCCCTTCTCCCCTCCATCTTTTCCTCCCTCCTCCTTTCCCTCCCTTCCCCACATTGACCTTCCATGAGCCTTCAGGGACCAAGTGTCTGTTTAGCCTTCTCTCCATAAAGGGACCCCCCAGGGTTTTAGCTGGGAGGCCAGAACATCTGGTGCCTGGAAAAGAGGAAAGGGCAGAGTCTTGGATGGGGGGTGACTTGCACAGGGTACTCTTTGACCAATCAGTCCCCCTTGATCCTTGGTAGTGACCTCCTACTCACACAAATTCCATTCTGCTAACCCTCACCAGCCCTCTGAGGTGGGTGGGCAGGGATTGGTGGCTTCATCCTGTATCTGGGAAGCTGAAGCATAAGGCACCTTTATGTCTAAGCCTTAGTGTTCCTCATCTGTAAAATGGGAAAAATGGAACAAACCCTCTCCCAAGGTTGTTGCAATGAGGATTAAGAGAGATGCATGGCATAAATGTTGGGGCCAAGATGGGGCAGCTTCAACGTGAAAGAGTCAGGATTTATTTCAGGCCTCCTGCTTCCAAGCCTGATATGGTGATCATTCTTCCATCCTGCCTTACTTATGAGAGGCACCTAAAAAGTCAGACAAAGCATCCCCCTTAACCCACCCCAGTAGAGCCAGGGATCAGGCATAGGCTCTCTGACCCCCAGCCCAGTATTCTTTCTAGCATTGCCCAATTAAAGCCCAGTGCCCTCAGCTGTACAGGAAGAATGCTGCTGTCCTTGCCCCACCCAGACCTATTGTCCAAGGAAGTGGGAATATCAGGTGATGTTGAGGGTGTAGAAGTGAACTGAGAAGCCTCTAACCCAGGTCTAAGCCAGACCCTGCAGGCCCTGCTCCAGCCTGCAGTTCGAGAGGAGCAGGTGGAGGCAGAGGCTGTCCTGTGACAGACATCTAGCAGGCTCATGCTGAGGACTCAGTGTATGCAGGATGAACTCGCCAGCTCTGCCCTCCAGGAGCAAGGGGAGGAAGGGGTCTTGATCACCTGCTGGGTACAGTATAGGGTCATCAATCAGGGTGCTGGATACAGGCCCCATCCACCTTTGGAGCAGCCAGGGGGTGGGAAGTGGGTGTTTCTGAGGGAGGGCTGGCCCTGTCTGCTGCACACACTACTGTACATCCAGGCAGATGGTGACATCAGCCACATGCAAGGGCTGGGAGGGCTTCCTGGAAGAATGAGCTTAACTGAGCACTCTTCCAGCAAGCATGGTTTGAGAGTCTGCCACGTGCTCCCTCTGAGCACTGGGTTTGGCACTGGGGAGACACAGTGCCCACGCAGACTACGCATGGAGCTGGAGGCCTTGCCTGCAGGCACAGGAACCTGCTGCTAGTGGAGAGCCTTGAGGGTTCCAAGTGGGGCGGGAGGGATGATGGCATTTCTGGCAGTTTTGCCTGATAGTGGCAGGTGGAGTGGGATGGTGCAGGCATAGGGAGACTGAGACAGACAGGCCAGTGGGGACATCTGGGAGGGCAGAGGCAGGAGCTGGACTAGGGCTTGGCAGTGAGGAAGCGGAGCCATGTGTGAGGAGACACAGATGTGTGCAGGGGGGCTGGGCACCATGGCTCACGCCTGCAATCCCAGCACTTTGAGAAGCCGAGGCGAGCAGATCACCTGAGGTCAGGAGTTCAAGACTAGCCTGGCCAACATGGTGAAACCCTGTCTCTACTAAAAATACAAAAATTAACCAGGTATGGTGATGCACACCTGCAATCCCAGCTACTCAAGAGGCTGAGGCAGGAGAATCACTTGAACCCAGGTGGCAGAGGCTGCGGTGAGCCAAGATCATGTCATTGCTCTCCAGCCTGGGTGACAGAGCGAAAGGCCGTCTCAAAAAAAAAAAAAAATATATATATATATATATATATATATATGTGCAGAGGTCACTGGCAGAGCAGGGGCATTTCAGGGCACCTCTGGGTCAGCGGTCCTGCAGCTCTCCCATGCCATCTGAGTACCAGGGGCTCCCTTTTGCACCACTGGCCTTCTCGGTGACCATCTGGGCAACCAGTGTGAATTGAACACTTACTTGGTGCTGGCCACTGGGTTTTTGTCCCTGAGCCTGAGATGCCACCCTGCCCTGGCCGGACGGAGGAGGGCTGCTCTGGCTTCTGGGCCAGGCCCTCCTCCCCACTTCCACCCCAGCTGGCCAGCCACACCCTCCCCATGGCCTGGGGAACCACCACCCTTGGGCTGCAGGTCAGACGTGACCCTACAGGGCACCTTGTCCATCCAGCCCCCATTCCCCACCCCTCTGTGCAGTGCCCTCCAGGGGCCTCCAGGTTCTGTTTATGTCATTCCAAAGGGAGAGGAAGCTCATTACCACACAGCAGCCCTTCCAGCTCTGCTCTAAGGGCCCAAACACTGGCCTGCCCTTAGCTGTGGCTCTGGTGCCTCCTGCTTCCATAGGCCCTGCCTTCCTGGGTCCTGAAGGCTCAAGCTCTGGCTGCAGAAGGAGGCAGCCCAGATCAAACCCAGTTTGGATGCAGCCTGGGCCCACAGAAGCCTCTCTGATGAGGTCGGGGGGCTGAGCCTATGGCAGTGCAAACCGAGTGTTCATTCTTAGGGTGTTTGGGAAGCCCCCCTTCATCTCCCACCTGGCACCCTGACTGGGGAACTGGCCCTTTAAAGCCAACCAAGGGCTGGCTTTTGGGGGGAAACATCCTAGATTTCTGCCATCTACTTACAAGCCTGGGCCAGGGAGGGGGGGCCACTCAGCCCCCGACAGGGGCATTGGAAGGGCAGGTGGAGCCAGTGGCATTGATTGCAGTAACCTGATCCCGTGAGGGAGGCGGCCACAGCGGCAGCAGCGCAAGGGCCAGGCCAGCCGGGAGGAAGGTGCCTGCAGCTGAGGGCTGCGCTGGGAAGAGCTGGGGCTGGGACCCGGGTCGGCAGCTGCAGCCTCCTCTCCTGGCCTGTCTATTTTTAATGAGCTCCCCAGGCTTCTGCAGCAGGCAGGACGCAGAAAGACAGGCCCAAGCGGTGGAGGCCAGAGGCCCCCAGCCCTGCCTTGAGCCCTGGCCCCCCCACCCTTCCGGGCATGAGAGGGCAGCCCTGGGGCCCCGCAGCCCCCCGGCCGGGCAGGGCTCTCCATGCAGCTGGTGCTGAAGATGGATTCGAGCCCAGACAATGACAGCTGGTTGGAGGATCAATGGGAGCGCTGGTAGGGGCTACCGGGGCTGGCGGGGGTGGAGACCGAGTTGGGGTGAGCTCCATCGAGCTCAGGGTCTCTGATCTGAATGAGGCGAGTGGCAGGGAGTCTGGGCCTCCTAGGTTCCCCTGGGGGCTAAGCCACCATCTCTCCTGGGTGACCTTGAACTAGTGGGTTTCCCTTGCTCTGTGCCTCAATTTCTTGGACTTATTTGGGAAAAGGCTCATACATTCTCCCCAACTTCCTAAATGTTCTACCCCCCCACCACCCCCCCAGCAAGCCAGGCAGAGTGCCCAGGACCTAGAGGTGAGCAAGAGACAGGCTGCCTTGCAGTGGCTGGCCCAGCCCTGCATTCTGAGGTGGGGACTCAGGGCTGGCCTAGGGAGAGGGGGGTTCTAGTGGAGCTGGTTAGTATTCTGGTGCCCTGGTGCTCTGAGCTGTCTCCCAAGGTTGTAACACCTCTGGTCCCACCTGGGGCTTCTCCTGACCCCATCTGTGCAGCCTCCTGTTCAGGGTCCTTACACTGGATAAGGAGAAGATGTTGTGGTTGAAGAGATGAGACCACCAAGTGCACAGCATGAGGCTGGAGTCCTTTCTGGAATAGGCTGAAACTACCCACACTGACACCAGATTTTCCTTCGCTTGTTCCCTGGGCTCAAGGGGCATGAGTCTTCCTGAGCTGGGGCGTGGGGCACTCCTCTGAGGCTGCTGCCGGCGCCTCGGGTCTTGCTACTGCAGGGATTGCACTGGGAGCTCCCCTACTCCAGGCTGCTCTTCTCAAGTCCACATTCTCCATGGTGAACTGGCCTTGGCACCTGCCTTGACCCTGGGAGGAGGCTCTGACCAGTTGGGCCTTCTAAGCACTGCCTGCTGGTTGGCAACAGAATGACAGCTTCCAGGGAGGAGCCAGAGTGACCTGGAGCCTCCTCTTCCACTGCCACCCTAGGAGGACTGCCTTTTGGCACAAGCCCCTCGCTCTTTCCCTGCCTGCTGACCACCCCCTGCATTGATACAGATGAACCCCAAATCCTGTCCTCTGGGGGCTGTGTTTGGCCTTCAAGAGGCTGCACCCTGGAAGAGGTAACAGGGAGATGTGAGCAGGCATAGTGCCCCTGAGTTGTAACTTTGGCTTCCTGTCCCCACCAGGCTCACCCATGACATCAGCCTGGAGGAGTTTGAGGATGAAGACCTCTCGGAGATCACTGATGAGTGTGGCATCAGCTTACAGTGCAAAGACACCCTGTCCTTACGGGTAAGGGCAAGCTCCCAGGAGCTCCTGAGTGGGGTGGCAGGAAGGCTAGGGACAGGGGTAAGGGTATCCCCATAGTGACAAAGGGGGTTTCAGGTCTGTGCTGGCACCCTCATGAAATGAAATGATGTGCAAGAAACATAGGTATACTGCTTGGCACGTCTTGAGTGTACAATCAGAATTTCATTTGGTATTATTATTATTATTACTGCTGTCGGGGACTAAGACAGGAAGTAGCTCCTTCAACTGCCCACGAGATGGGAGAGGCCAGGAAGTCTTGAGACCTAGGGCAGTAACAATTAGGACCAGACTTAAGGGAGACTCAGGGCTACCCCTGAATCCTTTTGGGAGCAGCCCTGGCAGAGGGCCTGAGGCAGACAGGGTGGAGTCTGGTGGAATCTGCAGTGCTTTAGGGCAGGAAGAAACAGCCAAGGCACCCCTGGAATAGCTCCTGTGGCTGCTGGCTGCTATTACACCAGACAGATGGCACCACGCGGCCTCCCAGACCCTCTCTGGCCTATAGTCCTAAAGGCCCCCACTGAGGGGTTTGCCCAGCATTGCTGCTGGTTTGGGCCCCTTGGCTTTGTCATAGGGAAGATGGCTCTCTCCTGTCCCTAAAGATCTGAATGCTGCCAGGAGGTCCCCAGCACCTGGGTAACTGGGGTCAGATGGGGATCCCAACTATGTCTTTTCAGAACAGGAAGAAGGGGCCGGCTTGCCAGGAAATGGAGGACAGAGCACAGGGCTAGGTTTTAGAGCCCAGAGCTCCTCTGAGCCCCCAAGAGGGCGGGTAGCCAGATACGGTGTCAGGAGAGTGGTTACCATAGGAGCGTGAGGTGTGCCTTGGGGAGGGAGTACCTGTCTCTGTGTTGACCTCCTGCTACTCCCAGAGACTCAGTAAGCTCTGCAAGAGGAAACCAAGGGGTGAGGATAATCCCCTAGTCCCCAGTACCCCAACCTTCCACTCTCTGGCCAGGCCAGGAAGAGGCAGAGGCCTCTAGATTTGGGGAATGGTCTCAGAGCCCTGACTTAGCTTCTCAGAGGTCAGGCACCTGTTCTGGACTCTCACCCTGCCCTCTCCCCCAGCTGCACCAGCAGAGCCTTGGAGAGGGTTGCCTCCGAGCTAGGCAGGGGCCCCAGGCACTACTGGCCAGAGGTGTGCCCCTAAGGGGCCTCAGACAAGCTCCAGCGGGCTTCACACACGTTCCAGTGAATACTCAGCTCTCTCAGAGGCTGGGAGGCAGTAGTGTTATCCCCACTCAACTGATGAGGGGGCCTGAAGGATCAGGGGATCTGTCCAAGGTGCCAGGGAGTTGGCGGCAGAACTGGAGCTAGATGGGGCTCTGCATCCTCAAGGCAGGCTCGTGGAGGACCGATCTAGGGCTGGAGGGGCCCCGGGCCAGCTGGCTTAGGGCGCGGCTGCCACCGCCTTGGTTCCTGGCCCCCGCTCGCCCCTCCCCCTCGGCGTCTCCTTCCCATCCCTCTCAGGTCTCCGCCGTTCCTTGCTTGGCTGAGCCTCAGTTTTTCCAGTTTTCCTCAAGACCCCTTCAAATACTATTTCCCCAACCCCCATCCCTTGCCCACCCCACCCCGAACTCCTTGGCGACCACTGAGTCCCCATAGCAACAGCGGTGACTTCACTCTGGGCTCGGCTTACAACCCCGGTGAGGTCACCGGCCGTTGCCAGGGGAACGGGAGGGCGCAAGGAGTCCGGGGTGGGGACTGTGGGGAGGTGCTGGCCGTCAGAGGCACGGCTGGATCGGGGAGGCGGCGGCCTCGCGCTTCCTCGCGGCGGACGGGCGAGAGCGCCCCAGTCTCCGGCGGCCCCTGCTCGGCTCCCCTCGTGCCCCCTTCGCGCCACAGAATGGACTCGCCCGGGCGGGGGGCGGTGCAAGCGGCCTCGGCCCCGCCCCGGCCCCGCCCCCTGACGCCCCTCCGTGCGCTGTGCAGCCCCCGCGCGCCGGGCTGCTCTCTGCGGGCGGCGGCGGCGCGGGGAGCCGGTTGCAGGCCGAGATGCTGCAGATGGACCTGATCGACGCGACGGGGGACACTCCCGGGGCCGAGGACGACGAGGAGGACGACGACGAGGAGCGCGCGGCCCGGCGGCCGGGAGCGGGGCCGCCCAAGGCCGAGTCCGGCCAGGAGCCGGCGTCCCGCGGCCAGGGCCAGAGCCAAGGCCAGAGCCAGGGCCCGGGCAGCGGGGACACGTACCGGCCCAAGCGGCCCACCACGCTCAACCTCTTTCCGCAGGTGCCGCGGTCTCAGGTGAGGCGCCAACGTGGGGGGCGGCGCCCTGGGCCGCCGCGGAGATGTGAGGGGGAGCGCAGAGGGGCTGCAGCGGGAAGGGGCACCCACGGGTCCAGTGCCTGGGGACAGCGCCTGCATAGGGGCCGCGGTGGCTCGCTCCCGGTGTTGGGATCCGAGGAGCGGGCAGAACCATCCTTACGAAGAGGGGGCTGAGTCCAGCTGGCCGGGCTTGGAGCCTTGAGGCGGGATTGAAGGAGGGAAGGACTGGGGTTAGGAGAGGAGTAGGGAATTAAGAGAATGAGGCTTTGAGGGGTTCGAAGGGTTTGGAGCCTGGGACCTCAGGCTGTGACAGGGTTTCTCCTTTAGGATATGGGGCTCCTGGTGAAAGTGGAGCAGGAGCAGGGCCTGGAGAAAAGGGCATCTGAAATGGTCATCGTGGGGGAGGCCGTGGGAGATCGTGGCGAGGTGGGGATGGGAAGCTCAGGGGCCACAGCCAGTTTAAGATCTGGGCAGCTGCGAATTCCCAGAAGGCAGGGGGGAGGAATGGGAGATGGAGCTGCTTGGCTAAGTTGGGGACCTAGGGCCCCTGGGAGGGTGGCTGGATGCCAAGGAGAGTTGAATAGGGTTGGGGGAGCTGGCTGTGGCCCTTTGTCTTCCAGGCCCATCGGGAGCGGTGCAGGCAAGGAGCTCCTGGGAGGTGGGGCGGCTGGGGCTGCGGGGAAAGGCTTGGTCCCTTTCCCAGGATCCTGTGAATGGCTTTTGGCAGCCCGGCTCAGGAACGTGAGGGCTTGGGAGAGAGCTCCCAGGGGAGGGAGCCTCCGTGGAGTGGAGGGAGCCCTGTGTGGGCATTGTGGGGAGGGGTCCCAGGGCTGAGAATGTAGAATGGGCAGCCCAGGAGATCCAGGAAGGAGGGCTGCTGACAACTGCATCTGTCACTCCTCAGTCTCATGCCACTGTGGTGGGGGGTGCAGGAAAACTCTGTTATGGATTTGTCACTGGGATGATTCATCCTGGTCCCCCAGGCCAGCTGCTAGGGAGACCCTTCCTTGTGCTTTTTCCAGGCTCTACCAGAAGGTCCTCACCCCTTCTAGGCCATAACTTCCCAAGCTCCAGAGCAGAGAGTCACCTGTCTCTGACTTGGGCTGGATTTGAGCATTTTCCAAGTAACCCTCAGTACCTGGGACTGGGGGTCTGACTGTGTCTCCAGAGAGCTCCTGCTTCTCTTCTCCCCTGCCTCCTCCCCCTCTTGCCACCACACACATTGGCCATCACCACCTTTGTTAAGGCTGATAAGAGCATCTCCCTGAGGGTTGGCCAGCTTCCCTGAGCAAGGCGGAGGGCCATCCAGAGCCGGCAAGCCTGGCTGTGACTTGCCACCCTTCCTGCCTGCTCCAGAGGAGAGTTACGAGTGAGGCCTTTGACAGTGGAGGCGGGGTGGACACAGCAAATGGCCCTAGGGATGGCCTGAGGGGGCAGGGCCGGGGCCTCCCTGTGCCGGGCACTGTTGACCACTTCCATCACAAGAGCCTTTTGTTCCCTGCACAGGACACACTGAATAATAATTCTCTGGGCAAAAAGCACAGTTGGCAGGATCGGGTGTCTCGATCATCCTCACCCCTGAAGACAGGTAAGTCAGGGCCCTCTTCCTTACCTGGACCTCCGCCTGCCCTGACTCAGTCCCCACTACAGAGAGCAAACCCTACAGTCTCCAAAGGGCTGAGTAGAGGTGAACTGCCCACCCACATCCCTGCACGAGCCCATCCAGGGGCTGAGATCAGTGGTGGCATGAGTGAGTTGACTGGCCCCAGAGCCTGCGAAGGGCCTGTTGCCCAGGGAGGCTTTGTCTTGGTTTCTGTGTCACCAAGCTGAGAGTGGCAGGTGCAGGTAGCTGGGAGTTGGGAGAGAGCCCCTGCCTTCATGACCTGCCTGCTCTCCAGGGGAGCAGACACCACCGCATGAACACATCTGCCTGAGCGATGAGCTGCCCCCCCAGAGCGGCCCCGCCCCCACCACAGATCGAGGCACCTCCACCGACAGCCCTTGCCGCCGCAGCACAGCCACCCAGATGGCACCTCCGGGTGGTCCCCCTGCTGCCCCGCCTGGGGGTCGGGGCCACTCGCATCGAGACCGAATCCACTACCAGGCCGATGTGCGACTAGAGGCCACTGAGGAGATCTACCTGACCCCAGTGCAGAGGCCCCCAGACGCTGCAGAGCCCACCTCCGCCTTCCTGCCGCCCACTGAGAGCCGGATGTCAGTCAGCTCCGATCCAGACCCTGCCGCCTACCCCTCCACGGCAGGGCGGCCGCACCCCTCCATCAGTGAAGAGGAAGAGGGCTTCGACTGCCTGTCGTCCCCAGAGCGGGCTGAGCCCCCAGGCGGAGGGTGGCGGGGGAGCCTGGGGGAGCCGCCGCCACCTCCACGGGCCTCTCTGAGCTCGGACACCAGCGCCCTGTCCTATGACTCTGTCAAGTACACGCTGGTGGTAGATGAGCATGCACAGCTGGAGCTGGTGAGCCTGCGGCCGTGCTTCGGAGACTACAGTGACGAGAGTGACTCTGCCACCGTCTATGACAACTGTGCCTCCGTCTCCTCGCCCTATGAGTCGGCCATCGGAGAGGAATATGAGGAGGCCCCGCGGCCCCAGCCCCCTGCCTGCCTCTCCGAGGACTCCACGCCTGATGAACCCGACGTCCATTTCTCCAAGAAATTCCTGAACGTCTTCATGAGTGGCCGCTCCCGCTCCTCCAGTGAGTCAGCAAGGGGAAGCAGTGGGGTGGGGGGGTCCCTAGCGGGGGCAGAGCCAAAATGCGAAGTGTTCTGGGAGGCGACCCCAGGCCCCATCTGGTTAGGACTGAGGCTTCTACCTGCCCCGCTAAACCTGGATCAGAGCTGCGACCCCCCATCCAGCCACACCACCTCACCTGCAGGTGCTGAGTCCTTCGGGCTGTTCTCCTGCATCATCAACGGGGAGGAGCAGGAGCAGACCCACCGGGCCATATTCAGGTGAGAGCCATGGGCTGGCTGGGCCTAGCCAGGCAGCAGTTTGGGCCACACACCACCCTCTACTTGTCACCCCTACATGGCCTCAGCCTAACCCCTGCCATCAGCCTTCATTTATCCACTCAGCCCTGGGAGGACAGTGTCCACTCTCTAGGGACTCAGAGTATGGTGACAAAGAGGATGGCTACAGTGAGGGATCCCAGAACTGTGCACCTAGTCTGGCCAGGGGCAGGGCACCCAGGAGGGTGACCAGGAGGATGCCTGCCCACACCCCACCTGACCCTTCTCTAGACAAAAGCCTGCGCTTCCCACAGCCTCTCCATTTTAGAGGGGGCCCTGCCCACACCCTCCCTTGGCCTGTGTTTCCTCGATGGCAGATGCATGTCTGCTTGACCTTGCTCTCCCCTGGGGTTAGTACTGCAACAGGCACACAGGATGCTTTTGCAAATGTTTACTGAAATAACGATGCTGCTGTGGCTCCCAGACCCCAGAGTAGGCCTGGCTGGACAGGCCTTGGTGCCGAATTTCTCACCTGTCCTTGCTGGGGACAGGTTTGTGCCTCGACACGAAGACGAACTTGAGCTGGAAGTGGATGACCCTCTGCTAGTGGAGCTCCAGGCTGAAGACTACTGGTACGAGGCCTACAACATGCGCACTGGTGCCCGGGGTGTCTTTCCTGCCTATTACGCCATCGAGGTCACCAAGGAGCCCGAGCACATGGCAGGTAGTGTTCCCTCCCTGGCCTGTGCCCCCAGCCACCACATCTGTCTGCCCCAACTTGCTGCTAGGTGAACGTGTACTCCAGATCTCAGCCAGCCAGGTGGGGGGCTGAGTGGAAGTGATTTTAGGTCCTTTTCACGATCAAGCAAAGTGAGGCCCGGCCAAGTTGGGCAGCCAGGGATTGTGGCAGCCTCTGTGGGCTCTGCCATTCCCCGTGCCTCACCCACCCTCCTTCACTTGGCTGCTCAGCTCCCTCCTGCTCTTTCTGCCCCTCCTCAATTCACGCTTGCTTTCCAGCCCTGGCCAAAAACAGTGACTGGGTGGACCAGTTCCGGGTGAAGTTCCTGGGCTCAGTCCAGGTTCCCTATCACAAGGGCAATGACGTCCTCTGTGCTGCTATGCAAAAGGTACCTGAGCCCTCTCCCTTCTCCTCCCTTGGATGGGTCCCTGGGGCAGAGGGACGCAGGTGTCTAGAGGCAGTAAAGGGCTCAGGCCCTGGGACAGGAGGGATCAGCAGAGGAACAGACAGCAGCTGACGTGGCTCCATTTGTCACCTGTAGATTGCCACCACCCGCCGGCTCACCGTGCACTTTAACCCGCCCTCCAGCTGTGTCCTGGAGATCAGCGTGCGGGGTGTGAAGATAGGCGTCAAGGCCGATGACTCCCAGGAGGCCAAGGTGACTTCTTCCAACCCAGCCCCTTCCTTCCATGGCCCCAAGCTCTCCCCCAAGACTTGTGATGAAGAGGCCATCTCCTGTCACCCTCACTGCAGGCCAGGTGACCGCCCTCTTGCTTCTTTTCTCCCTCCTGTAGGGGAATAAATGTAGCCACTTTTTCCAGTTAAAAAACATCTCTTTCTGCGGATATCATCCAAAGAACAACAAGTAAGTGGGGGTGGGATGGCAGTGGAGGAGGCACGGGTGGTCTGCAGCCTTGAGGTGGGTGGGTGTGGGCCGAGCCCCCGTCCCAGCACAGACAGACCTGTCCCTGCAGGTACTTTGGGTTCATCACCAAGCACCCCGCCGACCACCGGTTTGCCTGCCACGTCTTTGTGTCTGAAGACTCCACCAAAGCCCTGGCAGAGTCCGTGGGGTACGTGTACACCCTGCTGAGCACCCAGCCCGAGGGAGCACGCCCAATCCCAGGCCCTGGGGCTGCTTCCTGGCGCTCAGCTTTGCCCCTCGGTTTCCCCCGCAGCTCTGGAGAACTATCTCCGGACCCCAGTGCGGGTGGCCTGGAGGGAGGGTGGCGCGGCAGGGTGAGCCTGAGGAGCAGCTTCCAAGCTTGGTAGCTGTTGGGCCATGTCTTCAACTGACATCTTACTGGGAAACGCGATGGCAATTCTGTAGAGAACAGAGCCAAGTGGCCCCAGCCAGAGGAACCAGAGCTGCACTTGGGCCCCAAGGCTCCAGCGGGAAAACCCTGGGTCGGGATCCTGTTCCTCCCTTGCCAGTGGCGATCTGAGCCATCTGTGTGTCCCCTGGCTTCTAGGAGAGCATTCCAGCAGTTCTACAAGCAGTTTGTGGAGTACACCTGCCCCACAGAAGATATCTACCTGGAGTAGCTGTGCAGCCCCGCCCTCTGCGTCCCCCAGCCCTCAGGCCAGTGCCAGGACAGCTGGCTGCTGACAGGATGTGGCACTGCTTGAGGAGGGGCACCTGCCACCGCCAGAGGACAAGGAAGTGGGGGCCGCTGGCCCAGGGTAGGGGAGGGTGGGGCAATGGGGAGAGGCAAATGCAGTTTATTGTAATATATGGGATTAGATTCATCTATGGAGGGCAGAGTGGGCTGCCTGGGGATTGGGAGGGACAGGGCTTGGGGAGCAGGTCTCTGGCAGAGAAGGATGTCCGTTCCAGGAGCACACGGCCCTGCCCCATCCTGGGCCTTACCTCCCCTGCCAGGGCTCGGGCGCTGTGGCTCCTGCCTTGATGAAGCCCGTGTCCTGCCTTGATGAAGCCTGTGCCACCTGCAAGTGCCCGCCCTGCCCCTGCCCCAACCCCCACCGAAGAGCCCTGAGCTCAGGCTGAGCCCAGCCACCTCCCAAGGACTTTCCAGTGAGGAAATGGCAACACGTGGAGGTGAAGTCCCTGTTCTCAGCTCCGTCATCTGCGGGGCTTCTGGGTGGCTCCTGCCACTGACCTCACCGGCATGCTGGCCTGTGGCAGGCCTAGGACCTCAGGCGGGGAGGAGGAGCTGCCGCAAGGCCCTGTCCCAGCAGAAGAGGGAGGCTTCCTGACTGACACAGGCCAGCCCCATCTTGGTCCTGTCACCCTGGCCCCAACTATTAAAGTGCCATTTCCTGTCTGGACTGCAGTGGATGTATCTGCATGGGCCCCTCCCGTCCCCGTCTCGCTCCCAGCCCAGGAAAGCCAAGCCTTTGTCACACATGGTATCTTTATGAGGGCCTTGGGTCATAGGTGTGCATCATAGTAATACTCGGCAAGGTCGGGCCCGTCCCGCTTGCGCTGCTGGGCCCTAGACAGGAGGGGTCGAGGCCCTCGCGGCCTTGGGTGCTTGGGGAGGATGCCATAGTCTAAAGAGAGAAAAGAGGGCATGGGTGGTAGGGGGCAGCTGGCTCTGATGGAACTGAAGTCACCCTTGAACAGATGTGGTTTGGGATGACAAGCCCCTGAAGGCTGGACTTGGGGCACCTCTTAGGGGCGTCTCCACTGTCAGGGATGGGTAGGGGAAGGGGACAAGAGAGATACTACCATCCACCAGGCCGGAAAGTGGCTGCGAGAGTTCCAGGGGGGCGGAAAATGCCTCAGGAACAGACCGCTGAGACCTGTGGGAGATGTCGGGGTGCTCAGCCCTGGCCCAGAAGGCCACCGCCACCTCCTTGTGAATGGGGGGATGGCTCAGTGTGGGGGCACTTGGCAAGCCCTCGAACGCCCAGGGTACCAGGGCCAGCCCCACTCCAGAGAGGGGAGGGGCAGCACCTCCACCATCCGGCCCAAGTGCCCTGCCCTCTGTGCCCCAGGAGTCACCTCAGAGGCTGGGAGCGAAGCAGTGCCACTGCCAGGATGAGGTGGAGGAAGAGGCTGAGCCCAGCCCGGGGGTGCAGAGCCCCCAGCATGGCGAGAACCATCTCCTACACGGGTCCTGGCTCCTGTCGTCCCTATGCTGGCAGGACGGAACCCGTTGCCGGCTCCCAGGGCCACCTCACAAAGGGCCTTCATTCCAAGCCTGCGTCAGCACCTGCCCTGGGGCAGGGCCAGCAGTCTCCCCCGAGGCTTGTTTTTGTTCTTATTGATGCTGTTGGCTAATAGGTGCCAAACCCGATCTTGTTCTAGTGTTGCTGTCCAAGGAATAAGAGCACACACTGTGGAGTCAGATCTCAGTTGAGGTCCTGACCTTGCCTCTTACTAGCCGGACAAGTCACTTCATCTCTGTGTGCCGGAGTTTCCTCATCTGTGACGTAGTCCATTACACACCCTACAGACATAGGCCCTCCGAAGAGGGCAGGGGATCCTCACCACCCAGAGCCCCAGCCATTCCTACAGCACCCCCCCCCCACCCCCACTGGCATGGCAGGAGGTCCGAGCAGGTCCCGCCAGCTGAGGAGCCCAGAGTGGCTCTCTCAGCCCTGCCTGTCTCAGGGTCTACGTGAGAGGGAGTGTGCAGGCTCCCTGTGTCCCCAGCTCAGGGCCTTTCCCTCTCCGCTCTCTGCAGCTTACAGCGGCCTGAGGCTGGATGGAGGGCTTCCAGACATATGGTGGCAGAGCTCTGGACCTGCCCCTCAAGTGCAGGCTTCAGGAGGGCAGGGAGGGCTTTGTTCACTGGAATCTGCAGCCCTGGACCCCTGGTAGGCGCCCAGTGAGCCTGTACAGCTCGGCCCTGCACTGGACACCGTCCCCTCGCAGGCCTGGGCTCAGCTGCAGGTGCCACCAGAAGGCCTCTGGCTGGCTCCTGGTTCTCCACTCAGCAGCCAGGCTCAGCCCATTTATACCTGCAGTGCGAACCTGGCTCACCAGAACCATGGCAAGCCTTCAAAACAAAATCCCTGGCCCCACCCCAGATCTGTAGTATCAGAACCTGAGGGCCGAGCCCAGGGCTCTGGAGCTTTGGTAATCCAGTTGCTTGAGATGGCCAACCTGCCAGCTGGCCCAGCCGCTCTCCTCTGACAGCTGAGGGGCCCAGGGAGGGAAGTCCCTTGTTTCCAACCCTGGCTCCTCCAGTGGCCTCATTCATGCTCCTGGTCCTGAGTACCGGAGGCTGACAAGTTCTGGCGGTTCCTTCAGCCCCGTCACCCTCTGCATGTTGTTCCCGCACTCACTTCCCAGTGGCCACCTCCCTTTATAAGTCCTGGAGACAACACGTCTCCACGAGCCTGCCTCAGCATCCTGTGCCCACCAAGGCTTGCCCTGCCAGGAACCTGGAGTTCTGTCCACTCTGTCTAACCCCAAAGCCCCTCGTCCTTCTTGCTCCTCGTCTCCTAGACACCACCCTCTTCCTCCACGCCAGTCCCCAAGACTAGCTGGGGTTACCCTTAATCTCCCTATGTCTGCTGCCACTGCCATTGCCCCTCCCACTGCTACAGACCACTGCCTCCAATGTCACGGCCCCCATTCTTCCACCTCTGCCCACCAAAGCATCCTCCACCAGGCTGCTGGAATATTTACAAACACAGACCCCTCCCCGCCTACCATAGACCAGGTCCAAGTTTCTCCCCTGGATATGTGATGCTATGTTCAGTTTGGCCCCGACCTTCCCCTCCAGCGTCCAGCTCCCACCTCCCATGGCTCCACAGAGCTGTGACCCTGGGCACACAGCGGCCCCTTGCAGGCTGTCTACCGAAAAACTGGACAGTTCTACCGGTTTCAAGCCTGCCTGAGTCAAGGCTTGGCCAATGGAGCCCGATGAAACCCTTCACCTCTGTCACCACTGCAGGTAGGCAGTTGCCATTACCGGGGCACCCCCAAGCTAGACCCCGCTCTGGACATGCCACCTCCTGCCAAGTCCCCAGTGTGGTGCCTGCATCCACATGCCTGTTTCCTCCGTTGGTGAGAGGCGGAGGGCAGGGGACTGTGCTTCACTGCTGGTTTCTGATGGCCAGGCATGTGCCCAGAAACGCCTGTTCCACTAAGCTGGAGGCCATGGGAGCCCAGGCAGCCCCTTCCCCTGCCTGTGGGTGAGGACCTGGGGGGCGCTCCTCAGAGGGCCCTGGGGAAAGCAGTGTGTCTTGGAGGAGCTGAGGCATGGAGGACCAAGGTGTAGATGGAGCCCTCTCTGTGGGTTTGAAACTCTAGCATGAGAGGCTGGCTCTTCACAGGGCCAGTGGCTGAGGACAGGCTAAGTTCAGGGAGAAGACGACCAGCCTGCGGCCCACCCTGTCCAGGCCCTCCCCCATAGCAGCTTGCATGGCTCCAGGTGGACCCGGCCTCTGGAGCCTGCAGGGCAAGCATGGGGAAACCCCAGCTCATACCCCCTGAACTGGCCCCGGCTTCCTCCCCGAGCCTGTCCAGCTCCCACTCCCTCCCCAGTGCTGGCCAGTGCCCGATGTCCTTTTTCTAAGGGAGAAAAGCCTTTTACTCTCAACCGAGGATGCAGGGCTTAAAGTGCCACTTGCGTGGGAGCCAGGCTCACTGTTCACCAGGCTCTGTCACAGGGAGGCTGGCAACGCCATGGCCTGGGGCTGCCAGAGCCACAGGGCCCTGCGGAGAAGGGGCAGACGGAGGGCCCCAGCCAGAAGACACGCTGGGCAGCGTTCAGCCATCACCCGGGTTCAGGCTTCCTGTCCTCACCAGGGGCCAGCGAGAGAGCAGCAGTGTTCGCTCCTATGGCTGCCGAGGCGAGCAGCTTCCCGGGCTCCATGAGGTGAAGTCACCGCTTTCTGTGGGAGAGGAGCCTGGATCCCACTCCTAGTGAAGGCTTCTTGGCCCAGCAGTGACAAGGTGCGGGCTGCAGTGGCATCGTCACAGGAGAGCGCAGTCAAGGGTGTCCTGGGAGGAACGCTGGTGGCGACCAGGGCTGTGTGTGGGGCCTGGCCGGTAGGCACGGAGAGGCCGCACGCTGGGACGCTGCCGGAGTCAGTTTTATTAGGGAAGAGGGGCTCCCTGCCCCACCCCTCCCCACACCCTCCTTCCGGGAGGTCTGTCAGCCCCAACTGTAGAAGTAGATTTTCTGCCAGGTGGGCAAGTAATCCATGAGCGGCCCTGCAGTGGGAGAGGGACACATCAGGGCAGGCCAGACCCCAATCTGCACTGTGGCGCCACATACAGCACCTCACCCCTGCGGCCCAGGAGCCAGCCCAGCTGGCTGTCTTGCCCTGCCCCCAGGAGGCAGCACTGCAGGGGACTCTGGCACCATTTACAAAGACCCTCAGGCCCAGAGAAGCTCAGCCAGGGTAGACACTGAGGGGCCTGAGTCAGGTCCAGTCACCCAACCCAAGCCCAGTGGGCCTCTGCTGAGGGAGGATCTCAGCAGCCCGGTGGACCCCTTCTCTGCCATTGAATCCCCCCAAGATGAGATGGTCCCGTATCGCTCCAGGATACTGTGACCAGAAAAAAGCTGGCAGCTGATGTGGTCCCCCCACCAGTGGACACCCTCCTTCCAGCCATCCCTGGCTCCTCAGGCCACCCTGGCCTATGCCCAGGGGCAGTCCCACCCAATCCTGACTTCCCGACTTCCTCTCCTGACTGTGCCAAGAATCAAATTGCAAGGAGACAGAGGAGTCAGGGAGGTGCTTGCATGCATGCGCCTTCCAGCACTACAGTCATCGCGTCCCCATCCCTGCTTACTTGTGACCAGGCCAACGCCAGGGACGTGGTCGGCCAGCAACTGGAGCAGGAAGAGGATCCTGGCCCTGGGGGAGGCAATAAATGGGGAGCAAGCTGAGTGGGGTGGGGGTGGGTCCCTGCAAACCAGGAGGCCCAGAGGCCTTCACTGACCACCGTGCCGAATGCAGCGCATTCCAGAAAACAAAGGTGACTTTCTTGGGAGCTAGGACAAAGCCCGGTACACAAGGGCAAGACCTCTGGGGTTGGCTCTGGCCTCCACCCTCCACCAGCTCAGCTTCGGGGTGGCCGCTGACCCACAACACCTCCTCCCATTCCTCTTTCCCCTTCCACCGACATCCAACACTGAAGGCCTCTAGAGGGTCGCATGTGGAGCAGCGCCCTGGCAGTATGGTGGAGGGTCCAGGGAGGACAACCCCACCCTGCCCTCGGGAAGCCCCCCAGTCTGGCAGAAGTGCTGGGCTGCATGGAAACCTCACAAGCCACCAATGAGAGTAGTCAGGACCTTGGTAGGGGACACAGTACTGAAGAGGGCACATTTTGGTTCAGGGGAAGGGGCAAGGCCCAAGGCCCTGATTTTTAAGACAGGAGGGTTTTCCACAGGGGAACTCGGGTGAGATGAGGATGCTGATGACAATACATAGCGCTACGTGCTTACTACACCCCACGCACTGCTGTACGCGTTAGTCACTGAACCCCTACAAAGTGGGTACTGTCATCATCCCCATCTTACAGGTGAGGAAATGAGGCACAGGCGCATCAAATAACTTGCCCAAGGCTACACATCTGGAAGGCGGCCTGACTCCTTATATGTCTGTCTGAGCAGCAAGAAAAGAGGAAGCCTGGGGGCCGGGTGTGGTGGCTCATGCCTATAATCCCAGCGCTTTGGGAGGCCAAGGCGGGCAGATCAATTGTGGTCAGGAGTTCGAGACGAGCCTGACCAACATGGAGAAACCCCATCTCTACTAAAAAATACAAAATTAGCCGGGCGTGGTGGCGCGCACCTGTAATCCCAGCTACTTGGGAAGCTGAGGCAGGAGAATTGCTTGAACCCGGGAGGCAGAGGTTGCGGTGAGCCGAGATCACGCCATTGCACTCCAGCCTGGGCAACGTGAGTGAAACTCCGTCCCAAAAAACAAAAGAAAAGAAAAGAAGAAGGCTGGCTGGGTGCAGTGGCTCCACCTATAATCCCAGCACTTTAGGAGGCCAAGGCGGGCCTTTGTTTCCCTAAAGGACAGGGAGCAGGGTCCAGAGAGGTGCCAGGGTGTGGTCCAGAAGGAGCAGCCTTACTCTTTTTTCTGTTTTAAAAAAAAGATGGGTCAGGCCAGGCGCGGTGGCTCACGCCTGTAATCCCAGAACTTTGGGAGGCCGAGGCAGGCGGATCACGAGGTCAGGAGATCGAGACCATCCTGGTTAACACGGTGAAACCCCATCTCTACTAAAAAATCAAAAAAAATTAGCCAGGCATGGTAATGGGCGCCTATAGTCCCAGCTACTCAGGAGTTGAGACAGGAGAATGGCATGAACCCGGGAGGCAGAGCTTGCAGTGAGCCAAGATTGCACCACTACACTCCAGCCTAGGCAGGCAACAGAGCCAGACTCCATCTCAAAAACAAACAAACAAAAAAAGACAGTGTCTCGCTCTGTCACCCAGACTGGAGTGCAGTCGCGCGATCTCGACTCACTGCAACCTCTGCCTCCTGGGTTCAAGCGATTCTCCTGCCTCAGCCTCCTGAATAGCTGGGACTACAGGCGTGTGCCATCACACCTGGCTAATTTTTGTATTTTTAGTAAAGACAGGGTTTCACCATGTTAGCCAGGATGGTCTCTACCTCCCGACCTTGTGATCCGCCCGCCTCGGCCTCCCAAAGTGTTGGGATTACAGGTGTGAGGCATCGTGCCTGGCTAAACTATGCCAGTTTTGTTTTTTTTTTTCTGTTTTGTTTTTTTGAGACAGGGACTTACTCTGTCACCCAGGCTAGAGTGGGATGGAGTGATCATAACTCACTGCAGCCTCAGCCTCCTGGCCTGATCCTCATGCCTCAGCTTCCTGAGTAGCTAGGACTTACAGGCGCACACCACCATGTCTGGCTAATTATTATTATTTTTTTTTTTTTTTTGTAGAATTGGGTTGCCCAGGCTGGTCTCGAACTCCTGGCCTCAAGCCAACCTCCTGCCTTGGCCTCCTAAAGTGCTAGGATTATAGGTGTGAGCCACTGCTGCCCAGCCTATGCCAGTTTTTAAGCTATTATTAGGTCCTAGACAAAGGGGGTCCCGGGAGCCTTGTCTGCCTCACAGTCCCAGCCACTGCACAGGGTTTCCCCCTGTCAGACTGTGGTCTAACCTCAAGCAGTCATAGTGGCAGGCCTGTGGAAGAACTAGTCCCAAGCTGCCCCCTGCTCAACCCAGCAGGCCTCTCTCAGGCTGGGAGCTCTGGACCCTCGCAGGTGACTGAGTGGGGGCTGGGCCAGGCAGGGAAGGCCAGGGGAGATCCTGGGTTTGGGATCTAGCTCTACCACTGGCTAGCTGGGTGTCTTTAAGTTGCCCAACCTCCTTGAACCTCCAGGTCCTCCTCTGAGAAGTGAGGATAAGCCAAACTATTTGGCAGGAAGAAGTGGAAATGAGCTAGAGGCCATGGGCGCCCGCCCTGTCGCCATCCCTGTGGGCCACCTGGCAATGCCCTCAGCCCTGCCCTCAGTGCCTCTCCTGCCAACCAATGTTTAAGTTCCTGCTCAAGTGGCCTGATGGCCCAGAGAGCTCTGCGGGCGGGACTGGGCTGGCATCTGGTGACTGCCACCCGGACAACACACAGTGCTTGGTGAACCCTGGATGAGGCGTGGGGAAGGGAAGGCGCCAGCAGGGACCGGAGCACCAGTGCCCGCTTGCCAGCCCTCTCCCTGGCTCAGGGTGTCCTGGGTGCTTACTCGGAGAAGCGGTCATAGAAAGGAGAGCGCAGCAGGTAGTAGAGCAGCAGGATGGTCCGGCGCCGCAGCTCCCGCCGCTCCCTCCGGGTCAGGCCCTTTCTGTCACTCAGGAGGCTCAGGCTGGGAGGCAGGGAGGACATGGTCAGGGCCAGGGGCATGATCTAGGCCCACGGAAGGGGAGGAGCCATGGGCTGGGTGTCCAGAGGGGCAGCAACAGGAGGAGCAGGGGCCGCTGCCACCCCGCCTATGTGAGGCCAGGATTATAGCAGAAAGCCCAGTGGAGAGTGAAGCCCCAGGCAGGCCCAGGCTCACCTGGTCACGTCCACAACACCAGCCAAGAGCCAGGGTTTCCACGACCTCTGACCCCACAGGCCCAGGCTGAGCACTGACGGCCAAGGCGTCAAGGATGTCTCCAGCACAGGGGCCTTGCTCAGCACACTCCCCACTCAATCCCCAGCCCACAGTGCCAGCCCTATCCTGCCCCGCGCTAAGGATACAGTGCAGCAGCGGCCGGGCAATGTACAAAAACTCTGCGATGGTCTCCTGCAGCCCCAGGGGGGTGGGGGTCGCACTCAGCTCCTCGTGATGCTGCTGCTGCCGTCCCTCCCGCTGCTGGGGAGCTCCCCAGTGCCTGGAGTGCAGGGACGGCGCTAGAACACAAGGGCGGCAGATGAGCGAGCCAGGCCCAGGCTGGGGCAGGGGAAGGTGGCTGCTGACCAAAGCCAGTCCCTCAAGCCCAGGCAGACAGCACCTAGGTGCCCAGGCCAGCCACATCCTCCACTTACTGTTCTGGAGGGTTCGCACCACCCGGTTTGACCGCTTCCCCACGTAGGACTGCTCATGGTTGCCAGGGCTGTGGTCACCATCTAGCAGGGATAGACAGAAGGCCATACAGTCAGAGGGACATGCTTCCAGCGGAGCCTGCAAAGAACGTGTGCAGTGAATGCTCAGGAGCTAAGGGGAGAACAGATGAGCTTGTACTATGGCAACAGCTGAGTCAAGGGAACTACAAGCAGGGTGGCGGCTCAGCACAAGACCCGTCCACAGAGGAAAGCACTCTGCAGCCCTCCCTAGCCTGGGGAAAGCTCAGCATAGCTGTGGCCAGAGCCAGCCTCCCGGAACCCATGGACAGGCAAGGCAGGGAAGGCCCAGCCTGACCACATCTATGGAGACCACAGCACCAGAGGGGCCGTCTCCTCTCAATCCTTTGCCTTCAAAACAATCATGATGAGAGGCAATGAACGGCCCCAACTCAATGTCCAGAGAGTGAGGCCCAGAAGCTGACGGGATGGGCCCAAAGCCCTGAAGGGACAGATGTGGTGCGTGCCCTGCCTCCTGCCTCTAGAGGCTATGGTTCTGGACACAGAACCAGGCTCAGAGTCGAGGTTGGCGGCATCCCATCTGTTCCCTCTTCCTGCAGGCTACAAAAATGAATGACTCTGGCCATGACAAGTACTGGGTTCGTGTTCTGATTTTGTCCCTAGCCGCATCATTGTCTTCTCTGTCGAATACATGGCAATGAGAACACATAGTTGATAGGGACAGGCGTGCTCCATAAACAGATACTACTGTATTCATGCTGGTTGGATCTAAATCCTCAAGTTAGTCCCATGGCCCATTCCGCTCCAGGGCTTGGGGAAGTAGCTCACCCGGGGGCTGTGCCTGGGTCTCTCTGTCCAGTGGAACGATAGGGGGTGAAGTCTGGAGGCCAGCCTTGAACCAGAGCAGCAGGAGCATCCGCAGTACAGCCCTGGGTCGGGGAGTATGTCAGGGTTGTGGGGAGGTGGCTAGCCGGCGGGAGGCCAGGGATGCTCTGCTGAGCACCATCTGTGTAGCTAGCCTGCGTCACCCCCACCCAGGACCCTCTCCACAATCCCAACCTACTTGGCCAGCTGGACGAGGGCGATGACAAGCCAGCGGCCCACTTCACCCCACACCTTGGCAGCTCCCATCTCCATGAACACCTCCACGCACTCCAGCACGCTCAGCCATGTCAGCAGCTTCTGCTGGGACAGCGACTGCAAGAACCCCAGGCCAAGAAGTCAGGGGGCCTGGGACTACAGGGAGTCCCAGGCCCTTCTCCTAGGAGGGAGCTTCTCTGACAAGAGATGTGGACCTTCCCCTTTCCAAGCCTAACTGTGCAGGTGTGAGTTCAAACACCAACTCCACCATTAACAGGCTGGGGGACCTGAAACAGCTGACTCTACCTCTCTTCACCTGAGACAGTCTCTTCATCTAAGATGGGAATACTCACACTTTACAGGTCACCTAATGAGATGGTTTGAGGCTCAGATGGACATAGGCCTGTCTCATACTCCATGAGACATGTGCTGCACGCATGGGCTAGCTGCTACTATTTCATTCCTGAGTCCCCATGCTTCCCACCCTGTTCTTGGCAGAATTCTCACCACAGGCAACTTTTTCCGAAGCTCCTTCCGTAGGATCCCGTCATTGAGCAGCACAAGCAGGTTAGAGGCAGAGTACACTGAGGGGTAGAGAGTGGCCTTGAGAGGCTGGCTCTGCAGCCTCCATCCCTCTCACCTTCTCCCCAGAGCTGCAGGGATCACCTGTCACATGCTCTGCTCAGACACCCACAGACTATGTGGAAACCAACCTTCTTCTCCACCCACTTCCTCAGCACTCCCCTCTCCCCAACATGATCTCACAAGGGTGGCTGGACCAAGAAAGGATGGGTCAATCTCAGTGACAAGCCAGTTACTGCCCTGCTGGATGGCACTGGTCATCCAGCTGCCCACAACTGCCCATCGCTCTCTGAACTGCCACAGATACACGGTCCCACCTCCTGGCCCTTTCTCTCTTGGCAGCCTGTTCCTGAGGGTCTATTCCACCTCCACTTTTCTTTTTTCTGAGTCGGAGTTTCACTCTTGTTGCCCAGGCTGGAGTGCAATGGCACAATCTCGGCTCACTGCAACCTCTGCCTCCCAGGTTCAAGCAATTCTCCTGCCTCAGCCTCTCAAGTAGCTGGGACTACAGGCACCTGCTACCATGCCCAGCTAATTTTTGTATTTTTAGTAGAGATGGGGTTTCACCATGTTGGCCAGGCTGGTCTCGAACTCCTGACCTCACGTGATCCACCTGCCTCTGCCTCCCAAAGTGCTGGGATTACAAGTGTGAGCCACTGCACCTGGCCTCACCTCTGCTTTTCAAAACCCAGTGCATTCTTTCAGGACTGTGACAGCAGTCACTGGGCAAACACTCTTGAGGTAGTTACAATCTGGGAATCCTGGAATCTGGGAGATCTAGACTTGAATCTTGGTTCTGGGACCATCAGTGACTGTTCTCTAACCTCACTGAGCTTCTTCCTTAAATGGACAGTGATGACAATAAGTACCACTTAATATGACTGTAGGGAGGATTAACAAGTAAAGGTAAGAAAGGCACTTAGTCCAGCGCCTGGCCAGTAGTGAATACTCAGATAAGGTCCCCAGACGTGTCTCTTGACTTAGGGACATGGAGGGCCCAGGACAATGAACAACAGACCTTGTGCCGATTCAGTCATAGCACAAGGTGTCTAACGGGCAGCCCAGGTCCTCGGGCTGGGGTGCTCACCCTCTCTGGGGAACTCACCAGGGGCCAGGCAGCCGATCCCCCATCCCCCACCCCCAGAGCCCGGCTCACCCAGCTCTGACAGCTCGTGCGAATCGGCGAATCGACCTGGGGAGAGGGTACAGAAGGAGGTGTGAGTGAGCATCTGCCTCACATTTCGTCTTCGGGTCCCGGAAATCCCCTCCCTACGCCCTTTGGGAACCTGGACGGGTCTTCTCAAGCACAGCGATCACTACCCTGACTCCGCAGGGAAGGGGGCCACTGGGGTCATAGGTCAGGGCCCAGAAGGAACTGATCAAAGGTCAGGGTGGCACCTGCCAGCAGGTAACTGAAGCCCCGCACTGCTGTCTCCAGCTGGGCCGTGGCGGCCGGGTGACGAGTCACGTACTCCTGGTAGCGGAGGCCCAGGAGCCGCAGCTTCTCCATCCTGCCCTCGGCACCGACAGACCCACAGAAGGACCGTACGACAGGCTGCGGCGCCCTGCTTCCTGCGCCCTCCTTCCTGCTTCCGGTCTTAGGCCCGCCTCTTGGTTGCTTAACTTCCGCGGGCCAGAAGGCTGAGGACTTGAAGAACCGGTGAACCACCCTTCACCCCATCTCTTGAACCGCTTCCCACTCGGGTAGCCCTTAGCAACTGAGGGCCCAAACCCGGCCCCCTACTCCCTCAAGTCATTGGTTAGCACGCTCTCCGCCCCTGACCCGCCCAGCGCCGTCAGCACCCAGCTCTTCCGTTTACCGGGTTGGCTGCCCTTGCGCCTGCGCAGTTAAAGCTCCGGTAAAGCCGGGCGGCAGTCAGAGCAGTTCATTCTAGAGAAGGGAGCTGGAGCCCCGAGTCTTTCCAATGGAACGCCGAGAGACTCGAACGGCAGGGCCGGATTTTAAAGGGCTGAGAGATAGCGGGTGCTTGAAAAAAGGAGCCTCGATCAGATTTGGGGAGGTGCGGGGCGTCTAAATACAGTTGCACTGTGTCTCAGCAGGCGCGCGTTCGGCCAGTATCCCCATCTCCGTTTCCTCAACAAAGGTAGTGCTGGGGAAACTGAGGCAGTAAGGAGTCCAGCCCTCTAGTGCCGTCTCGATCCCCTAGACAGCACAGTTAGTGCTCCGGCTTCGGCCTCAGCTCCCGTATGGACTGTGCCCCCCAAAGGGCTCGCGCCTGCATTCCCACATACGCGAAGAAAGCCCTGGCCCGGGCTTCTCTCGGCTCGGTGGCCCTTGGGCGGGAGTATCCCTTCTCTGGGTCTCGGATTTCCCGATCTGTAAAATGGTTTGAGGGCAGACTTGATCCTTGAACTCAGAATCGATCTCAGCTTTCTGGCCCTCGGACGCACCTCGCAGTCCTCAGCTGCGCCCCCAAGGGAAGGGGAGACCCCTGGGGAGTATCTTCCCAAACCAAGCAGCCTCCCTGGAACGGGTGGCACCGGGAGATCTGCGGCGAGTGGTGGAGGGAACGGGCGCTCTGGGGAGGTAGCGCTGATTGGCTGCGGGGAAAGGGGCGTGACATGGGTGGAGCCGTGGGCCAGTGGCCTGAGGGAGCGGGCCAGCGGATTTATGGTACCCTGAGAATAGTAATACATTATTTTACCTAATCCTCTCCACCAGATATCTCCAGATGAAGAAAGCATCCTTTTAAGAACGCCCAGCCAAAATTTGAGTGTTGGTCTTTTCTGACCTCAGAGACTAGGCGGTTTTTTTTAATTCATTTTTTTTAACTTTAATTTTATTTTTAGAGACCAGGTCTAAGCATCACACCTCACCAGGAAACCACAACCTTCCTTCCACTCCCTCACTCCACCCTACTCCACAGCTTAGTTTTCTTCTCTATCAGGTGGGGGATTAAAGCTGCCCTCTTCTCACATCAAAGAACGAAGACCCAGGGAAAGGTGACCAGGGGCCTGAGGAGAGGCAAAGGTCTTGGAGAACAGAGGAGGTGGTCATGGGCATCGTCGACATCATTTCTGGCCACGCTCTGGGTTCCAGGCTTGCTTGCCCTCCTCCCAGCAGCCCCAAGTTGCTATGAACTGTTCACAGATGGGAAATTAGGGCCCAATAAGGAGGGGAAAGGATTTGTCCCACATGGCACAGCAAGGCACTGGCCAAAGAGGCCACAGCGCAGGTCTCCAGTGGCAGTGCCCTCTCTCCTACTGCCCACAGCCCACAAAAGCTGTGACATGTTGAGGCTCCTTGGTCATAAGGCCAGTTAGCAACTGGGATTAGGACCTAGGCTCAGGGCCCTCAAGGTGAGGCTCCTTCTCCCTTCCTCTGCCCCACCTTGTTTTTTGTTTGTTTGTTTGTTTGTTTTTGAGACGGAGTCTCACTGTCGCCCAGGCTGGAGTGCAATGGTGCAATCTCAGCTCACTGCAAACTTTGCCTCCCAGGTTCAAGCAATTCTCCTGCCTCAGCCTCCCGATTAGCTGGGCCTACAGGCGCCCGCCACCACGCCTGACTAATTTTTGTATTTTTAGTAGAGACGAGGTTTCGCCATGTTGGCCAGGCTGGTCTCGAACTTCTGACCTCAGGTGATCCGCTTACCTCAGCCTCCTAAAGTGCTGGGATTATAGGTGTGAGCCACTGAGCCCTGCAGGGCCCTGCTGTGCACCAACACCTTAGTGAACTTGTTCCTCAAACCTCCAGTTTGGCCACTCCTCCAGCCCTCCCTCTGCAGCTGTGGAGAGGGTACAGAGAGAGAATTTGAGGTTCTTCAGCACTCCTTGGGCTGGAGGTCCTGATTCTGAGAGCAAGGTGTGGAGGGGAGAGGGGCAGACTCCCCAGGACAGAATAGGAAGGGGCTTGGGCTGGAACCAGTTTCTTCTCCCTCCCTGCAGAACTGGGAAGGGGAGCATGGGTCTAGCCAGCTTGGCAGCAGCAGGGCTGCCTGAATTTCCTCTCTAGATCCCAGGCCGGATTAGGGCCCAGAGACAAAGAGTTGCGGTGTGTGCAGGAGGCCCCTCCCCTGCTCCCTGGCCCCCTGCCTGGGCTTGGCCGTCTTTGTTGGGCTGGAAGGACCTTTGGGCAGATTGAGCCGTATCCTCTCTCCTTCAGTTTGCCCCAAGTCACAGGGGAAGAGAGGTAGACCAGTCCAACATTTACCTACGAGAGTACCAGAGGCCCAGAGATGGAGCCTCACTCGTCTAATAGGGTCACACAGCAAAGTCCTGGGCAGAGCTGGGTCAAAATGGGTCTTAGGCCAAGAGGAACAGCACCTGTTTATATGCCCATACGTGTCCCTCTTTCTCCCTCCACGCCCCCAGAACAACCCCTTGGGGGCCTAGCAGGTATCTCAGCACTTCAGTTTCCCTGAGTGGTGAGGTTGAGCCAGAAGAAGGGCCAACATTGTGAGTGACTACAGTGAGATCTGCAGACCCAGCTTCCTGCACTGACTCCCCCAGCCCCTTTATTGAAGACTCATCCTGGGCCAGCACCCAACTATGGATCCCATATGGTGTTTGTTTGTTTTTAGAGACAAGGTCTCACTCTGTCACCCAGGCTGGAGTGCAGTGGTGTGATTACAACTCACAGCAGGCTTGACCTCCTGGGTTCAGGTAGTCCTCCTACCTCAGCCTCCCAAGTACTAGGCACATGCCACCACGCCCAGCAATTTTTGTATTTTTTGCAGTCATACAGTTTGGCCGCATTGAGCAGGCTAGTCTCAAATTCCTGGGCTCAAGCAATCCACCTGCCTTGGCCTTCCAAAGTGCTGGGATTACAGGCATAAGCCACTGTTCTGGCCTGGTCTCACATGTTTAACCCCCACAAACCGTCTCTGTTGAGGGTCCTGGAGAGGGAATCACATTTCCCCACCCCAGCTTTAGGCTACAGATGAAGATCAGGGAGGCTGGAGGCTCAAGCTCCAGACGCCTGAGTGGCCAGTGCATGGCCCTTCTCAATTTCTGGGTGCACAAGGAGCCACCATCAGTCTCCATAGCAACCATTATCCCTGCCCTCCAGAGACCCAAAGCCTGACCTTCCCCATCTCCCAGAGAAAGGGGGTCTCAGGTTGGGCTGCTTTCCACAGCTTCTTTTGAGTTTGCCTCACTTTTTGCAGCCAGAAGTTGGGCAAATGACACAGCCTGAGCCCCCTTTCCAGGTCATGGGAGGGGAGATTCTCATTCCAATCCACTTTCAACAGGTATTGAGCACTTGGTATGTGCAGGCCCTGGTTGGGCACTGGGGACTGGACAGACAAGGTTCCAGTCCGGTGAGCAGCTTACATTCTGGGAGGGAGACCTGCAATAAACAAGCAAACAACTTCAACTTTCCATGAGTGCTAGCCAGCCCTGGGAGGCTCCGCTGCCAGAAGGAACGTCAAGGGCAAGTCCTGGGGCGGGAGACCCTTCCGGAGGAGGAGCAAGAAAGCTGCTTCTGCAGCGCAGAGCCTGGGGAACGGAGTGGGGCCGCTTGAGACGGGAGGGGCCGGAGGGTGTTCTTGTCTAACAGGTCACTTAAACTCTCCGGGGGAGAATTAGCCCGCATCATGGGATTAATCGAGGGTGATTAAATCCTTAGCACAGGGCCTGGCACGCTGTGCTGGTTTAGGGTCCAGAGCGCCCCCCACCCATTCCCTGGCCTGCTATGGGGTGCGCGGGGGAGAGGGAGGAAAGACGAGCTCCAGGCCGGTGCGCCCGGGCACAATCACGACGATCTGGACAAGAGTGGGGATCCCCGGCCCTGCCCAGGCAGCCTAGGCCGCCCGCGTCTGGGGCCCCTCGCCAGCTCCCGGGCGGGAGGCGGCCTTCACAAGGGCGCTTTGTCCTGGCGGCGCCGGCAGGGCCCGGCCGGGCCACCTGGACTGAGAGTGGGGGAGTGAGGCGAAGGCTTCAGGTGCTCCGCGGCTCTGGCGCAGGTGTCGGCCGGCTCCGCCCCTGTCCCCAGAGCAGGTGTCCCAGACCCTGCGGCCTGCATTCCGGCCCCCTCCTCCTCCCTCGTGTCGAGCTCCCGCAGTGTCTTTGATCCCGGGCCCGGGGACACTGGCCCCTCCCCTTGGGGAGTGAGGGGAGGAGACGCGGCCCCAGAGCGGGGGCAGGGCAGGGGGTCAGGGCAGGTAGCGGGGCCCGGGCCTTCGCGGGTGGCTGCTCCCGCTCCCCCAGCCCTCCCCTCGTCCTGGTGGGAAACTCAGCCCAGAAGGGGGCTTCGGGGGCTCCTCGCGGGCTGGGGAACCGTCGGATGCCGGCCCAAGGGGCGGGGCCAGGACCCCGGGGGGGTCACCCCGCCCCTTCGCGCTCAGCCCCGCTGAGGTGAAACCTGAGCCCAGGTCGGGGGCGGGACCGGCCCGCGCCTCTCCCCTGGTTCCCGCACCCTGGCCGGCGGCTGCGAGCGCAGGGCCCAGCCCGGGAGCCGCTGGAGCAGGTGAGGGAGGTGGCTCGGCGCGAGCCGCACAACCCGGCCGTCGGGCCCCGCCGCCCAGGGCTGAGTCTCCCATCTCGCCCCTCGGTCCGCAGGGCCTGCGATGGAGCCTGCAGCCCCGGGTCGCGTCCCTCCCTGAGCGCCCCCGTCGGCGGCCATGCTGCCCCGAGGGCGCCCCCGGGCGCTGGGGGCCGCCGCGCTGTTGCTGCTGCTGCTGCTGCTCGGATTCCTCCTGTTCGGTGGGGACCTGGGGTGTGAGCGCCGCGAGCCTGGCGGGCGAGCGGGGGCCCCGGGATGCTTCCCCGGCCCGCTCATGCCACGTGTCCCCCCAGACGGGAGGCTGCGGAGAGCCGCCGCCCTCGACGGAGACCCGGGGGCCGGCCCCGGGGACCACAACCGCTCCGACTGCGGCCCGCAGCCGCCGCCGCCGCCCAAGTGCGAGGTAGGTGCGCGCGGCCCTGGCGGCGGGAGTCCTGGGGGCGCCGCCCCCGAGCCCGGCCTCTTGGACATCTGCGGGAATCACAGTACCTGGCGTCTGTCCAGCACTGGCCAGCCGGCTGGGGCGCACCTCGAACGTGCAGCTCCTCTGCTCCCGACCTCATTTCCCCATTTGAAATGAAGGGTTGGCTCCTGCTGCCCCCTCCGCACACTGTTCCGGGCTCTGCTGCGGGGTGGGGCAGCTCAACATGGGTCCTCACCGCCTAGCGGAGAAGGGGGGCTGCTGCCGACCTGGGCGTCCCTCCCCAGCTCTTGCATGTGGCCATCGTGTGTGCGGGGCATAACTCCAGCCGAGACGTCATCACCCTGGTGAAGTCCATGCTCTTCTACAGGTACAGCCAGGTGTCCGTGGAGGAGGGTCAGGAGTGGGGAAGGGACAAAGCCCGGGACAGGCTGCTGGTCTCAGAGCTTCAGCTTCCTCATCTGTGACGCGGGGACAGTGTCCCCTTCCTCCCTTAGAAGGGCAGTTGTAAGAACATCCTGCCGGGCGCGGTGGCTCACGCCTGTAATCCCAGCACTTTGGGAGGCCGAGGCGGGCGGATCACGAGGTCAGGAGATCGAGACCATCCCGGCTAAAACGGTGAAACCCCGTCTCTACTAAAAATACAAAAAATTAGCCGGGCGTAGTGGCGGGCGCCTGTAGTCCCAGCTACTTGGGAGGCTGAGGCAGGAGAATGGCGTGAACCCGGGAGGCAGAGCTTGCAGTGAGCCGAGATCCCGCCACTGCACTCCAGCCTGGGCGACAGAGCGAGACTCCGTCTCAAAAAAAAAAAAAAAAAAAAAAAAAAAAAAAAAAAAAAGAACATCCTGAGCCGGGCGTGGAAAAGCTCTTTGCAGATGGCGCTTCCATCTCTGCGCCCCTCGGGGTGGGGGCTGTCCCATGTTGCTCCTGCTGGGGCCTCTCAGGCTTCCTCTTTGCCCACCCAAAAGGAAAAATCCACTGCACCTCCACTTGGTGACTGACGCCGTGGCCAGAAACATCCTGGAGACGCTCTTCCACACATGGATGGTGCCTGCTGTCCGTGTCAGCTTTTATCATGCCGACCAGCTCAAGGCAGGGGCCCAGCCCTTCCCCCCTCCCCTCAGCTGTGTCCACCGCTCTCCTCTCTCCAAGACCTGGTGGGGTTGGAGAAGAGAATCATCAGTCCCCCCTCCACCTACTGAAGCGCAAACCCCTCTCTTTTGGGGGTTTACCCCCTCTCCTCTGTGTCACTGCAAGCATGTGTTCTGGTGCTCATAGGCCCCTCTCTGCCATCTCATCTCCTGCCTTTCCCCCACACAGCCCCAGGTCTCCTGGATCCCCAACAAGCACTACTCCGGCCTCTATGGGCTAATGAAGCTGGTGCTGCCCAGTGCCTTGCCTGCTGAGCTGGCCCGCGTCATTGTCCTGGACACGGATGTCACCTTCGCCTCTGACATCTCGGAGCTCTGGGCCCTCTTTGCTCACTTTTCTGGTGAGAGGCCTGGGAGCCTGCCTGGCCTGCCCAGGATCCCTGCATCCAGCCCTGAGCCCAGGTCCTGTGGCAGCTTCAGACAGCTCCCTTATGCCCTCCCCTCCCAGACACGCAGGCGATCGGTCTTGTGGAGAACCAGAGTGACTGGTACCTGGGCAACCTCTGGAAGAACCACAGGCCCTGGCCTGCCTTGGGCCGGGGATTTAACACAGGTGGGGACAGTGGTGAGGGGAGGCAGGCGGGGTGGTCTGCTGGTCCTTGGGCCCCTGGGGCTGGGTGGGGCAAAGAATGCTAGGAAGTCCCCCAGGAAGAACATTGCTGTGAAAAGAACCCTGGATGAAGAGACAGACAGCAGTTCCAACAGTCCTGTGTGTGCTGGATGACTTTGGCCAGCTCTCGTGCTCCCTCTGAGCCTCAGTTTTCTCATCCATTAAATGGGGGATAATTTTAACAGCCCTGGGATCACCAAGTGTGAGAAGGCCATGGATGTGCTCTGTAAGCTGGACAGCGCCTCCTCTTCACCCCCGAGGATTGACTATTGACAAAAGTAGTCTACGAGCAAGCTGGGTGCAATGGCTCAGGCTTGTAATTCCAGCACTTTGGGAGGCTAAGGTGGGAGAATCGCTTGAGCCCAGGAGTTCGAGAACAGCCTTGGCAACATAGTGAGACCCTTGTCTCTACAAACATTAAAAAATTGACCAGTCGCAGTGGCTCACACCTGTAATCCCAGCACTTTGGGAGGCTGAGGCAGGCAGATTACTTGAGGTCAGGAGTTCGAGACCAACCTGGCCAACATGGTAAAACCCCTTCTACACTAAAAATACAAAAATTAGCCAGGGGTGGTATCACGTACCTGTAATCCCAGCTACTTGGGAGGCTGAGGAGGGAGAATCACTTGAACCCAGGAAGCAGAGGTTGCAGTGAGCCGAGTTCACACCACTGTACTCCAGCCTTGGCAATAGAGTGAGACTCTATCTCATACATAAATAAGTAAATAAATAAAAAATAAGTAAATAAATAAAAAGGATAGGTGTGGTGGCATGCCTGCAGTCCCAGCTACTCGGTGGGGGTTGTGGTGGGGTGCTGAGGTGGGAGGTTTGCTTGAGCCTGGGAAGTCGAGGCTGCAGTGAGTCATGATTGTGCCACTGCACCACTCCAGCCTGGGTGACAAAGCAAGACCCTGTCTCTAAAAAACAAAACAAAACAAAACAAACAACAACAACAAAAAACAAGTAGTCCATGATCATGTCTGAACAGTCAGAAAATACCAATGTCAAAAAACAAAGGACACCTTCATGACCCCCATGTCCCCCAGGAGCTGGTCGTCCCAGGTGGGCATGACAGCATCTCTTCATTGGCAGGTGTGATCCTGCTGCGGCTGGACCGGCTCCGGCAGGCTGGCTGGGAGCAGATGTGGAGGCTGACAGCCAGGCGGGAGCTCCTTAGCCTGCCTGCCACCTCACTGGCTGACCAGGTCTGAGGAAGCCTTGCCGGGTGGGGTGTGGCAGGCTGGGGGCTGGGATGTGATGGGTGTCTCTGCTCAGGACATCTTCAACGCTGTGATCAAGGAGCACCCGGGGCTAGTGCAGCGTCTGCCTTGTGTCTGGAATGTGCAGCTGTCAGATCACACACTGGCCGAGCGCTGCTACTCTGAGGCGTCTGACCTCAAGGTGAGTGGGACAAGAGGCTGTGTGGTGGTGGGGGGCCATGGATGGAGACTTCTGCTCCCTGCTCCCATGGCCCCAACACCCTCCTGGGTCCCAGGTGATCCACTGGAACTCACCAAAGAAGCTTCGGGTGAAGAACAAGCATGTGGAATTCTTCCGCAATTTCTACCTGACCTTCCTGGAGTACGATGGGAACCTGCTGCGGAGAGAGCTCTTTGTGTGCCCCAGCCAGCCCCCACCTGGTGCTGAGCAGGTGAGAAGGAGTCACCTTCCCCTGCCCCTCTCTGCTTTGGTGGGACCCAGCCTTGTCTGGGGGATGTGTTGTTCTGCCCTATCCCCGGTCCTTGTCACCCCTTGCCCCCTCAGTTGCAGCAGGCCCTGGCACAACTGGACGAGGAAGACCCCTGCTTTGAGTTCCGGCAGCAGCAGCTCACTGTGCACCGTGTGCATGTCACTTTCCTGCCCCATGAACCGCCACCCCCCCGGCCTCACGATGTCACCCTTGTGGCCCAGCTGTCCATGGACCGGTGAGGGTGCAGAGGGCAGCCCAGGGGGTATGGCATGGGCTGGGGTTGGACACTTCTGAGAGGAGGTTCCATCTGGCAGCCTGATGCTGTGGTAGTGAGCTACCTGTCCCTCAGGGAGTTCCAGAAGTTGGAGACATTGGATATGGTGGAAAGAGCTTGGGCTCTGGAGTCATTCAGATGCCCGGAGCTGCCCCTCGGTCGCTGTGGGACCATGAGCAAGTCTTCATATCTCTGGCCCCTAGTTTTCTCTCTCAAATGAGAAAGTACCCACCTGGTGGGGGTAGTTGTGAAGATTCAATCAGACTGGCTCTAAAAGTATTTGAAGGGTGCTCAGTAAGTCACTTGAGGAGGTGGCAGCAGCAGCTAACTGGGGAGGTTTGCCAGGCCTCCCTGAGCTCCTGTGCAAGAGGGGCAGAGCTGTGCTGACCTCCCTCTCCCCATAGGCTGCAGATGTTGGAAGCCCTGTGCAGGCACTGGCCTGGCCCCATGAGCCTGGCCTTGTACCTGACAGACGCAGAAGCTCAGCAGTTCCTGCATTTCGTCGAGGCCTCACCAGTGCTTGCTGCCCGGCAGGACGTGGCCTACCATGTGGTGTACCGTGAGGGGCCCCTATACCCCGTCAACCAGCTTCGCAACGTGGCCTTGGCCCAGGCCCTCACGCCTTACGTCTTCCTCAGTGACATTGACTTCCTGCCTGCCTATTCTCTCTACGACTACCTCAGGTGGGCCTGCAGGCAGAGAGGGGAACAATATATGGGGTGGACGTGGACGGGGCATGCGTGGGACCCCAGGCTTCCATGTCCCTGCTCCTTTCTGGGCCTCAGTGGCCTCTGTCAATTGGGGTTTGTATTAGGCTGTTTCTCTGGGCTGTCAACAGGGAGGCCAGGGCCGGCTTCAACAGCAGCTCCACCTGTGGTTGTGCCCACCCGTCGCATCAGGCAAGATGGCCCATGGTGGTCTAGTCCTGTGGCTAATGCCCTGATGAGTGTCACTGGCCCAGTCCTAGATGCCCCGCTCTTCTCCCCTGCTCATGGGTGCTCCTCCTCAGGGCCTCCATTGAGCAGCTGGGGCTGGGCAGCCGGCGCAAGGCAGCACTGGTGGTGCCGGCATTCGAGACCCTGCGCTACCGCTTCAGCTTCCCCCATTCCAAGGTGGAGCTGTTGGCCTTGCTGGATGCGGGCACTCTCTACACCTTCAGGTAGGAGAGGCTACTTCTCTGCCCACTCCACTCACTTGCCCACACTGGCCCCCACTACCCACGAGCTCCTAGCCTCAGCCTGGCTCCCACCCGACCCTGCTGCACAGGTACCACGAGTGGCCCCGAGGCCACGCACCCACAGACTATGCCCGCTGGCGGGAGGCTCAGGCCCCGTACCGTGTGCAATGGGCGGCCAACTATGAACCCTACGTGGTGGTGCCACGAGACTGTCCCCGCTATGATCCTCGCTTTGTGGGCTTCGGCTGGAACAAAGTGGCCCACATTGTGGAGCTGGATGCCCAGGTGAGGAGGGCACCTTGCTGCCTCCACCTTTGACTCGAGCACCTCCAGGTCCAGGGAACTCACGACACCTGCATGGGGGACCACACCACTAGGCAACACTGTTAGAAATGTCCCCCTTCTGTGGAATTAAAATAATCTGCCCTTTGGCCCTTGCTTTAGCTCTCAGGGGCTACAGGGTAAGCCTGTTCTCTGGAGCTGCACCTTCCCCGCAGGCCAGGCAAGCCAGGCAGCCACTGCTCCTCTGCCCCACCCTGCAGGAATATGAGCTCCTGGTGCTGCCCGAGGCCTTCACCATCCATCTGCCCCACGCTCCAAGCCTGGACATCTCCCGCTTCCGCTCCAGCCCCACCTATCGTGACTGCCTCCAGGCCCTCAAGGACGAATTCCACCAGGACTTGTCCCGCCACCATGGGGCTGCTGCCCTCAAATACCTCCCAGCCCTGCAGCAGCCCCAGAGCCCTGCCCGAGGCTGAGGCTGGGCCGGCGCTGCCCCTCATCTTAGCATTGGGCAGACACCAGGGCAACCTGCCCTCCGCCATCCCTGCTATTTAAATTATTTAAGGTCTCTGGGAAGGGCTGGGGCAGAGCATCTGTGGGGTGGGGTCTTCCCCTTGCTGCTATTGTATGGCTGGGGACTGGTCTCTCTCTGCCCCAGCCAGTTTGGGGCTGGTTCCCCCATCTTGAATTGTTTATCCCTTTTTCATAATTAAAGTTTTAAAACATCTTTTTTGTGTTCCTGGTTTGGGGGAGCAAGGGCACTCTGGGGCTAGGGCGTCAGTGCACAAGGGAGGTGCTACATCCAGCTGGGGTCACAGGAGGGCCTGGGCCCTTAAGGGCAAGCACCCCCCCGCCCCCCACCCCCAGACAGCCAGTCAGGGAGGGCAGAGGCTGGGACTGGAATGTGTCCTGCCCACCCTCCCCTGCCCCAAACCCAACACCATGAGGCTGAGAGGCTTTATTTGGCTTTATTTAGTAAAATGTTAAAATAAATAAATACAAATTGATCAGCTGCTCTGTATCCCCCCCCACCCCCTCAAAACAAAAACCAAACAAACAAAAACAAAAACTTTGAAGCACAAAACTCCAAATACAAGTCTACCAAGACTGAAATCACAAAGGGCATGGACAAGAGACAGGGTTGGGGTCTGGCTGGCTCTTCTCTGCTAGGAGCTGGCTGACCTCTGGCCTGCCCGTCCCATCCCGCCTGACTGCAGCTCACCCTGGGCTGAGGACCCACGGACACCGGAGAGAGGTGAGGGTCCAAAGGCTGCTGGGGAAGGGGTAGGGGGGTGGGGTCCTCAGGGAGGAAGGGCCTTGTGGGAGGGGGCGCCAAGTGGAACTGGAGAGCCCTGCTTCCGTTTAGAGGAGGTATTTTTCAGAGTTCCTACCCCGGCTTTCTGGAGGGCAGCCCCAGCTTCCTGCCCCTCACTTTAGCAAGGGGCCAGAAGACTGCCCAGGGCTGCCCACTCCTGTCTTGGAGAGGAGCTGACTCAGAGGACAGTCTAAGTCAGGGTGAGGATGGGAGTCCTGCTTCCTGCCAGGGGTGCCCGGCAGAGGGACAGGGGCGAGGTTCACACAGAGCAAAGTTGCCTCCACTCAACAGAAGCCACGGGATCTGGAGAACCCAGGCCCTGGAAAATGCACCTGGGCCACCATCCATCTCATTACCCTAAGAGCCTTTTGCCCCTGGGTAAAAAGTCTCCTAAATTCAGCCCTTTAGATAAATAAGAAGGACCACGCCCTATAAGAGAATGAAGAGAGGAAACCACTGAAGAGTGTGTGTGAGCTGGGAGGTGACAGCCCAAGGGAGGCTCTGATGGCCCCAAGAGAGAAGTATCAGAGGTGGCTGGAGAGGCAGCCGTGCATGCGGAGACGGAAGCGTGCTGCAGACACGGTCACCCTCACGGAAACAGCTGTGTGTAACCACCTCCATGCACGCTGCCTGTTGGGCCTGAGCCAAGCAGCAGCAGGGACAGAGAGGCAGGTGTTGCAGGGAAACCAGGCACACGATGGTGCCAGCTGGAGGCTGCCAGGGCGGCCCCACCAGGGACTGCCCCTAACTGCCTCCCTATGTCAGGTACAACCAGCAGGCTTACCCCAAAGGGCCTGATAAGGAAGGAAGAAATCAAAACCCCAGAGGAGCTCAGCACAGGTGAGACAAGACCCAGCAGGCTCCATGAAAGAAAAAGGACCCACAGGCAGCAAGAATGCAGAGGTGGAGATGACAGCAACATGGCCTCACTGTTACCAGGATGCAGCGCCTGGACAGGAGCTGGCAGGGGACTCCCAGTCATCACTGCCACCAGGGCGCAGCGCCTGATCAGGAGCTGGCAGGGGACTCCCAGTCAGGGCCCAGTGGGCAGCCGCTCCAGCTCTCTGAAGTGACTACAAAGCCAGCTGGTCTCAAAAGTGGCTGTCAGAGCAGCTAAATTCTGGGCCGTGGGGAAAGAGCAGCGGAGGGAAGGAGGAGGAAGCAAGTGGAGGTGGCTGGGGTGGGGCAGTGTCACGAGCGTATGTCTCAGGTGGTCACAGGCCCCCCCCCCTCCCCGCCCAGGTCTGAGGGGACAGTGAAGGACAGGGAGATTGGGTGCCAGGGGCCTCTTCTTTACAGTAAAGCAGTGTTTTGGAATTTGAGTGCAGAATGTAGGTTTGGGGGCTGGGTTGCATCTCGTACTCCATACTAGCTGACTCCCAAAACAGCTCACATCTGAATGTCAGGAAGAATCCACAGCCCAGCTGCAGGCGAGGTCAGAATGTACCCGACACTGCTGAGGGCGGCAGGCAAAGCCCTGGTCAATTCCTAGCCCCGTCCTCCGACCCAAGACTCCTAAGGCAGCTCCTCTCTGAGCAAAGGCCTCTAGTGATGATGGTTTCCCAACTTCTTTCAGGAAAAGGTAAGTTAGGTGTTGTGTGGCAACCCCCAGATGGGCCCAGACAAGTTGAGGGGAAGAGCTCTAGACAGGGCAGACAGCCTGCTGCTGGTCTCTGATCCTCTGCCAACGATTCCTCCAACTAGTCCAGGCATCTCCAAGGCTCCCTGACTAGACACAGCACCTTGGTTTCTGAATGAGAAAAGGGAACTCTTTCCCCCTCAGCCAATCAAGCAGCCAGGGCCTAACTCTGAGGCCTGTTCAGCCTAACTTAATTCCTTCTTCTGAGGCCCCTGGGAAGATGAAAGGCGATGGCTGATAGAGATGAGACACATTTTACTCTAAGAAGTGTCTCTTCTCTGTTGCATTTGCTTTCAGATCTGTCTTTGTCTCTCTGGGCCTAATTGGGTGGGAGAGAAGCTGATAGGATCGTTTCTACCTCTCCTAGACTCTGGCCATTCCCAGGGCCTGGAGTGGGCTTGGGGGAGATGCTCCAGCAGGGCCAGGGTACAGAGCCTCCACCGCCCTCCCATCGGCCAGGGGCACGCAAGGGGCAAAGGTCTCCAGCGAGAGCACAAATCTGACACAATTTACTTCTGACAAGGCAAGATGAGAGAATGGTCTGAGTCTTTCACAACCCTGGTTTTCTCAAGGAGAGGCCACAACCGGCCAAGCCGAGGCAAGCGCAGCAATTCTAGCCCAGGGTCACCCAGGAGGCTTGTGGGTGGGTGGAGTGGAGTAAATTTCTGGTGCCTGGAGCCAACAGGCAGAGAAAGGAGTGGGAGCTTCAGACCTCTCCCCAAAGGCAAGACAGAGCGAAGGCCACGCTGGGGCTCTGTCTCAGAGACGTACCCTCAAAACATGTCACTCCTCCTCTGTTCTAAGCACCAAGGGCTGATGCAGCCAGCCTGTACTCCCGCACCCTCCTGTCACGGCCAGGGTGCGTGCGCACCACAGAGCTCCGCTGGCCAGTTCCCTCGGAGGTGTCCCCCAGGCACTCATAATGCTGGTGGCTGAAAGACCAAAAGCAGCACCAAAGGAAGGGATCTTATTTAGGCACCAGCCTTTTGCTCTAGCAGAATCTGAGAAGACCACGGGTAGGGCCCTGATACCATCCACGCTTCCATTTGGGCTTCACAACAGGAGACAAGATCCCTGCACCAAGAAGAGAGCACGGTCTTTTCTGAGGAGAGAGAAGGGTGGGGAGCTCCGCCTCTGTCCTTCAAGGAGACTGGCCCACCAGTCTAGAGACACACACACGGCAAAATGTCATCGTGATCAGCAGGGTCTGTGCTAAAAAATTATAACTACACGGCATTTTCTCCAGTTCTGACACCTTTTTAATAGAAATCACTGTTTTTAGGAAACAAATAGCACTTTTGTAATTTTTTTTTACAATGTTTCTTACCTTGATCTTAATTTAAGTAACACTAGGAAGACCTCAATATCTTTTATTTTCCTTTTTAATTTAAAAAAAAGTTTTTTTTCCCCAGATACAAAGATTTTTGCCCTTGCATAAAAAAACAGTGCCCGAACGATGACACAAGGACTCACAAAGACTCACGGGACCTCACTGACACTATGATTCCTACTCTACCATGCAAGGTCTTGGCTACCCTTAATTGGACTGTCAGCCTGAAAAACAGCTTTTCTATTCCTTATTTTAGTTTTTGTTACCAAGAAAGTAAAATGAACAGTAAAATAAAACTTTCCTTAAAGAAAAAAAGAACAAAAACAAAAATTAAAGAAAGAGAAAAGAAACGTCTCCATTCAATTCACACACACCTGGGTCGCGTGCTGCTTCACTCAAGATCTTCTCTTCTTATAAATATAGAAAAGGGATGGAGCTTGTTTTCAAGTAAAATCACTGATCCACCTTTTTTTCCTTCCTGGACACACACATCCTTCTTCCCTGCCTTGGGCAAGGGCCAGTGGCCCGGGCTCTGCTTGTTCTTGGAGAGGAGACAGCGGGATAACCACGGAGATGCGCGACTCACCAAGCAGGGAAGGAAGGAGACTGGGCAGGCTTCAGGAGTGGTGGGGTTACCGCGCAGGGAGCAGAGTGCAGGGGAGAAGAACCTACTGGCTGTTCTTGGTGTCAGTCTCCCCTTGCACGAGGCCCCCGCCAGAGGTGATTAAATACTGCTTATTTGATACACTGTCCCACCCCCTGCTCCCTCCAGCCACTCCCCTTCCCTCTTCTGGGCACTGGGGTTGGTGAAATCTCAATTCCTTTTTTTGGTTTTATAGTAGCGAAAGTTTAGAAACAGGAAAGCCCACACACTCTTTGGACTTGTCTTCTCTACCTAAACAAACGGCTCGGCAAGTAAGGATCTGAAACCTGCTCTCCTCCCTCCGCCCGTCCCTGCTCCCCACCCAAGAAAACAGAAACAAACCCATCGTGGCTGTGGAGGCTGCTGCAGGCACACACTGGTGTATAATAGAGAGAGTAAATATATTATTTCACTTGGCATGGTGCTGGCAAAGAACCTCCAGCTGGCACTATTTCATGTAACATGGTCCAATCTTTGCATGTACACACAGAATAAGAAGGATCAATTGGCAAACTCTGGTGCCACCTGGCACAAGCATCTTCTCTCTCTCTGGAACCAAAGAACCAAAAGAATTCTGCACTTTCCAGAAATCCGGCTTTGCTTTTCTAGAGTCTTCAGTGTTCTGTTCTCCTTGCCGCCGGGATCCCGTGGCTTCTCCTAGAGGGGCTCTGTTATTTAGTCTCTTCCCCCTGGTTACAGTTCGCTGTGCAGCTCTGGGAGGAGGGGGAAGGGGCCGGCGTGGAGGTGGCGGCATTGGCAGGGGGGGTGCAGTCCGGGCCATTGGAGATGGCCCCCACAGTGGCCTCAGAGTCTACAGGTTTGGAGAGGTCGATGCCGTGGATGAGGCGAATCAGCTGTTTTACCTTCTCCAGGGAGCTGTGCATCTCCTTCTGCCGGGCCAGGATGGTGTTCTTCATTTCCATGCATTTCTGCAGCAAATGACAAGGGCAGTGGCACTGAGCCGCCTGGTTTCTAACAGGCCTGGCAGCCCCTAAGAGCAGAGCGCCTTCTCTCTGCCCAGGGAGAAGAAGCTCTGCTGGCTGCTGTGCAGCCCCTGGGCCTTGCTGTGTTCCTCAGTGGAGTGGGCGGCTACCACCTAAGGAACAGGGCGGGTGGAGTGGGTAGGCTGGGGGGTCCCAGGTCCCAGAGGCAACAGAGGGAGAAAGAGCATGCGGGCACCAACACACAGGAGTACTAACGCTTAAAAACAAACCGGCAGAGCCGCCATCAGACTTCCAAACAAAGGTTGTTTAAAAAAAAAAAAAAAGTTCCCACAGCTGTCCTGCAGCCTGTTTAGGCAGGTTTTGATATGCTTCTGTCATGCTAACTGGGGAGCCTTCAGGACTGGACTGAGCTCTCCAGGGTGGAAAACACACAGTGCTATCTGGATTCCATCTGAGGGCAGCAGGAAGTGAGACGACAGGCCAGCAGCATTTAGGAGGATCGAAGCCCCAAGGACAAAGGCCTGCAGCCAGTACACCTTCTGCTCAGCCGGGGACTTAGAGTCTTTTGCCCTTTTGCCCTCAGCTTCCCACACCTGCTGGCTTCTATTTTAGGCAGGGAAAGAGAGGAAAGAGGTGTTAAATCTGCATGCCATGGGTAGGTATGGTGAGGAGGAGAAAGCAGGTAAGCAGGACAGTTCAACTGCCACCAAGTACAAGGCACCACCTGGTATCCATGAGGGCTGAGGTCACTTCACTCCAACAAGGGTGACCTACTCAATGGAAAAGAAGACTGGCTCCTTGCCTGGGAGAAGCCTCTGTCCCCCTGCTGCAAATACAACCCTCTTTCCCACTTGGACAGGCCGGGCTGGGCAGTACTTACTTCCAATACTTGTCTCTAGAAAGCCCGCTTCCTCACACTGGTCAGGAAAACCGGGAAATGCAATCAGCATGGTGTGGAAGAAAGAGCGAGGGAGGGCCGTACGGATGGGCCCACTCGCTCAGGTGACTAGGAAGAATCACACGAGGGGACCTGGTCTGTGTCTGCTCAGTGTCAGGTGAGGCGCTACACTCCCCCCACACACTGTCAGGAATACGCAGGGCCATGGCTACACTGTTGTAGCTGTTACTTATTCAGCCTGAAGACTGAAAATCCTCTCTCTGATTAAAGCCAAGAGGATGTTACAGAGCTTGGGTAAGGCACCACCTACCAACTGGCCGCCTGTACCTGAGGTCTGAACTCTAACTGGATGGCAAACTGCATTTGCCCAAGTTAATCACGTTAATAAACAGAAGGACCCGAAACAGCCTGGGGCCCACACGTACTGTTACGTATATTGGAAAGGCCTAGGTCTCTGCACCTATGTATCGACTGCTGAAGGCATGAGGTTTACTTACACTTATGGAATTGCTGAGCTGTTTCACCTTTTGCTCTAGTTGTTCTCGTTCTTGTTTTAAATCTGAACTCCATTTAAGTAACTTCTGTTTCTCTTCTTCTTTTGCTAAAAAAAAAAAAAAAAAAAAAAAGGAACGGTTTTTGACAATTAATTCTTTGAAATGTCCTCTGTGCTCAGAATGCCTGCCAAAGAAGGTATTTTCCCCAGAGCTCCCATGAGTCCTACAACCCAGTGCAGAGAATCTGCCCACCTGGACTTTTCCTTTTTCTGTGTACAGTATGCTAAAACTGTCAGTGGCTTGGGTCTGGCTTTACATAAATGAGATACCACATCTCATTTTCTTCCCCCAAGAAGTGCTACAGTCCAGGCATGATGGCTCATGCCTGTACTCCTAGGACTTTGGGAGGCCAAGGCAGGTGAATCACTTGAGCCCAGGAGTTTGAGACCAGCCTGGGTGACATGGCGAAACCTGTCTCCACCAAAAAATACTAAAGTTAACTGGTCATGGTAGTACACACCTATAGTCTCAGCTATTTGGGAGGCTGAGGTAGGAGGATCGACTGGGCCCAGGAGGAGGAAGCTGCAGTGGGCTGTGATCATGCCACAACACCCGAGCCTGGGTTGATACAGTGAGACCTTGTCTCAAAAAATAAATGAATAATAATAATAATAAATGCTACAGAAGTTTTCCACTTTATCCAATAAAAAGTTTTCATTTGCTTTGTTTCCTCCAATAGTTAAGGGCAAAAGGTTTTCATTTTTAAATTTAAATTCCCTTTTGAGAATAAAACAAATACTGCCAGTATTTTTTTCAAACAAGGGGAAGCTTACAAAAAAGTGGGTATGGATAACTCCTTACCTGCTTTGTAGGCAATATAGGAATGAACAATTGCTAAAGTTCCAGGCCATGGAATTGCTTCTTCCTTCTTCAGCATCTGAAAAGATTTTTAGAATTTTACCTTGAGAAGGAGGTTTAAACACACATCCTCTATGTAACAGCTAGCAGTGGTATCTGTGGCTACTGGCAGATAAAATCCAGGAAGGATTTATGGTAGCAGTGTTGCAAAACCCTGGTCTATAGTTTCTGGACTAAAAAGTTCCAAATATCAGCTTAGGAGAATCAAGTTCAAGGCAGGAAGAGCCAGGACACTTGAGCCCAGGCTTAGAAGGAGCTGGGACTTGGCTGAGCATTCCTATCTTTTCACACACGCCACATGACACCCAACCACTCCCGACAGCTAGAACCACCAACACAAAAGCTGCACATCAGCATGATGGCAGCAGCCACTGGCAGTTTCGTCCTTGACCTGACATGGGCTGCCTGTCTCAATTTTAGATTTCGATGTCCCTCAAAGACAGCCTGACCAAGAAAATTAAATATTAGTTCCAAATACTAAAGTATAATCTAGACCCTATGTCAAAAATCGTCAGAAGGTCACAAAGCAGCATCAGGAGGAGGACACTGAGAGAAGTGTTCCGCTGCACCACAGGCTGCAGGATGAGGACAATATTACAAGGGAAAACCAGAATTTGTTCAAAGCAGGATTCCAAAGAACTGAGCAGAATCCCAGTACTTGCTGAGCTATTGGGCTTGCTTATTTATTATTTATACTTTGCCTACCTCTAAAAAAGACTTGAGACAGCTTATAATAAAATCATAAAGACATAAATATACATGCATAGTTGAGAAAAGGCGACCAGAAACCAAAGAGAGAACGAGGGAGGCTAGGACAGTTACTAATATGTTTGCCTTTTAAGTCTATAAAATATCGACAGCACTTTACACTTAGTTCTCTGAGCCTGATATAACAAAATAGGTTAAAAGTGAAATGGGTGTTGTTTTATTATTAGTATTATTTTTTTGAGACAGAGTCTCGCTCTTGTCACCCAGGCTGGAGTGCAGTGGTGTGACCTCCGCTCACTGCAGCCTCCACCTCCTGGGTTCAAGCGATTCTCCTGCCTCAGCTTCCCAAGTAGCTGGGATTACAGGCGCCTGCCACCATGCCCGGCTAATTTTTATATTTTTAGTAGAGATGGGGTTTCGCCATGTTGGCCAGGCTGGTCTCGAACTCCTGACCTTAGGTGACCTGCCCGCCTTGGCCTCCCAAAGTGCTGAGATTACAGGCCTGAGTCACCACGCCTGGCCCAGGGTGTTATTTTAATTAATCAACTGGGCAATTTCCCTTAATTTCATTCCCAAAGAAGAGTTTTAAAACCATATACTTGGTCTGGACCATTCCTAGAGAATGAGGCACACTGGACTTTAAAGGGTCTTGACTTTTAAAGAGAAGACAAGTCATTTCAAATACAAGGAAGCATCTATCCAGCTCAGTAATATGGCAGAGGGCTTCTGAGGGAATGAAGGCCATGCGCCTGCGTGCTGTGTCATAAACAGGGAAGATGCAGCCCGGAGACGGACTGGGAGAGAGAAGAGACTGCCATTTCCCCGGGAAAGGAATTCCTCCTGATGGCCGTGTCTTTGTCCTCCTCGGCCCCTCCCCTGTTGGACCCACCCACAGTACCTGGTCCTGACATCTGGGACAGATCCACATGCCCTTGGGAATTGTTTTCAGAGGGGGGTCTAAGCAGTCCAAATGATATACACGGGAACATGTGTCGCACATCAGTAACTGGCCACTTTTTCTGCAAACGCTGCAAAAATCCTCATGAATATCACCCTATAAAGTTGAGAGGAAAGGTAAGAAAAAGGACAAAAAAGGTAAAATTTTAATGTTAACATGCACATTCTAGATGCATATAAATGTTTTAGGACAATCAGCTGCCTCGTTCCAGGAGTACTCAAGAGAAGCAGGAATCACCAATAGCACATGCCCCTACTCACTCCACATAGCTAAGGCTCCCTGGGTGGGGACAGTACAATAGTCCCCCCTTATCCTTGGGGAATATGTTCCAAGACCCCTAGTGGATGCCTGAAACCTCCGTACTGAACCCTATAAATATGTTTTTCTATACACACAGACCCACAATAAAGTTTAATTTATAAATTAGGCACAATAAGAGATTAACAACAGTGACTAAGAAAACAGAACAATTATAACGATATACTGTAATAAAAGATGGGAATGAGGTCTATCTTCTTTTTTCTTTCTCAAAACATCTTAATATTTTCAGACTGCAGTTGACTATGCGTAACTGAAACAATAAGAAGTGAAACTTCAGATAAGGGGGAGACTAGTGTATTCTTTTTTTTTTTTTTGAGACAGAGTCTCGCTCTGTCACCCAGGCTGGAGTGCAGTGGCGCGATCTCAGCTCACTGCAAGCTCCGCCTCCCAGGTTCACGCCATTCTCCTGCCTCAGCCTCCAGAGTAGCTGGGACCACAGGCACCTGCCACCACCCCCGACTAATTTTTTGTATTTTTAGTAGAGACGGGGTTTCACGTGTTAGCCAGGATGGTCTCGATCTCCTGACCTGGCTATCTGCCTGCCTCAGCCTCCCAAAGTGCTGGGATTACAGGCGTGAGCCACTGCACCCGGCCGGGACTACTGTATTCTTAAAGTTTACAGGAGAGGTCTATAGTCGCCAAGGCCAAAATTAACATTATAGGCGATACCTAAGAGTTTTATTATGTTTTGGTAGAGGACAACCTACATATCATAAATCTTACAGGTACGGAAATCCATTCATCAAAGTGTTTCACAATATGATACAAACAATTCTCATCACCTATCAATTCTAGGGGGAGTTTAGAAGGACTGGGAAAGAAGACAGACAAATATTGGAGTTTTCCTGAATTTGCTTGCTCAAGAAGAAAAAAATACAGTGAAAGTTCAAATGGGAAAATATTAAGTCAGAAACAAATTAAATTCATATGCGAGTTCTTTCTAAAATGAAGAATTTAAAAAGCCAAAGCAACAGCTGACAATGTTCTCCTAAAACCAGTATTTTGTGTTTGCTGTTCAATGGGCCATTCTATTCTGGGAGGCTTTATCCCTATAAAAACTTCACCAGCTGGAAAAAGACGAGCAGCCCCAGTCTGTTCTGCTGGTCCTGTCTCTCTACCACCCCCATCACAGTGATAGTGTTAGGACTCAGGTAAGTCTGCTGGAGCCTCTGAACAGAAGGCACCATCAGAATAAAGCAGATCTACTTAAAATTGGAAGAGGAGAACATAGCCCAAAAAAAAAAAAAAAAAAAAAAAAGAGCTATTAAAGAGGTCTTTTCCAGAGAGTCAATGCCTAGCTCATTCTCTGGATGGGATTAAATCCACTGATAAGAACACCAGGGAAGGGAAGACTGAAGGGAAGTGCTAGAGGTGACCCAGCAAGTCAAGCCAATGTGCTGCTGTGGATTTCCTGGCTATTCTGCCAGAAGGTCTAATACAGAAATTGTGCACAAGAAGCAATAATAGAGAGGAATGTGAATCCTTCCTTTCTATGATGTAATCCCTCCACCACCACTAGTGAAGGAACACATCGTCATGGACCTACAATTTCACTCCAAGGGAAACCTGCTCTGTAATCCACTAGGGTATCTGGCAGCCCAGAAAAAAGGCTACACAAGTTTTAAGATACATCATAGTGTGGATGGATTTTAATCTTTTTCTTTTTTTTTTTTTTAGACGGAGTCTCTTGCTCTGTTGCCCAGGCTGGAGGGCAGTGGCGCGATCTCGGCTCACTGCAACCTCTGCCTCCTGGATTCAAGCGATTCTCCTGCCTCAGACTCCTGAGTAGCTGGGATTACAGGCGCCCACCACCACGCCTGACTAACTTTTATATTTTTAGTAGAAACAGGGTTTCACCATGTTGGTCAGGCTGGTCTCGAACTCCTGACCTCATGATCTGCCCACCTCGGCCTCCCAAAGTGCTGGGATTACAGGTGTGAGCCACTGCGCCTGGCAGATTTTAATGTTTCTTAGTAGGAAAATGTGACCACTGGACAGTAAAAAAGATAACATATGTTCTAAAATATTACATGTGAATGTAGCCTAATAGTTTAACTTCTAGGCACCAAAAGAGGTAAGGTTTCATCCCTAGATTAACTATGATTTTCTTCCTTCATTATTAAAATCAGGCTGAGGGCTACTCTTTTCCTCTAGAGGGTCAGCCTTTCTTGAACCTTATCCCTAAGTGGTGAGTCTGCGTCTTTAGAAAGTTTATTTAAAATGTGTGATTTTAGAGACTGTTTTATGTGAACTACAGAAAAAATTATCAGTGATGGAGTGAATGAGACAAACTGGGCATCTTATTCAGACGGACTTGGGATAAACGAAGAGGCGTTCACTTTCCTTTGCTCCTGAGCAAGGAGCACATCAAGAAACAGAAGGCAGAAAGACAGAAAATAAAAATTAAATAATTTATTTAAGTTCCCAAAGGAAACTTCCTATCTGGTGTATATACCCTATAATTTTTGGTGTTAAGATCCCTTTTCACTCTTAAAGTTACTGAGGATCCCAGAGAGCTTTTATATGAGTTATATCTATTAATATTTACTGTTAATAGCAGTTAAAAAACAATTTTTTTTGAGACCGGGTCTGGCTCTGTCACCCAGGCTGGAGTGCAGTGCTGTGATCTTGGCTTACTGCAGCCTCGACCTCCCAGGCTCAGGTAATCCTCCCACCTCAGCCTCCCAAGTAGCTGGGACTACAAGTGCGTACCACCATGCCCGGCTAATTTTTTTATTTTTTGTAGAGATGGGGGTCTCCCTTTATTACCCAGGCTGGTAAAAACTTTCAATTCTGAATTACAGAACCATGAAAAATTACAAACAAAGCATATTAAAACATTTTTAAACTCCAAAACACAGAGGTACACATTCCATTAGCTGCCAGAGTGACATCATCACACATCATGCAATATCTGGTAAACCCCACTGTTCGGTCTTGAGAGAATGAGAATGAAAATGGCAAATGATGGTTTAGTATCATTATGAAAATAGCTTTGATTTTATGACTCCCTGAAAGAGTCTCGGGGACTCCCAGACTACACTTTGAGAACTGCTGCCCATAGAAATGAATATAAAATGCCAAAACATTTTACCCATACAGAACCGGCTCTTTGCCTAAAAAGAGCAGAGGAAGTCCTACGGAGGCACCATACCAGGTCAAAATGCTTAGGCTTTGATGACTGACCAAATTATTACTATAAACCAGACGGTAGGTAAGTTGAAAAACAGCTGGCCCATGATGCTTTGCTAGGCGCTGAGGACGTATGTTTTTAGGAAGCACTCTGGCAATACCAACTGCAATTTCATCATGTGCTAAACAATTTTTATAATTATGTTAACGTATCTTCCCTTCTCATAAAAATGATGATAGTGGCAACACGGTACATCCAGAGGATTAGTGTCTGGTAGGTTTTGTATTATACCAAGTCCCTCAAAATGGTTATTGATCCCTAGAAATGCCTGCCTCTCAAGTGTTATTGTTTAATTAATGTTGTTGGAACTTATGCTACCCAGCAGCAAACATACAGAGACCTGTGTGTTGATTTTAATCACTGCCACTACTGGGATACTGTAAAAGGAGAAGTCAATTATCTTAAAAATACCTTCTGCTGAGTTTAACTTAGGGAGTTCTTTAGAAAAGCTTTCTTTTACCTGTAGATTTCTGAAAAGAAAAAGAATGTTTCAATTTTTAAAAAAACCTGGCAGAAGCTCTTAGTTTGTGAGTTGATGAGTGGATCCTTTGGGTTCAATCTTTCAAAGAAAACCATAATCCCAATTGACCCAAAAAATACAACAAAAACAACACTGTTTAGGAGAGAGACTCACATGCAGAACCACAAAATCAACTGTCCCCTAGCATTTGTGTACCACCCTAGAGGGAGAGCTCTACCAAGAGGCCAATGAGCTGGTGATCCTTTGGCAATACTTCAACTGAGAAAAAGTTGGGACAATCTTTGGCGCTAGCAAACAAGATTTCTGAGAGAGACCCTGCTGCTCATTAACAGGACAGTTAGGAAACCTGTGTCAATTATTAATGCCAAAAGTCAGGAAAGCGAGACAAAATGCTGAATCTTTAGAGAATGATGAATCTGTAACCACCAGCGACGTCTAAGGAAGGAAACAAGGAAACCTGTCAAGAGAACAGAATTCTTCTATGACCCTAGTCCTCCAAAGGTAACACTTTCTTTGTTACCTCTGGAATTTTAACTCAGAATATTCATATGGTATTCTGCTGCTCCTTGGAGAGGGGTGTGCCACTAGTAGGTTCTGAGAACCTTCAAGTTCAAGGGACATTTTATCTTAGGATGGTCAATGACAAGCTCTGTAATTCACCAAATAACTGGAACATGTGTGAAATGAAACTCTTTATTTCCCTCCTCAGATCTGCTCCTCTCTTAATCTTTAGTAAATGGAAGCTTCATCTTTCTAGTCAGTTAGGCCAAAAACTTTGGTTTTCTCCTTGACCATTCTTTTTCTCATAACCTATATTCAATCCTGATGGCTCTTCAAAATATATGCAGACGTGATCACTTTTCTCCATCTCTGCTTCTTCCAAGCTATCATCATCATCATCTTTCTTTCCTTTTTTTTTTTTTTTTTTTGAGACAGGGTCTTGTTCTGTCACCCAGGCCGGAGTGCAGTGGCGCAATCATGGCTCACTGCAGCCTCAGCCTCCCATGCTCAAGTGATCCTCCCACCTCAGCCTTGCAAGCAGCTGTGACTAAAGGGGCACACCAGTATGCCCGGCTAATTTTTGTATATTTAGTAGAGACGGGGTTTCACTATATTGCCATCACACCTGGCTAATTTTTTAATGTTTTGTAGAGACAGGGGTCTTGCCATGTTGTCCAGGCTGGTCTTGAACTCCTGGGCTCAAGCAATCCACCCACCTCAGCCTCCCAAAGTGTTGGGATTTACAGGCGTGAGCCACCGTGCCTGCCCATCATCATCTCTTGCCTGGACAACTGCAAAAGCCTCCTAACTGGTCTTCCTGCTTCCATCCTATTTTCCCTATAGGCCCTTTTCTTCTGCATATTTTAGACACAGTGATCCTTTTTAAAATCCAAGTTGATTTTGCATACATCTTAAAAATAATAAATGCAAGCAAGAATCATTAAAGGATGCTATCATTAGATAACAGTTTGTTGGGAAACTGGATATTCATACAGACTCAAAGCTATCTCCACCACAGGAAAAAGGCACATTTACAGGTGGAAAAATCTGATAGAAACTATCTTAGGAGATGAAAGTTAACATCACCAACAACAGAAGAGACTGACAACACGTGCCCCCTGCTGTGATGCCCTGATAATGACCCATCGTCACTTATTAGTGCTCCTGCAAAAATGCATACCCTGAATCTACTGCTGAGAAAAAAAATCAGACAATCCAAACGGAGAGGCATTCTACAGAAGAACTGGCTATCTTTTTAAAAACGTCAATGTTATGAAAGACAAAGACTGAGAAACTCTTCCAAAATAAAGGATTACCAAACAGACAATATCATGACAATAAATGTCAAGAGTAATCTTGAATTGGACCCTGAAGCAGGAAAAACAAAGTGTCACAAAAGTAAGTAAGGGACAAATGGAGCAATCTGAATATGGACTGTATATTTTATATAGTAATATTTTATTAGTGTTAAATTTCCTCAATTTGATAAATGCATTGTACCTACATAAGACAGTATCTTTGCTCTTATGAGATATATAGCAAAATATTTTAGGGTGAAGATTCATGAAGTCTGCAACTTCTTGTTACCTTGTTCCCCTAAAATAAGTGTGTATGGTAGGTGAGAAGCATAGGCAAAATGTTAACAACTGATGAATCAATGTGAAGGATATACATTGGTTCTTTGTACCATTATTGTAACTTTTCTGTAGGTTTGAAAATTTTCAAAATAAATACCGAAAAATTATGTCACTCCTCTGCCCAAAACCCTGTAATGGTCTCCCATTTTACTGAGAACGAAAGCCACAAAGCCCTGCGCAACTGGCCCAGCCACTTCTGAGGCCTCATTTCCCACCACCCTGGCCAGCTTGCTCTGCCCCCGCTATCCTGGCCCTCTTGCTTTTCTTTCAGGATGCCATGTACACTCCCACCTCAGGGCTTTGCACTGCTGTTCCCTCTGCCTGGCAGGCTCTTCCCCCAGATCCTCCCGAGGCTTCACCACTCTTCATAAACATCAGCCTCCTGCCAGTATGCTATATGCCCTTAAATCCATTCCATTTTTGATCTCTTTTTAGAGATGGAGTCTCACTCTTGTCACCCAGGCTGGAGTGCAGTGGCACAATCTCTGCTCACTGCAACCTCCGCCTCCTGGGTTCCAGGGATTCTCCTGCCTCAGCCTCCAGAGTAACTGGGATTACAGGAGCACGCCATGCCCGGCTAATTTTTGTGTTTTTGTAGAGACCAGGTTTCGCCATGTTGGCCAGGCTGGTCTTGAACTCCTGACTTCAGATGATCTGCCTGCCTCGGCCTCCCAAAGTGTTGGGATTACAGGCATAAGCCACCATGCCCGGCCCCATTTTTCTTCATAGCACTTATCATTACCTGACATTATATATTCACTTTCTTATTATCTGCCTCTTTAGATGAGCTCCTTGAGGACAGGGAGTTGGTTTTGTTCCCTGCTGTATCCCCAGCCTCAAGAATAGCACTTGCTCAGCAGAGTAGCGCTCAGTGAGTATCTGCTGAGTGAATTCTGAGCTTTGTTGAGGTTCATTTAAACATTTAGAGCACTAGTTCACATTCCTGCAGTTTGTGGGTGAAGGGCTACTAAGTATTTGACAGTTTTTCCGGAACCTGTTTCTGATCAACTCTGCTCTAAAGAGCAGAGTTTCTGCTCAACAGTTTCTGATCAACAGTTGCTCTAAAGAAAACTTTCCACTTTTGGAATTGTATTTGAAGCAGCAAACAAGGGCTGCTGGGGGACTGTATGTCTTGTTCATTTTCCCCACTCCCAAAACACTGATGATAGAAACCTGCACACCTCTCAACTGTATGAGCTGATCTCCCCACCCCATCTGTTTTCTGAGAACTCATTCACAGTAGATCAAATTCAGACTCTGAAGGCTGGCTGAGTTCCATGAGGTTATATTTAACATGTTTCTCAAGGACATGGAAGGCCTGGAAACTCAGAAGAAAGCTGCCTTACATGGCATAAAAAGCATTCTATAGTGTTTAATTGCTGTTCCAGGGTTAGTCAAGAAGGTGCAAGTCGATAAGGAGACAACATATGATAACGCTTTTCCCAATTTAAGCTCTCAGAAAGACAGTGTGCTTTTCCCAAGTTACTTACGTCTGTGGAGGTGGGGCTGGGCAGGGACACAGGCTGAACAGGTGCAGGGAAAGTGAATGTGGTCTCTGTCTTTTCATTTTCAGGGGAGTCAGGATGACTGGATTGGGGGGATGTTGGGGTAAGGGCTCCAAACCCCAGCACTGCATTGTATTTTGGAGGACGACCTATATACCAAGAGAAGGGAACAAAAGGGAAAAACGGGGAGGGAAAGAGAGGGGGAAAATGATCTTACATACCTTTGGCCAGTGTTCCTCATTGGCTAGCATGGAAAAGGAAGTGAGGTAGCAGACAGAAGGTTAATTCAACAGTCCCAAAGGAAGGAAGAGAAGCAAAGATTTAAATGTCATTAGAAACAACTATATGACTCTCAAGAGAAGGGAGGATAAGAGAGCTCTGGAGAATGACAGAAGGTGCTGGCTTATGTAGAAAGACCTCACCTTGGGCAGATTGTGGTGAAGTTCCTGGACTATTGCAATTTGAGATTTCTAGTGCAAGAACCAAGATGTCAAAGCCCAGTGGGAGCCAGGGCCAGGAATGAGTTTATTTTATTTATTTATTTTTTGAGACGGAATCTCGCTCTGTCACCCAGGCTGGAGTGCTGTGGCACGATCTCGGCTCACTGCAACCTCCGCCTCCCGGGTTCAAGCCATTCTCCTGCCTCAGCCTCCCACGTAGCTGGGACAACAGGCGTGTGCCCAGCTAATTTTTTGTATTTTTAGCAGGGACGGGGTTTCATCGTGTTAGCCAGGATGGTCTCGATCTCCTGACCTCATGATCCGCCCATCTTGGCCTCCCAAAGTGCTGGGATTACAGGTGTGAGCCACCGCACCTGGCCGAATTTATTATTTTTTCATATCTTGCATACTGTTCTCTAAGGTTTCTCTGCAATCAGCATTCTCACAATACTTTAATGATTCTCAGTTCCCACAAACTGATTTATTTAGGATTTCTGCTTTTCCTTCTCTATTCTGTCTGCATTTTATGAGGGTGGAGACCGGCAAAGCAAGGAGGCAAAATTCAAGTTAACTATTCTTATCCCTTGCTTTTAGAGCTATTGAGAGGCATGTTCTGGGAGTAGCTGAAACCTAAGAGCTTAAAAGATGCTCTGGGCTTAGCAATTAATGTTTAAGTATTTCTGTCCCTGGATACCCTCCCCAGTTGACTGGCAGCTGTCTCCCCCACTTTACATGACAAACATCCTGATAAACTACATCTCTAAAAATTGGGGCTGTTTAAAAGTCTCAGGAAAGGCCCTCCCATCAGCACTCCTAACTGAGAGACCTGATTTGTGTAAGAGCATTTTGACTCAAACTTCAAGGCTACAAAGGAACTTGAATGAGCCCTGTGGGTACAGAAAGTCTAGGTCAGCCACTCTTGCCTTACCACATATCTAAGTCAGGGCCCTTGTCTTCTAGGGGCAAGGTCATTGCTTCTAAGCTATGAGTGATCAAAAGTATATGCCCAACACACCAAAGGAAAAAAAAGGGCCAGAGAGATACAAAACTGCCTATAAGCACTGGTAAATGGTATGTAGGATCATGACTTTGCCAACAGTTATCATTTATATTAGGATTATGCACAAGAGTCATGATTCTGTCAGATGTTACAAAAATATTACCTCTCTGTATTAAATTGGTGATGCCTATAGTACAAAGACAGATCGTACTGGTTTATCTTTTCTAGGGAGTTCAGTGCTGCTGGAAGGGGAAGAACAAGATGAATGCTCTCTTGTTTACCCACAAAAGGCATATCCTAGGCACTGTGGATGCAAGCTTTTATCCTCTGACCTTAGCAAGAGATGCCAAGGTCTTTCTGGCTCATTTAACCCCTGTCCTCTTAGCAGATACTGCCCACTATCAGGCCAATTATTGTGGCTTCTGGCTGGGGGGCTCCTTTCCGAGAACTGCATCAGGGGTCACTAAAAAAATCACCAAGCACAAAACAAAACAAAACAAAACAAAAATAACTTAGAGTACTGGTTACTGTGGCCCAGGAATCAATATAAAGCCATGACTTAGGGTTTCCCATCTAAATATTTTTGAGTACTTGAAGGACAGGACTGATGAAACATTAGAATGGGTTACTAAGGGTGGGTATATCTCTTTTGTGGAGAGGGAATGGTAATAGTGTAGTCCTGCCTAAGGCAGACAAAGGGTCAGGATGACCTCCTGAGCTTCCAGTAGCTCTGAGACTGTGTGTGCACATGCAAAAATTAGTATGCTACTCCGCTCACTCTGCAACCTTTCTAGCCTGCAACTATAATTCAGGGACACATTACCATGTGGAGAAAAGGATCTTGGGATGTATTACTGACATCAAAGAAAAATTTCAGTACCTTGTTTATGAGCTCAAACCCTGAGCTGTTAAGACCTATTTAGACTTGCATGGTGAGAGACACTGCTGCTGCTACTGCTATTTTTTCTGCTCTGCCTAAGAGTAAGATTCTGGAATGTCCATGGGAAGGTCTGAAATATGGGATTGGAGCTCTTTAGGAATCTGTTCTTTAGGGAGCCTGTTTTGAGAGTGACCTTTTCTTCCTTAGTTGGAGATGCCCTCTTCTCAAAGATTCTAAGTTCTCAAGTGTGGCTACCTCTTTCCTTCCTGGAAAGTCTGCAGCTCCAAGAAACTCAGCGTCACACTCTGGCCTTGCCGGCAGCAGGACAACCAAGACGCTATTAGGAACACCTTGGCAATGGCAGTGCTCTGTTCTGCTTAATGACTCTCAAATGCTTCCTTTTACATGGGGTTCTGTTCACTGTGCTATTCATGGATGGCCTGGCAGGCTTGGGGCAGAAATGCTACATTAAGCCATTCCCCTGAGTCAGCTTTGCCAGAATCCTAGTAAAGTCAGCTTTTGATTCAGCATACAGAACTCTAATAAGAAATCTCATTCTCTTTTCTCTCCCATTCTCAGAGAACAACAACAAAACTATTTTCAAAGGATAGAGGAGTTAGGTCCTATAATGATGGGAGGAGGGAAGGAGAAGAAACACACACACAAAGCAAAAGCAACAGCAGCAAGGGAGAGATACAAAAAGGTCCTCACCTCTCTTCCGGGTCCCAGGGTGCATTGTGCTGTTTAGGTATGTCACTGCACTCTTCTTACGCTTTGAGGGTTGAAGGAGGAAAGGTGACTGTTGAGTAGTGTGGTTATTACTAATACTGGCACAAGCTAAAGACCAAGCATGGCATGACTGTCAACATGCCGACTAGTTAGTGCTAATCATCCTAAGGTCTCAATGCTCAAGGGTTTTATTGTATGTACTTGGCTCTCAGAGACTCTCTCAGAGAAGCCTGCCTCTGTTGCCGATGACAGCTGTATTGAAGTCAGGGTGAATTAAAATTTTAAGGTAGGCATGTATCTGCTGAAACTTAGGAAAAAAACCTAAGGGGTAAGCAGTGACTAATAAAAATGATAAGTCAAAAAAAATCTACCACTTCACAGAACTGGCCAAGTACAATCAGGGTGCTGCTCTTCAGCAGGTTTTCAGAGGGGAGGCACTGAACAGCTCATAAATAAAACTGGAACATGAGGGAAGGGCCAGATGCTGGCCAGTAATACCTCTGGCTCAAAGACTGCTCCACTGTAGACCGGATTTGCTGTTGTTCTTCTTTTTCGCTCTTGCCTCTTGCTTTGGATTTCTTGAGAGAAGAAAAGGTTTTCATTAGCAGAGAGGCATGGAGAACCTAAAAAACTTAACTTCATTGTTTTATCTATTGGTTTTCCCATAAGAAATCAGAATCAGGGACAAGTCTCTGTTTCACTGAAGCCTCAGCAGAGGCAAGCACACTACTGGAAGCAAATATGTAGGACCATCTACTCTCACCTGCAAGACCACGCTGTCCTACACGTGGTTCTCTGTTGAGAGTTTAACAATAGACAACACTTGTAAACAAGTTGTCCTGATTTTTAGACTGCTGTATATATAGGTCTGGATGAGCTTTATCCATAAGACTTAAACTGAGTAACCAAAGTTCATCATTCTTGAATTAAATAATCAGGACAGGTATAGCTTTGTAACTGTTGTCAACATTCTGATAACCTGGAGTGACCAGAAAATATAAAGGCTTATCAGAAGAGCACTTCGCTGTGCTGTTCAGAAAAAGAAGAGCTCCCCTAAATGAACAGAAGTCACCTGAATTTAGGCAACTGGGGAGGTTTTCCCAGGACAGTAGTGTGGATAATGATAGGAACATTAGACAGAGGGAAGGCAATTTTCCCACTAAAGGAAATAAAGTCCACATTGGCTGAATCATACTCTATTTGTGTTCCAATTTTCTATTCCAGGAATTCAATCAAACATCATTTTCAGGAACAAAGCTGTGGGCCAGAAAAAAAGGCAGTGCCAAGAATATCTTCTCTTACCTTCTAGATGGTCATGTGTTACCAACCCTAGAGACACCATGAAGGCAAGTTTCTGTGCCAGAGAAACAAAAGAAGAATATGCTTCAGTCTGGGTTCTCACAAAGCCAATTGCCAGTTCCTAGTAGGACATTAGGGAAAGCCAGCCCAATGGGCGGGTCTCATGAATGCACAAGAGCAGGCATTCTCTAAGCAGCCATGGAGATCCTCTACAGCAGGGGTGTCCAAGCTCTTGGCTTCCTTCAATGTGGGCCACATTGGAAGAAGAAGAATTGTCTCGAGCCACACATAAAATACACTAACACTAATGATAGCTGATGAGCTTCAAAAAAAAAAAATCGCAAAAAAAACTCATGATGTTTTAAGGAAGTTTACGAATTTGTGTGGGGCCGCATTCAAAGCCATCCTGGGCCACAGGTTAGAAAGTTTGCTCTAGAGGCTCTCTGGTCTAACAGGGCCAAAAGAGAAGGACTGGGGTCTACATCTTCTTTCTCAATGACAGAAATCAGTATCTTGTGTGATCCGAGTGACCCGCCCCACAGAAAAATCCTCTTAAAAAGAAGAGGATTTCATACTCACAAAACATGCAGAGAGTTTTAAAGAGCCTCCCATTTAACAAGCTCCAAATCCTGAGTGTTTCACTTGTCACGACTAGGTCAGTTTCTCACATTTATACTGCCACAATGCTAACTCACAGCTAAATGATTTTCAGGAATGACAGCAGGTGTTTCTGCTGAATACTATGATTTTTCAATCACACATGAACCTAAAAATTATGGAGCAATTTCTCTCTGAAGACCACTCTTAGGGCTCCATCAGAAACTAAGCTGGTCAAAATACTGGGCCCTGAAGATGGAACGTTAAGACTCTTCAAGCCAGAGAGGGAAACAAATTGATTTCTATTCTTTTCTTTGCTTGCATGTGGTCTGAAAAGTGTGTCTTCATTTTCTGTTGTACTACTGCATGCAGTTTCTAAATATGCCAAATAATACATTATCAATTTATTTCTCTGATGAATAAAGAACATCTTCAATTGTAAAAGACATACTCCTGTAGAGTTATTTATACCACAATTTGATCTTTAAAAGTCCTGACATCTTATCCTCGATATTATCCTACTTTGGCCTGAAGTGATAGGTTCAGCCTATTTGAAAATAAACTTCTTCAGCAAGCCACTTGAGAACATAGAAATGTCATTTACTGGTAACTTCAGAGTCCTGAAGAAATGTTTTTATATTATTTCTTATTTCAAAAACTGAGATGGGCACCTATCCCCTTGACAGCCAGATTAGTCTGGTAAGAAAAAGCAGTCTTGGACTTTCCTGCTTTCTAAACTGTATGTTGAAATGACATACACTTTGTGGTTGCCAACTAACTACATTCCTAATTTTCACTATTCCTTAGAAATATAATCAAGATCAAGAGGCTTTCCCCTAACTGTTGTTCTTTTGATGAAGCAGTGTGTGGACTGATATTCAGATGCACCCTCTTTTAAGCAAGTAACAGCACCCTTATTGGCCACTCACACCCAAATCATCTTTGCCAGTTTAGATCAAGCTCATAAAATAATTAAGTGAAAAAAAATGTCCTCTCTTGTGGAATAAATTTTTTTTTTTTTTTTTGAGGCGGAGTCTCACTCTGTCACCCAGGCTGCAATACAGTGGCACAATCTCGGCTCACTGCAACCTCTGCCTCCTGGGTTCAAGCTATTCTCCAGCCTCAGCCTCCCGAGTACCTGGGACTATAGGCACGCGCCACTGCATCCAGCTAATTTTTGTATTTTTAGTAGAGACAGAGTTTCACCATTGGCCGGGCTGGTCTCAAACTCCTGACCTCAGGTGGTCCGCCCGCCTCAGCCTCCCAAAGTGGTGGGATTACAGGCGTGAGCCACCGCGCCCAGCCTAAATTTTTGATGATAGAATAAAAAGCTGTCAAAAACTTTTACCTCATATATGTATCCCACATATGCCAAGAGCAATTTACTTTGTTTATGGCAGTGATTCTGTCCAACTAGAAGGTGAACTATATGCTACTACACATGATGGTACTTGCTTGCCCACACTGGGTCTAGCTCCATCACCTAGGCTGGAGTGCAGTGGCACCATCTCAGCTCGCTGCAGCCTAGACCTCCCGGGCTCAAGTGATCCTCCCACCTCAGCCTCCTGGGTAGCTGGGACTACAGACATGTGCTGCCACACCTGGCTAATTTTGTTTATTTTTTGCAGAAACAAGGTCTCACTATGTTTGCCCAGGCTGGATCCTTCAGTTTCCTTTGATAGGGAAATTTTGCTCAATTTTTCCTTCTCAGAGCATAATACTTGTCATTAATTCTGTGGATGATTTCACAAGTTCCTCAGCAATTTTTGTGACTAGTACTTCTTTTTGGCTTAAGTTTTGGTCCTCTTTTTCAAGATAAAATTAAAAATTCATTCATTTCATATCAGAAAGAATTACATTTCGTACTTGTTTTAGGAAACCTGAACTGGCTCAATAAATCACTGCTTTAAAAAAATGGCATGAAGCTTTGATGGCTTTATGCCACTATTTCACATGGTTTCATTATGAAGAAAGCACTAAGGATAGGGGCAAGAGAATTACTGGCCAAATGAAATCTGTCAGATATTCATCATCATATTACCTGTCTACATTTTCCATTTATAGCTGCTTATGCAAAAACATCAAACTGAAAAAATTTGCTTGTCTAAGGACATACAGATTCACATTCTACATTTTTATCAGGGTCTTCTTTGCTATTTATGTTTATAATTCTATCCTAAATTATAGTATAGATGTTACTATTTTCATCCCTACTTTTATGCTTCAATGGATTACTTCTGAGCTACTGATTCATTTGGGGTTTGGGGTTCTAATGTAATACAATGGTTGTAACAAAAACGCACACTTAACAACTGCAATTGATAATATAAATACACATTAGCTGAGTGAACTAGATATCTTATAAATGTTGGCTGAGACAAACAGAACACAGTAATGATTAGGAATGTAATGGGACAGCTGGGAAAATCATCGCTCATCTTAACATTTCAAATTTGTAACATGCATATGAAGAATAACATTTTAAAAAACTTTTCCTTTGATACAATCAAAATGCCTATGTACTAGTGCATGGACCCTCAAGACTACAGTCTAAGAATTCCACTCTAGACCAATCTGACTTGGCAATAACATTGCTGAATAATAAAAGTGCATAAGAAAATGAACATCGAGTTCATTTCATCATTCAGAGAGCAGGTGCCCCTCCTGGTACATGAGAATAAACCATACACCATAGACTGAGACCTGCCTTTGGAAACATAGGCCTACCTGAGGGTTCTCCTCCCGTTTTGGTTTGGGTGCAGCAGGTGGGGTGATGGTGCGGCTCTCTGTTTGTTTCTCATCTGTTTCTGTGTGAGATTTAACTGTCTAGGAGAGAAAAATTAAATAAAAATTCAGAATTCGTTTTTTATTAAAAGGATGAAGCAATCAGAAGTTTAATAGTAGTAGTCAAGAAGAAAGAAGACAACATATTCAAATGTGGAACATATTAATAAAAAGGTTAGTATTATAGATTTCATTGGGGGAGGGGAAACTAAAATGTAAAGCCCCAGTTGAAGTTATTAAATTGCATGGCTAGAGTAAATATGAATCTATAAATACGAGTCTAAATAAGGTATATGAAAAGAAAAGTATGGTTTAATTCCTAAGTATAGAAATACGGTACAGGTTGTCCTTTCTGATTTCCACGTATTTTAGAATGTGGGGATAGTTGCCCAGAAGCAAGCCTGCTATTTTTTGTTGTTGTTGTTGTTTTGAGATGGAGTTTTGCTCTCGTTGCCCAGGCTGGAGTGCAATGGCATGATCTCAGTTCACTGCAACCTCTGCCTCCTGGGTTCAAGCAATTCTCCTGCCTCAGCCTCCCTAGTACCTGGGATTACAGGCACCCGCTACCACACCCAGCTAATTTTTGTATTAGTAGTAGAGACGGGGTTTCACCATGTTGGTCAGGCTGGTCTTGAACTCCCGACCTCAGGTGATCCACCCACCTCAGCCTCCCAAAGTGCTGGGATTACAGGCGTGAGCCACCATGCCCAGCCCACTGTTTTTATATTATAGGTCAAGCTCCAGCTCACAACCTGCTTAAGATCAGAATGATGTTAAAAACATCTCACATACACAGTCTCCTATTTCGGAACAATTCCAGTCATAATCTCAGAGAGACTGCAGAACCACCCTTACATGGAATATTAAAAATCTGTCTATATAATCCATCAGAGGAGAGATGCAATTGCTAAGAGTGGGCCATCTTGCAAGAGGCTGACTTCCTAATTTTTCCAAGCCTCTTCTTCCAGAAGCCTCTTCTCAAGCAGAAGAAACACCAGTTGATTACCATCTTCAAACACAAAAGGTAGCTAGCATACTGGTAGACTGGGCTTGCATTCCTATTCTTACCATGACCAATGTCTAACTCATTTTATGAAGCTCTCCGTAAATACTGAAATAATTTTAAAACAGAAAATATCAAACTATAAACACAAACCTAATTTACTTTTTCAAAATTAGAAAAAATGTGGAAGTAATGCTCCTTTCATATGGCAACAATAATTAAATAAGTGAGAATAAAACTGATTATTGATGGGCAGGGGCTACATGAGACTTTGGTCCTACAAACAAGACATCTAAAGCTCTCAAAAATCATTATGCTGGAAATATTTTACTAGATCTGAAAAACACAAGCACATAGATCTTTGATTTTCTTTCCTGGCCACTTCCATATTTTCCTTCTGCTTTTATATGATTACATAAAGAAAGCGTAAGCATCTGCCTTATCAATACTGTGGCAACCAGTGCTCTGGGGCACAAATGCGGCTTTGTAATTTTCCCCCACTGGTGTTCTCTCGTATTTCCCCCTTTATACTAAACGCTATGTAAGAGTGGGAATTGTTTTATGCACCTCTTGTTTTTGCATCCCTTTGTGCCTATTATGGTACTTCATGCAGAGCGGGTGTATAGTAAAGAGTTGATTGGGCTTCTGGGTGAAGAGTATGATCTAAGCGAGAATCACTCAAGTCTTTCTCTCTCCAACACACACACACACACACACACACACTTTTTAATCAAAAAGGACACATTTCCTCCATAAAACAAAACACCAGTGGGAAAGTAGTTTACAGTGACATTTTAAAGTCCTGGATGCCCAGAAATCTTATTTTCATGTCTCTTTGAATAGGAAGGAGAGAAGTATGATGGAGGAGGGAGAAAAGAAGGTCAACTATAAGGGTGTGCTGTTCCATTCCAAGGCTGTGTGAAGTCTCTTGGAGTCTCTTACTTCCATTTCTAAGGCTGAGTAAAGCAATTAGCAGCAGTGCTTTTAAGGAAGGGCAAATCAATTCCTTTCCACTAAAAAATTACCCATGGTTCAAATTTCTCTCTCTCATGCAAGAAAAAGTACAATTATCTCAGTGTTATATAAATAATACCAAAAGGATCCAAAAACAAAAATACAAATAAAACAATCAAAACATTGGTGGTGGTGGAGGGTGTCTTTCCTTCGTGGATCTCTTGCTCTGGGGGAAGCCAGCTGCCACGTTGTGAGCAGCACTATGGAGAGGCCCAGGTGTGAGGAACGGAACCTCCAGCCAACAGCCAGTGAAGAAGTGAGGTCTGCCAACAACCATGTGATGAGCTCAGATGTGGATTATTAAGCTGTAGCACAGCCTTAAAATTACTGCAGCTCTAGCCAACTAGTTTGACTGTAAACTTGTGAAGGACTATCAGCCAGAACTAAGTTGCAGACCAGAAGGAAATGGGTTAATATATTTAAAGTGCTGAGCAAAAAAACCCCTATCAACCAAGAATTCTATATCCTGCAAAACTATTCTTCAAAAATGGAGAAATTAAGACATTCCCAGATAAACAAAACCAGAGGACATTCACTGCTAGTATACCAGTTCTAAAAGATATGTTAAAGGGAGTCCCTTCAGGCTGAAATGAAAGGACACTAGACAGTAACTCAATGCCATATAAAGAAACAAGAACTCCAATAAAGCTAACTAGATGAATAAATATAAAAGCCAGTGTTATTATTTATTTTTAACTTCTCTTTTTGTTTCCTATATGACTTAAATGCACAAAGTAATTATATATCTATATTAGTGGGCACACAATGTATAAGATATAATTTGTGACAGTAACAACATAAAGGAGGGGCAGAGCTGTATAGGAGCAGAGCTTCTTTTTCCTTCATTGTCACTGGCAAAGCTTTTATTATTTATTTATTTATTTTTATTTTAGATTTGAGGGTACAGTGCAGGTTTGTTACATGGATATATTGCATGACGCTGAGATTGGGGCTTCAACTGAAACCATACAAGCAGGGTTTTAAAAATCTAAGCTGGGGTTAATTCAAACTAGATTGTTAAAAACGTATGAATGTTTACTGTAATCCCCAAGGTAACCACTAAGAAAATAATTATATACAGAAACAGAAATGAGGAAAGCATGAAAATGACACACTAAGAAAAAAATCAAACAAAAAAGGCAGTATTACAGGAAATGAAGAACAAAAAACGTAAGATATACAGAAAACAAATAGCAAAATGGCGTAAGTCCCTCCTTACCAGTAATCACTTAAATGTAACTGGATTAAACTCACCAATTAAAAGACCGACTGGCAGAATGAACAAAACACATGATCTAATGATATGCTGTAAGAGAGACTCATTTTAGAGAAAAAGACACAAAAAGGTTGAAAGTGAAAGGATGTTTATAATGAATGGCTATAGTACTATTAGACAAAAGTGACTTAAAGTCAACAACTGTTACGAGAGACAAAGAACCTCATTATATAATATACTGACAAAAGGGTCGATTCAAAAAGATGATATAACAGTTATAATCATATATGTACCAGACAACAGAGCCCCAAAATATATGAAGAAACTATTGAAAGGATTGAGGACAGAAATAAACAGTTCTACAATAATAAATGGAGACTTCAATATCCCTCTTTAAGTAATGGATAAAACTTGTGCAGAGATTAAAAAGGACATAGGGAACTTGAACAACACTATACACCAATTAGACCTGTCAGGCATAGAAAGAATACTCCACTCCACAAGAGCAGCATGCATATTTTTATCAAGTGTACATGAAACATTCTCCAGGACAGATTATATGTTAGGCCACAAAACAAATATTAATAAATTTAGAAAGACTAGAATCACATAAAATCTCTTCACCAGCCACAATGGAAAAAAACTAGAAATTAATGACAGCAGAAAAACTAGAAAACTCACAAGTGTATGGAAATTAAACAACACATTCTTAAACAAGCAATGGGTAAAAGAAGAAATCACTAGGGAAATTAGAAAATACTTTGAGAGAAATGAAAACAAGGCCACAACATACCAAAACTTATGCGATGCTGTGAAAGCAGTACTCAGAGGGAAACTTATAGCTGCTAACAGTCTATATTAAAAAAGAAGAAAGAGCTCAAATCAATAACCTAACTTTACACCTTAAGAAACAGAAAAAGAACTAAATTCAAAGCAAAAAAAAAAAAAAAAAAGAAAAAAGAAAATAAAGTCTAGGATGAAGATAAATGAAATAGAGAAGAACAACAGACTCAACAAAACCAAAAGGTGAATCTTCGAAAAGAATAACAAAATCGACAAACCTCTGGCTTAGACTAAGAAAATAAGAAGATACAAATAACTAAAACCAAAAATGAAACTGAGGACATTACATCTCACAGAATTCAAAAGGATTATAGGAGAATATATTGAAAAACTGTACGCCAACAAACTAGACAACATAGATGCAATGGAAAACTCCTAAAAACACACACATTACCAAAATTGACTCAAGATAAAGAAAATCTCAACAGACCTGTAACAACTAGTGACTGAAACAGTAATCAAAATTCTCCCCGAAAAGAAAAAGTACAGGATCAGATGGTTTTATTAGTGAATTCTACCAAACATTTAAAGAATTAGCACCAATCTGTCTCAAATTCCAGAAAATACACTCTTAAATCATTCTATGAGGCCAGCACTACTCTGATACCAAAGCCAAAGACACCAAAGAATAGAAAATGGGCTGGGCGTGGTGGCTCACTTTGAGAGGCCAAGGCAGGCAGATAGCTTGAGCTCAGGGGTTCAAGACCAGCCTGAGCAACATGACAAAACCTGGTCTCAAAAAAAAAAAAAAAAAAAAAAAATATATATATATATATATATATATATATATACACACACACACACACACACATATATATTAGCCAGGCATGGTGGTGCGCAACTGTAGTCCCAGCTACTTGGGAAGCTGAGGCGGGAGGATCACTTGAGCCGAAATCATGCCACTGTACTCCAGCCTGGGTGACAGAGCAAGATTCTGCCCTGTCTCCAAAAAATAACGAAAAAAATTAAATTATAGACCAGGCTTGGTGTTCATGCCTATAATCCCAACACTTTGGGAAGCCAAGGTCGGGGGATCACTTGAGTCCACGAGTTCGAGACCAGCCTGGGCAAGAAAGTGAGACCCCATCTCTACATAAAATTTAACAAAATTAGCCAGGGATGGTGGTGCATGCCTATAGTCCTAGTTACTTGGGAGGCTGAAATGGGAGGATCACTTGAGCCTGGGAGGTTGAGGCTGCAGTGAGCTGCAATTGTACCACTACACTCCAGTCTGGGTAACACAGCAAGACCCTGCCTCCAAAAAAACAAAAACCAAAAGAACAGAAAATTACAGACCAATATCCCTTATGAATATAAATGAAAAACCCTCAACAACAACAAAAATTCCTCAACAAAATACCAGCAAACTGAATCCAAGAGCATATTAAAAGGATGGTACACTATGACAAAGCCAGATTTATCCCAAGAGTGGAAGGGTGGTTCAATGTAAGAAAATCAATATAATATACCACATTAACAGAACCAAGGGGGAAAAAAAACATGGTATCTCAACTGGTGTAGAAAAAGCATTTGTCAAAATCTAGCACCCCACTACACACACAAAAAAGGTTAACTATGTGAGGAGATAGATATATTAATTAGCTTGATTATAGTAATCATTTCACTATGTATATGTATATCAAACCATCATGTTGTATACCTTATACATATACAGTTTTTATTTTAAAAATTCCAGTTATCTATTCATAAAAACACTCAGAAAGCTTGGAATAAAAGGGAATTTCCTTGACTTTATAAAAAACATTTATGAAAACACAGCTAACATCATACTCAATGGTGAAAGCTTTCCACTTGAGATCAACAACAAGACAAGAATGTTTGCTTTCACCATTGCTATTTGATATTGTACTGGAAGTTTAGGCCAGAGCAATTAGGCAAGAAAAAGAAAAGGCACCCAAATTGGAAAGGAAGATGTAAATCTCTATTTGCAGATGACATGATCTTACAGAGAAAAAAACTCAAAGAATCCATAAAACAAATACTAGAGCTAATAAACAAATTCAGCAAAGTTGTAGGGTACAAGATCAAGACAAAAATCAGCTGTGTATCAAAGGACTGTATCAAGAAAGCAAAAAGGCAAACTACGGAACAGGAGAAAATATTTGCAAATCATGTAACTGGTAAGGGTCTAGTATCCAGATTATATAAAGAACTCTTACAACTCAACAACAGAAAAATAACCCAATTTAAAAATTGGCAAAGGATTTGAATAGACCTTTTTCCATGGATGTACAAATGGCCAACAAGCACATGAAAAGATGCTCAGCATCATTAGTCATTAGGGAAATGCACATCAACACTACTTTGCACCCACTGAAATGGCTATAAATAAAACAAAAAGGAAAGTAATAGGTGTGGTAAGGATGCGGAGACAATGGAATGCTCATGTACTGCCTTTGGGAATGGAAAATGATTTAGCTGCTGTGGAAAACAGTTTGGCAGTTCTTCAAATAGTTGAGCAGAATTACTGTATGACCCAGCAATTTCTACTCCTAGGTATATACCCTAAAGAACTGAAAACAAGTAGTCATACAAATGCTTGCACATGAATGTTCACAGCAGAACTATGCACAATAGCCAAAAAGTGGAACCAACCAATGTCTTATGATTTCCTAGGTCTACCAAGAGATGAATGAATAAACACATTGTGGTATATACATGTCATGGAATATTATTCAGCCATTTAAAATAGAAGGGGGCACTGATATGTATTACCATATTGATGACTCTCAAAAACATGCTAAGTGAAAGCAGCCATAAGAGATCACATATTGTATGATTCTATGTATATGAAATATCCAGAACAGGTACATCTATGGAGACAGAAAGCAGACTGGTGATTGCCAGCGGCAGAGGGCAAAAGTTAAATAATTGCTTAATGGATACTGGGTTTTATTTTGGGGTAATGAAAATGTTGTGTAACTTAACAGAAGTGATGGTTGCACAATACTGTGAATATACTAAATGCCACTGAACTGTTATTTTAAAATGATTAATTTTATGTGATTTCACCTCAATTAAAAAAAAATTGGATTTAGAAAACAAAAAAGAATTCATGGATATCCCTTCGATGAATCTAAAGTTTGGTCTCTGAGATTATAAACCATGATGCAGACTCGAAATTGTCTTGCAGATGTTATTTTCTGCATATATGGTGTTTAAACAGTTACCAGTATTTTAACAACTTGGCAACTTTTAAAAACATCTGGATTTCAGGCTTTTCTTGAAGAAGTCTCCATGTGATAAAAGTTTGTTATTGCCAAGAAGCAGCTGCTTCCTTGAGATGAAGCATATTACTGTGCAGTTTGCCACAGTTTCTTCCATTTTCTATTGTCAATTATTATCATGCTTGTCTTACTTATTATTTTAAAGGGGAATTAAGAATAAAAGCGGGATATCTGTTATACTCATGTTCCCACTGAAAGTGGAAAAATAAATAAAAAGTCCAGTTGTTTACTCCTAGCCTGTTTCACTCACTTACATCTCCTCTTCGAACCCACGGTTGCTGGAATTTGCAACTCCTGTTCTTTTTGGTATAATAAAAGAATCCAAAAACTCTGCACAAACCTAGAATGAAGTTAATCAAGTATACTTTATATACTTGTCTGCATGAAAAATCAAAGGTAGGCAGGTGCAAATAAATGTCCAAATAATTTCGTTAGTCAAGGTTAAATAGATTGGGATTGAAGGCAAAGCAAAATCCATGGTTTGGTCACTTGGAACTATTTTCTCTACTATTGCACCAGTATTAAAATGGGGTAAGGGGAGGCATCAGCTCTGGTTGACTAACAGGGAAAACAGAAATTTGAAGATAATGCATTGGATAATATTATTATCTTGTAAGTACTTCTCTTTAGAAGATACTGTGCAGATTCCTATGAAAAATATTTATGGTAACGTGGCAATTTTTTTCCCCACAGAACCTTGGGATTTTTTTCAGTAGCTCTGAATTGACGACATGTTACATAGAAGTCTTTGTTGCAGGGTGGCAGTGGGGTGGAGAAGAAACATAATTCCTGAGAACTCCATCAAGCATAATCTAATAAACATTAAATACCTGACTTCATTTCATCACCAACAGGTGTTAGCCCCATTTTAGAGCGCTGGAGAGGACAAGGACAGGGGAGGTGATGTGAAGGCTATATCGTAAGTCTTCTGGCTTCATCTACTTTTCTGTCTAAAACGAGTCTTCAGCTTCAAAGATTTTTAAACCCTATCACTTGTTTTCTCAGAGCCACAGTGTAACGTGGTTTCTAATAAGGGATAAGATCTCTTATCTGGGGTAGATAAGGAAGTTGGTTATGTCTGACAGGGGAAGGACACGTGAGACCACTGCTGTTATAACTGGCATTGCCTTCTCCCATTCCTATGCCAATGTGGGAGGCCATGCTTCCTTCCCTGGAGACACAGCCTCAGTGCCTGCTCCAAACACACTAGAAACTGAGTTCCGTGAGGGTACGGGCTTTAGTTTATCCACCTTATATATAGACATCACATGCAGCATAGCAACTGGTACTTAACACATTTTTATTAAATGAATGATGTTATCATCTAAAGGGAATAGCAGAAAGCAAAAGGGAACCTATTTAGCCTGGTCATAGAGAGAACGTTGGATACGGGTTTGGTAACTGTGAACAGGTGTGAACAGGTTCTTCCATGGCTACATACATTACATTGTTTTACCTTTAGCTCTATGATCTATGAGATCTCTTACTGGCTATAAATGTGATACTGGAAATGAAATATAAATAGAAAACAAGGATAGTTGAAAGATACGAAGTAAGAGAATCCTGAGAATGCAATCTAGTCTAAAGAGAGTCTCTGCTGATCGGGCTCGGTAACCTCTAAGACTATTATGCCAGGCTGCCCAGCAAACTAAAATAACAATGACTGAATTCCTTTATTAGACCAAAAAGAAGAGAGAACATTGGCCAGGCGTGGTGGCTCATGCCTGTAATCCCAGCACTTTGGGAGGCCAAGGCAGGTGGGTCGCCTGAGGTCAGGAGTCTGAGACCAGCCTGGCCAACATGGTGAAACCCCATCTCTACTAAAAATACAAAAAATTAGCCGGGCATGGTGGCAGGCGCATGTAGTCCCAGCTACTTGGGAGGTTGAGGCAGGAGAATGGCATGAACCCGGGAGGCGGAGCTTGCAGTGAGCCGGGATCGTGCCACTGCACTCCAGCCTGGGCGACAGAGCGAGACTCTGTCTCAAAAAAGAGAAGAGAGAACATGAAATTTACTGCTACAAAAGAAATTATTTTAATTCTTAAGATTTCAAGGATATCTTTTTATAATATTATAATTAAAATAAAAAGCTCTATCAACGTGAAGGCCACGACAGGAAAAGATGCTTAAGATCTATTAAAGTAGGGAAAAAACCAAATTACAAAATACATAAGTTTGATTTTGGTTTTTGCTTTAAAAATGTTTTACACGTACATAGAAAATATCTGGGGGCCGGGTGCGGTGGCTCACACCTGTAATCCCACCACTTTGGGAGGCCAAGGCAGGTGGGTCGCCTGAGGTCAGGAGTCTGAGACCAGCCTGGCCAACATGGTGAAACTCCGTCTCTACTAAAAATACAAAAATTAGCCGGGTGAGATGGCGGGCACCTGTAATCTCAGCTACTTGGGAGGCTGAGGCAGGAGAATTGTTTGAATCCGGGAGGTGGAGGTTGCAGTGAGCTGAGATCCCACCATTGCACTCCAGCTTGGGTGACAAGAGTAAAACTCTGTGTCAAAAAAAAAAAAAAAAAAGAAAAGAAAAAAAAATCTGTAAGAATATAATCTAAACTGTTAATAGTAATTAACTCCTGGGGGTAAAATTATGATAAAAGTTTACTCTCTCTTTAGATTACGGGGAAAAGCACCTTCTACAATTTATATTTTTGTAATGTTTGAATCTGTTTTAAAAATGAACTTGTACTATCTTTGTAATCAGAAAAGAAATGTAAAAATAAAATGAAACCAAAACAATTTGTCTCCTAAAAATATCTTTATCAAAAAAAGAGGTAAAGAGAAATAATATTTAATAACCTAAAATAGTGTTGTGAAACGAGGTTCTGTGGAACACTGAGGCTCCTCAGAGGTTCTTTGAGAGCCAGTGCAAAACAACAGGTCCCCACCCAAACTCCTAAGCTTGAGCATCTGACTCTCAGTAGTTTAATACCAAAGTTCTGCTGTCAATAAGTTTGAAATTTTCTGTGTTAAAATATGTGTAAATAATTTATTTCTGGGCTGGGCGTGGTGGCTCATGCCTGTAATCCCACCACTTTGGGAGGCTGAGGCAGGCAGGTCACTTGAGGTTGGGAGTTTGAGATCAGCTGACCAACATGGAGAAACCCCGTCTCTACTAAAAATACAAAATTAGCCAGGCATGGTGGCTGACGCCTGTAATCCCAGCTACTCAGGAGGCTGAGGCAAGGAGAATCACTTGAACCTGGGAGGCGGAGGTTGCAGTGAGCTGAGATCGTGCCATTGCACTCCAGCCTGGGCAACAAGAGTGAAACTCCATCTCAAAATAATAATAATAATAATAATAATAATAATAATAATTTATTTCTGAATGTTTCTCAAAGCACTTCCTGGGGTTTGAATAGGTTCCCCAGGAATTGAGATGTGTTCTTGTGTTTCCTAAGCACAGATTTTGATAACTAGCTTCTTGAATGCAAGGTCTGCCGCATTTGTGAGCTGCCTGGGTTTAAGGTCTAGTACCCTATGCATAGGTTCCTCTGCTCAAGAAGACTAAGGCAGCAGGCAGCATCTGAACAGCCTCTCTGAATCATGGTCCATCCAGAAGCAGAAGATTCAGGATCACCACAGACTATTTTCAGATAAATGAGAAGTCAAGACTGAACAATTAGAAATAGGTCGATGACTTTTTAAAGCAACTTTCTTGAGAGAGAATGCTTTTCTTTGCCAAATTCTTCTTTCTCATCACTAGTCGTTTTTCAAATAGGATACGGTGACTGCCTATAAATCCTTCTTGTTTTCAGAGGTCTTTCTGCTACAGAACCTTCAAGTATTTTTGCAGGTTACTTGTATGTCTCTAGCCTCGTTTTTTAAGATAAAATCTGACTTCAGGAAATATAAATGAAATGTTTCAATATTTGAGCTAAAATATCTGCATCCTCTAAAGTTAAAGAATGCTTTTTGGAAATTTTAATTTTTTTTGTTTGGCTCCCCATTATCTGTAACAATCAAAGAAAAGTCTTTGAAATGAAATCCCTTTCCCTGTTTTGTTTATTCTTCCTGACTTTCACAGTCCTACCTTCATCTGGATTCTTATTGGGCCGAAACTAACATGGCGTTTTCTGTTTACTACCTCATCTGTGCTTACTGACGGAGGGCAGCAGAGCCTGTCTGTGAATTTCCACATCAGAACCACCAGGGGGAGCTCACTCACACAGGAATCCCAGCCCATCTACGAGGGGATGGTGGGAAAAGCAAACCAACTTTCTTCAGTAAGAATGACCCTTCTGCACGTGGATGAATTATCGCACATAAGCGACAGCTTACTGACAATGGTGGTGAGATGAAGAGCCCTTGAGAAAATGTATTTAGAGAAAGCCCAGCAGCCATATGCCTCAACGACAAGGCTACTGCCCAGAGCAGGTACATACTCTGCCTGTACCTGTTTTTCAAGACTTGGCTTGCTAAGCTGTACAGTTTGAGGTCCAGCGAGTCTGGTCCCTGGAGTAGCTATCACAATGCTGGTGAGCTGGGCCATGGGGAACGTTTTGGCTATGGTTGCAGTCTGCCCATTGACGACACGGACGGGGTGGATGGAATTCTGGGATGTGGGAAGGGTTGTGGGGGTGAACTTGGTCAGCATGACGGGCCTCTGGATAAGCTGAGGAGCTGCGAGCATGGGAGGTGGTGCTGGGGCAATAGGAATGTTATTCTGGGCCACAGGCTTGGGTCGAACCTATAGGGGAAAGAGAGAATAATTATTGTATTACTTAAGCTGCTCAAGTCCTATAAAAGCAAATCTTCCACACTCTATGTATGAAATGGTGTTTAATACACTTATTAATGTTCATTTTGGTACATTAATTCTATAGACCTCAGGGCATATAATCTTATACAAGACTCATCAGCTCTTGAGGTCCAAACCTCACCCTAGAACATAGCTTTTGATTCTAAACCCTGAGCTCCCTCTTCTATACCATGCCACCTCTTCTAGCTGAGGTCAAAGGCCTAATCCAGAGACTGGTCCCACCCAGAACTTGTGCACAGTATAGTCATAATGTTGCCAATAGCCTTAACTCGCATTTGAAATTTCTTCATATCCACAGCTTCAGTGCACCCCCATTTCTGGCCCTCTAACTCCCTGTTCTTGGCCACTCCTCCTCTCAGTCTCCTTTGTGGGCTTACTCTTCCTCTGCCTCATCCTAAATGTGAGTATTTCTTAGGATTTTTTTCCCTGGCACCCCTTTTCTTCCCAATGTTCTCATTATTCCTAGGAGCTTTTGCCCATCTCATGGCTTCAATTACCATCTATGTACTGAAGACTCACACTTTTACCTCAGAACCTGAGACACTTCCTGAACTTCAGAATTATACAATACTTGAATATCTCAAAAGTTCAAAATCAACATGTCTAAGACTCATCAATTTCTTCTTCCAATCTTCTCTTCCTCCGATAATTGCCTCAGTAAGTACCCTTTTCTTGACAAATTTTGGAATCACTCTTGATGATTCCTACCCCACCCTCTACTCTCTAAATACTTCTAATATCTGTCTACTTCTATCCTCACTCCACTATCTACTATCCTAGCTTATGTTTGGCTCACTAAAAACAGTGAAAAAAAGTTACAGTTAAAAACATGAGGTCAGCCTTGCTTGGGTTCAAATCCTAGTTCTACCACTCACTAGCTGTGTAACCTGAGGTAACATACCTGATTTTTAATAGCCAGTTTTTGTTTTTTTGTTTGTTGTTGTTGTTTTTGTTGTTTGAGATGGAGTCTCGCTCTGTTGCCAGGCTGGAGTGCAGTGGCGCGACCTCGGCTCACAGCAGCCTCCGCCTCCCAGGTTCAAGTGATTCTCCTGCCCCAGCCTCCTGAGTAGCTGGGGCTACAGGCACATGCCAGCACGCCCAGCTAATTTTGTATTTTTAGTACGGACAGGGTTTCACCATGTTGGCCAGGATGGTATCAATCTTCTGACCTCGGGATCCACCCGCCTTGGCCTCCCAGAGTGCTGGGATTACAGATGTGAGCCACTGCACCCAGCCATAAGCCAGTATTTTTCAAACTTTTAAAACTGTGACCCTGTGGGCAAAACGCTTTCCCCTTATGCATGAAGCTTGACCTTCAATTAACTCTTTAGCTCTGCTCTCCTGGAAATAAGAATGTCAACTATATTACCAGGCAACACTGCTTATGATAAAAATGACCCTTTCCTGGCCGGGCACAGTGGCTCACACCTGTAATCCCAACAATTCGGGAGGCTGAGGCTGGTGGATCACTTGAGGCCAGGAGTTTGAGACCGGCCTGGCCAACACAGTGAAACCCATCTCTACTAAAAATACGAACATTAGCCAGGCATGGTGGCACACACTTGTAATCCCAGCTACTTGAGAGGCTGAGACATAAGGATTGCTTGAACCTGGGACGTGGAGGTTGCAGTGAGCTGAGATAGTGCCACTGCACTCCAGCCTGGGTGATAGAGTGAGACCCTGTCTTAAAAAAAAAAAAAAAAATCCCTTATTGCTAAATCAAATCTGGATGGGCTTGAGGGGACCCCATGATTTGGGCTTCCCTAAGTGGGGTGACTCTCATAACTTGGGCACATCCATTGTGGGGACCTTGAAGCCATGCCTATGTAGTTTTTATAAGATACATTGGCTCCTGTGGGCATAAGGCTTCTATGCCAAGGTGGCTTTCCCACTGTCTTAGATAAGGAGCTTATTTCCTTACACCTGAGCTATCCTTGGACAGCTGTAGGGACTGCTGTATGGACTCATTGAAGACAAATGTCTGATGCTATCTTGCTCACAAGCTGTGGTTTCTGTCCTGTATCATTCCAAGTAGACTGGTGCCAAGTGTGGCCCATGAAAGTCTTGTCGGTATGAATGTCTGACTGAACTTAAAACGACCCTGTGGTGGGTGCTACTGACTTAACAGTAAGAAATATATTTTACTCTGTAATCAGCATGTGCCTATAGACATGTATCTCTAAAACAAAAACTTTCTGAAATAGAGAACACAGTATGTGCTATGTACTCTTAATAGTTCATATTCTATTCTATTCATTTTATTTAAACACTCTGGTTACAATCCACTAAACTGCTTTCACAACAAGTGGGTCATGATCCACTGTTTGAAAAACATGGACTAAACCTTAGATTCCTTACCCTAAAAAGAGTAATACCTATTTGCATAGGGTTGTTGTAACAATTAAAATGGATACTCCATGTAAAGTGCCTAGCATAGTACCTAGTATGTAGCAAGATTCTCTCAACATTGGTTATTACCATTATTGACAATGTCTTAACTGTTCTTCCTGCCCACAGTCTTGACCATCCCCAATTTATTCTCTGCACAGAGGCAAGAAGGAATTTTCTAAAACATAAATCTGACCACATCAAGTGCTTGCTTGAAAATGCTTTAATGAATGCCTGCTGCTCCTAGGATAAGGCCCAGGTTCTTGCATAGCCTACAAGGTTCCACCAGCTCTGGCCCTAGTGGACTTCTCCAACCTCAACTCTAACTAACTCTAGCCTGCATGAGCCACATGGCCCTCTGTGCTCAGCCACAGCAAACCTCCTTTGGTTCTTTAAACTTAACACATTTCTCCACCCTGGAACTACATACATGTTCTGTCCTCTGCCTGGGACATTTTTATTCTTCTTTCAAAGTTTTATCAGGCTAACTCAGCTAGGATTTTAGGTCAGACTGAATGTCAACTCATCAAAGAAAGCTTGAAGAAACCTTCTCTAATACTCTTAAAAATAGGCAGGCAGGCCGGGCGCGGTGGCTCAGGCCTGTAAACCCAGCACTTTGGGAGGCCGAGGCAGGTGGATCACCCTGAGGTCAGGAGTTTGAGACATTCCTGACCAACATGACAAAACCCCGTCTCTACTAAAAATACAAAAATTAGCCGGGCGTGGTGGCACATGCATGTAATCCCCAACTACTTGGAAGGCTGAGGAAGGAGAATCGCTTGAACCTGGTGGGTGGAGATTGCAGTGAGCCTAGATCGTGCCACTGCACTCCAGCCTGTGCGATGGGAGCGAAACTCCATTGCAAAAAAAAAAAAAAAAAAAAAAAAAATAGGCAGGTATCCCTCCCATGTGCTCTCAGACTACCCTCTGAGGTATTTACTAGGGATTTATCTGATAAACAAATGATATCATCTTATCTCATATTAGCACTGCCCATCCTTCTCCCCAGAGGCTATTTGGAAATCATTTACACTACTGACCACAAAACTCCTTCTTCTTCTCCCTTTGTCTGAAAACTAGGGCCTCAGATAGGAACTCTCAGCCTTCCTACCAAGGAAGTCAACACTCCTCAAGGTCCAGAATGGGGAAATCTTGACATTTTGCACTGGGAATGGTGAAAGTTAGCCTAATTGCTGGAAGAACACTCTCAGGAGAGTATGGTCATGCAGAGCTGCTCGGGCCTAGGGAGAAAGTCCTCTGTACAGACCCCTAGCCTAAGCCTTTAGAAGCAAGGCTTTGCCTTTAAGCATGATTCTCAAAACCATCACTTTCCAGGGCAGAACTGAAGAATAGTTTCTACTAGTTGGTTTAGCTGTTGTTTCCTTCCCTACTCTTTTTGGCATGTAGGAAAGAAATAAGAAGTGTTAATTGCATTCTTTCCCCACTGCCAGGCAGACTTTGGCTAAATTCTTCTAGTAAGTTTAAGGTTTATAATGGTTTTAATTATTTTAAATTTAGAAAATGTTCCCTTTCCTTTACTTCCCCCTGCTACTGCCTTTGGTCATTGCTAATAAACCATGATGACAAAATAAACTTCTTCATAGTACAGAAATCAACAGTCAGAATGTTTAGCTAAGCGGGATAGACAGCTGGGCTGACAAGCCCCATTACAGGCTACTTAGAAAGAGCCCATGAGGATTTCTGTCCCATCTAACCTATCATTGAGCTTGTCATTGGTTTACTCACCTGTGGAAGAAAGTTTGGACGTGGAGTGAGTCTAGGAGGGGGGATAAACTGTGGTACTTTGATGGGCTGAGGAGGTGTTGCCTGAACCTGCTAAAAAATGAGGAAGATAAATAAACCAGAGAGAACAATTACTCTTCAATATCAAAGCTAGTATTTTTAGCATCACTATTCTTTGGATCAGACAATATTTTCTACAAGCTTTCATCGTAAGTTAATCATCTGAATTAACACTGCATTAGGAAACTTTTTAACTCTCCCACCTGTGTGCTTTACCCTATAAAATGAACCAACCACACTTCTGTTTCCTCCTACACCTAATGGAGAACATAGCAGGCTCAGTAAATCTTAGACAATTTTCTTTGACACTCAAGAACTTTTGCATTAACATATTTTAAAAGTCAAGACTGGATCCAAAGTAAAATCAAACTTGCTGCTTAGCCAAATAGGCTTTTTCCTGATATAAGCTAACAGTGAATGGCTTTATTCCTATAGAAAATTTTCTAACTCTCAGTATCTGGTTGAGTGACCTCGTTGCTTCTCTAAGGATTCCTGGATAAGCGGTGAACCTTCACTTTATTGCTCTCTAGTTTCACTCACCACTGGTATTATTCAAAAGCCACCAAGAGCTCTTAGGTGCCATTTTAAGGGAATTTTACATCAAAATTTAGATATATTTCTCCCAAGCTTCTGAGAATATCAGTTTTCTAAATGGCTTGATCCTAGAACTCTCATGAAAATTCTTGTTCAAGTACTTCCTCCTTAAAGGGATTTTTTTTTTTTCCTGAACAAAACTTGGGCACTGACACGGTTAATTTGTGAGTTTCTTGAATATTTTTAAAGTGCCTCAACTAACTCCAGTTCTTTCTGGGTACAATCAATTTAAAGAGATATTAAAACTAAAAGAATTATCAGGGAGTTTTCACCAAGGCAGTAATACAGCACAAGAGAGTTTAAGCACTCAAGTTTCACAGGAAAACACTGTAGAGAGAGTGAAGGGAGAGGGAGACATAAATGAAACAGTGTGTATGCCTCTGTGAAGGAGACCTTCCCCCTAAAATCAAGTCATACTTTGACCTCAGATAATGCACTGAATTTAGTCCTTGGTGTCAGGACGCTTCTGTAGTGATTTGAGCAGATAGCAGAAATGCCATATTCCCTTGTCAGCCCCAAAGGGGAATTTGGTATGCTAGAAGAATGATGGAAACTGAGAAATCCAGCAGGAGCCTAGAAGGGATATACTATACAAATGCGTATCCTAACCTTCTCATGTGATCACACATGAGGAGCAGCTGCTGGCTTACCAGAGTGACTGTGTTTTTTGCCACAATTTGGACAGCCTCTGCCCCAGGCCCAGTGACCTTACTAGACGTCTGGAGGTTGACTGGTGTGTTCTGCACATCAGTGCTGAGCACAGCCTTCTGACTGTTGATGGCGGTCACCATAGCAATGGTAGGTCTCTGGCCCACCACAGAGGCAGGCATGGTCGCAGTTGCTGCTTTCAAGACGAGAGGTAGTGTCTTTGTGGTAATCATAGAAGCTGTAGTTACAGTCTTCTAGGAGACAGGGAAAACAGATATTAGGACACTAAATCTAAACTAAATAATAAACTAAATCCCACTAAACAATATGCTGCTTAACCTTGGAAGAAAACAAAACAATAATTCTCATAATCAAGTTTCTCTGTAGAACAACATTTCTTTTGTGTACATACAGCATACTCCTTACTACAGAGAAAGGCAATCTCTAGTTTTCAAGAGTTCTCATATTGGTGTCACTTGTAAATGGGTAAGTTCATAGTAATAACTGCAGACTAATTCAGGCACAGGGTTTTCAACAACAAATGGGGTAGGTATACAGATACAGAATGTGAGTATACTTAATTCTTTTAGTTTTTCTAGTTCTTTGCTTGCTGTCAATTAATTTAAACTTTGTACTAGTTGCAAATCAATGAGGTACATGTCATTTCTATCCTAACTGCTACAAGCTCACCAATATGAAGAAAGCCACCATACAGTTCTGGATATCTGCTTCCTGAGACACAAAGGCTGGGGTAAAAGGACAGTGTCTTTTTCTTTCTTTTTTTTTTTTTTTATGGTGTCACCCTGGAGAGAAGGAAGGGAAACTCACATAAGGATTAGCATGTCGCCTCTGAGGTAGTTACCCTGGAGGCAATGAGTCCCAAAGCTCCAGATAATGAAACATGTTAGCCAATGAGTATATAGTAAATACCAGTTCTTGATACTAAAGGGATATTATGAGTTACTACCTATAATCTTTTCTCTGGAGAACTGCTGCAGAAGTGATCAAAGATGCAATGAAACATGACAAGGTGAAAACAAACATCTGAGTTTTAAAAGCCTGAGAGATCAGAAGATGAACTGAGGTGAGAGGACTTGACTGATGCTCCTTAAGTGCTATTGCAGCTTTGAAGCTGTACTTTTCTAGACTTTTTACTAGAATAATTAAAGGAATCAGTTACAAAACAAACAAAAAAATATAAACAAACTCATTATATGGCCTAAACATCTATCTGGAGATAGATCAACATTTCAGGAACATGAAAATTTATCTGGTCAAACTCATTGATTCTGATTTTGATACTACTCCACCTTTACTGTATATTTGCACTGTCTGATTTGGCAGCCACTAGCCACAAGTTGCTATTTAAAAGGAAATTAATTGGCCAGGCGCAGTGGCTCACACATGTAATCCCAGCACTTTGGGAAACCGAGGCAGGTGGATCGTCTGAGGTCAGGAGTTCGAGACTAGCCTGGTCAACATGGCGAAAGCCCGTCTCTACTAAGAATACAAAAAGTAGACCAGGTGCGGTGGCTCGTGCCTGTAATCCCAGCACTTTGGGAGGCCGATGCGGGTGGATTGCCTGAGGTCAGGAGTTCGAGACCAGCCTGGCCAACATGGTGAAACCCCATCTCTACTAAAAATACAAAAATCAGCCAGGCCTGGTGGCAGGCACCTGTAATCCCAGCTACTCGGGAGGCTGAGGCAAGAGAATTGCTTGAACCCGGGAGGCGGAGGTTGCAGTGAGCAGAAATTGTGCCACTGCACTCAGCCTGGTGAGAGAGCGAGTCTCCGTCTCAAAAACAAAAAAAAAAATTAGCCAGGTGTGGTGGCAGGCGCCTGTAATCCCAGCTACTCGGGAGGCTGAGGCAGGGGAATCACTTGAACCCGTGAGGCAGAGGCTGCAGTGAGCCGAGATCACACCATTGCACTCCAGCCTGGGCGACAAGAGTGAGACTTCGTCTCAAAAAAAAATAAATAAATAAAAATAAAAACTAAATTAATTAAATGTAATTAATTAAAACAAAAACAAAATTAAAACATCAGCTCCTCAGTTGCACTAGCCACATTTCAAATGTCAAAAGTCGCATGTGGTTAGTGGTGACCAAACTGGACAGTGGAGATAGACGGTATTTCCAACATCACAGAAAGTTCTATCACTGTGCAATACCAGTGAAAAGTACCTCCATTCTCTCAGAAACACATCTGGACAACTTCCCTTATGAATTTCTATTTCAGTGTCTATGCTTTTCTACTTAGGGGTATTAAGTTGTTTGCTTCTAGGGAGTTACTTATCTCTATTTTTCTGCCTTATGCGCATATACACATATTATCTAATCTTTTAAGATCATCATCCAAATCTTTGTTTCCTCTTCGCTAAGTGGCTTATTCTCTTTGCCATTGCCTCCTTAAATGTGAAATGAGAGTAAACGCGGAACACTGATATTTATTTTGGGGTGCAGTGGATCACCTATCTTCGATCAGTGATGAAAACCAAATAAAAGCCAAATGCTATTTATTATTAGAAATGGTATATTAATAGTAGTGTAACAGCAAGGACTGACTGCATTATCAGCAATTTGTAGTAAGTGTTTTTACCACAGTGTATTAGCCCTTGTTTTCCATTTAAAACATGTCGATTTAAAGAACTTCTGAAGTGGTGATCCAGTCACACCAGATGGCGTTCAATCCAGTGCTATCGTGGATTGTGGGAGTAAAGCTCTAGTCAGAACTCACTGACATGGATTTTAAAGAAACGCATGTTGTTACTGCTTTAAGAGAAGTCAATGTACTTTTGTTTCAAGTAAATCATCAATATTTTGAATAACTCTAAACTGATGATTCTACAAAATACTGACTAAAGCCTCAAACTCACCTGAATTATATACTTACCATTAACCCAACACTTTAAAAACACTGAAACCTAACAAGTTTGTTCACATCTTAGGTTAGCAGTTTTCTTTTATTTTACAACTATGGTTATGGCTGATTTCACTACATGATTTCTAGCATCTACATACCTGTTTGTCTAGTATACAGGCACAAGACCTAGTACTGTATGCTTCAGTGAAAACTTTTTGAAGAATATATTTACTATTTATTGACACCAAGACCCAGGTAGTGCTTAGATCTTTACCCCTACTCTGGTGCTTCTTCTTTCCCAAGTATTAGGGAACACAAACCAAACTCCTGGGTTTAGATGACAAAAGGAATTTAGAACTTTGAAATCCAAGTCTAATTAAAATGTCTGAACTGTTCTGGAAGGAGGAAGAAGAGACATAGAGAAGAAAGGTGTCAAACGACAAATTATTATTATTATTATTATTATTATTATTATTATTGCTGTTTATTTATTTTTGAGACAGGGTCTTGCTCTGTCACCCAGGCTAGAGTGCAGTGGCGTAATCACAGCTCACTGCAGCCTTGACCTCCTGGGCTCAAGTAATCCTCCCATCTCATTCTCCTGAGTACCTTGGACTAAAGGCAGGTGCTACCACACCTGGCTAATTTTTTTTATTTTTAGTAGAGACGTGATCTCGCTATGTTGCCCAGGCTGGTCTAGAACTCGCTCTCACGTAATCCTCCCACATCGGCCTCCCAAAGTGTTGGGATTACAGGCATGAGCCACCACACCCAACCAAGAGATTTATTTATATGAAAGCTGTGATTTGTTTTTAGCTAGTTAACAGTGTCTAAGTATGATCACCTTTAAGAGAAGGTAGCTGTTTCTCCACAGTTTCATGATGGGGTCCTTTATTTTGACAAAACCCAAATTGCATGAGCTAGAAGTTAATGCAGAAATACATGGCATGGCAAATACTGCCAATAGCAAAATCCTTTTTATTTATTTATTTATTTGCTAAGTCATTGTTGTCTGCCTGCCAAATATGAAGTATTGATTTAAAACAGATGGACTCAGGCTGGACACAGTGGGTCATGCCTATAATCCCAGCACTTTGGGAGGCTAAGGTGGGCGGATCACTTAAGCCTAGGAGTTTGAGACCAGCCTTGGCAACATAGTGAAACTCCACCTCTACAAAAAATACAAAAATTAGTTGGGCATGGTGACACACACCTGTAGTCCCAACTACTTGAGAGGCTGAGGTGGAAGGATCACCTAAGCCTGGGAGGTCAAGGCTGAGGTGAACCGTAATTGCACCATTGCACTCCAGCCTAGGTGACACAGTGAGACCCTGTCTCAAAGAAAACAAAATAAAATAAAATAAAATAAAATAAAATAAAATAAAATAAAATAAAATAAAATAAAACAAAACAAAATAAAATAAAACAGATGAACTCCAATATACAAATCAGAATTTAAGGGATTATTACTATGGGATCTAACTTCCACATCTGTTTTATATTATTTTGCTGGTTTAATTTTGAATGCAGTCATGATGTATACTCAAACAACCACAAATAGAAACTTTTCCCTTTTTTGTCTCCAAAGGTTTGTTTTCCATTTGGTTTTATTAACTGCTTTCTTCTTTACATTTGCATTATGCCATTAAAAATTAGAGGGCTGTGAATATAGGTTGGAGAGTATACCTGTATTTAACTGTTCTATTCTTTCACTTTTTCTGTAGATTGGAAAACTTTTAAAATACACCTATAAGCATGAGTTGACGTTAACTAAGTAAAGCAAACTGTTCCCATTCCCTCTCCCAAAAAGAATTCCTCATTGCTTTCTCTACGCCTTGGTATATGCCAATCACCCGACTTAGAATAAAAAACTTTCTCCTCTTAGCATCTCCCCCTGGCCCCCCGATTGCTACTTAATATTTAATTCTTTCTGAAGTTGTGTATTTAATATATGCCATATATAACCTCCCATTCGTCCTTGCCCTCATACATTAAATATATGTATTTAATATATGCCATATATAACCTCCCATTTGTCCTTGCCTTAGACTTCCCTATGACTGTTAAAAAACCCAGAAGCTCTGGCATGCTTTGGAGGGCTTGGCCTTATCTCCTCTCCATCGTTTCGTGGATCACACACTCCAACCACACCAGCCTACTTACGATTCCCAGGGCATACATTTACTATTTTGACGCCATCCTTTTGTTCATACTACTCTCTATACTTGTGAAGCTCTTTCCCCTTTGCTCTATCACTAAAATCCCATTCATCTGACAGGGCCCTGCTCAGATGCAACCCTCCTTGACAAGTACTTTCTGATCCCTCTAGTCAAAATTACTCTGTCCTCAAAATTTCTCTACATCTTAAATTTTTTTAATTCTTGAAAATAGAAACTCTCTGATTTGTGAATTTAGTCTCCACATTACCTAGAACAGTGCTTGCACACAGTAGGAACTCCACAAATATTTACAGAATGAATAAAAATTATTAATAATGATATACCAGACTTTTGGCAGGGACCACTGCTCTTTGTATACCAGAATCTACCACATAGATTGGTAGTACCAATAAATAGGTTAGTAGTGCCAAGCGCAGTGGCTCATGTCTGTAATCCCAACACTGTGGGAGACCGAGATGGGTGGATCACTTGAGCTCCGGAGTTTGAGACCAGCCTGGCAAACATGGTGAAACCCTGTTTCTACAAAAAATACAAAAATTAGCTGGGCATGGTGGCCTGTGCCTGTAGTCCCAGCTACCCGGGAGGCTGAGGTGGGAGGATGGCTTGGGGCAGGGGTTTCAGTGAGCTGAGATTGTGCCACTGCACTCCAGCCTGGGTCAAAGAGCCAGATCCTGTCTAAAAAACAAACAAACAAACACCAAAAACCAGATTTGTAGTTTACCTGTAAACTCAAAAACCAAAAACTCAGAGGATCCTTTTGGTTTTTAACATTAAACATTTGCATCATTTGCATTAAATAAAACAATATTTAAAAAAGGTTGGCAAAATCAATTAAATATGTCAGGTGGGCTACTGGATGGAGAGGTGCTATACAACACTGTTTTGGAGGCAGCCCTGGGCCTCTTACCATTCACCATCCCAAAGCAACACAGACTACCAGGGAAAGGAAAAGCTATTATATTTTGGAAATGCTTCCTTTGATTTTTTTTTTTTTTTTTTTTTGAGATGGAGTCTTGCTCTGTCGCCCAGCATGGAGTGCAGTACGATCTCGGCTCACTGGAACCTCTGTTGCCCGGGTTCAAGTGATTCTCATGCCTAAGCCTCCTGAGGAGCTGGGATTACAGGTATATGTTACCACGCATGGCTAATTTTTGTATTTTTAGTAGAGATGGAGTTTTGCCATGTTGGCCAGGCTGGTCTCAAACTCCTGACCTAAAGTGATCCACCCACCTCGGCCTCCCAAAGTGTTGGGATTACAGGCGTGTGCCACTGTGCCTAGCCTCCTTTGATTTTTATAACATAAAATGTTACTTGAACAGGATGTTTCCATGGGTTAAGACAGAAAACTCCTATGTAACAGGAAACAATGAATTCTACCACACTCCTTTCAGATAAACATTTTCTGATCAACCTGTACTTTGGAAAGAGAACAACCTAACCCAATTCTGTTTAAAACTTAAACAAAAATTATCCTCTAAACATTCTTTCAGAACTAATACAAGTGCTGGTAAGGAGATTTTTAAAGTCAGTTTTGAATGCCTAATTTCCAAATAGCCTTGGGGTGGTGATTAGGGTAAAAATTTATGTAGGCTGTCCTAGCTATCTGATTTACAACAGGGATTTTTCTTTTTCCTTCTTTGGTTTTATACAGTATTGGTATTGCTTTTTTCTTTTTTTTCTTCTTCTTCTTTTTTTTTTTTTGGTATTGAATGGCAGTACAGAAGAGTAGTTGAATGGACCTATTTTTCAGCCAGAACATCTAGGTTCAAATCTTAGCTACACCACATACCACCCTCCATGATCTTAGGTAAATTATGTAACCTCTCTGTGCCTTAGTTTTCTCTTCTAAAAAACAGAGATGGTGGGCCGGTTGCGGTGGCTCACACCTGTAATCCTAGCACTTTGGGAGGCCGAGGCGGGCAGACCACGAGGTCAGGAGTTCGAGACCAGCCTGGCCAATATGGTAAAACCCTGTCTCTACTAAAAATACAAAAATTAGCCGGGCATGGTGGCACGCGCCTGTAGTCCCAGCTACTCAGGAGGCTGAGGCAGAAGAATTGTTTGAACCCAAGACGGTGGAGGTTGCAGTGAGCCAAGACTGCGCCACTGCACTCCAGCCTGGGTGACACAGTGAGACTCCGTCTCAAAAAAACAATAACAAAAAAACAAACAAACAAAAAAACAGAGATGGTAATAATAATAACTTCCTCTTAGGATTAGGGTGAGGAGTATGTCCATTATGTAAAACACTTAGGAGACTGCCAGTATACAGTAACCTCTATTAAATGTTAACTTATCTTTAGTGTTCTTATAAAAAATTCATTCTTTACTTGCAAAATGTTGCACATGAACCAGTCCAATGTCCATAAACAGTGAACAGCCAACTGAACTATACTCTTTTTCTCTCTATATAAAGACACAGTGAAGACCTGGTGTTGGTTGTAAGAGGTATCCACGCTTAGGTTTCAGAGGATCCCAAAGTCCTTGAAGTGTGCAAAAATGAGTGTATTAAGTGTGAATGTATATTCTTCTGGAGAGGGATCTATAGCTTTCAACAGAGTCATAAAGGGATCTGTGACCTTCAAGGATCCAAGTATCATTTGGAATATCATTTCCAAATACGCCCTTTTTGTGTATCTTGATTGCCTCACGATTCTTAAATTGTATGCTTGTTTAAATGCCCTTTTTGGTAAAAACATTTGCACAGCTACACCAAGTTAGAATTTTATTAAGCTCCCATTTCTTTAGTTTTGACCTGTAGCTTTCATTTCAGATTCCCATCAGTGTATTAGAACAAATACATTTTCTTATAAATATGGGCTTAAAAATGAGTGTTTCTATGAATAGTGCAAATATAGCACTCTTCTTTTTTTTTTTTTGAGACGGAGTTTTGCTCTGTTGCCCAGGCTGGAGTGCAGTGGTGTGATCTCAGCCCACTGCAGCCTCTGCCTCCTGGGTTCAAGTGATTCTCCTGCCTCAGCCTGCCGAGTAGCTGGGATTACAGGCGCCTGCTACCAGGCCTGGCTAATTTTTTTGTATTTTTAGTAGAAATGAAGTTTCACCACGTTGGCCAGGCTGGTCTCAAACTCCTGACCTCAAGTGATCTGCCCACCTCAGCCTCCCAAAGTGCTGGGATTACAGGCATGAGCTACTGAGCCCAGCCATAGCACCCTTCCAAATGCTTCTTTCTATCTGGTCCCAAGAGCACTGATCCTGGAATAGCTCTATGCCTAGTTGCTAAGAATTCCAGAAGAGGTCAAGTCACAAACTTTTAGAACAAGTGTAAATAAATACCTCCAAAAATTCAAAATAAGGTTTTAATTCTGCTGTAAAGCAGATAATTGATTTTTGTTATTGACTACCTTTCTCCCCTTCTTCAGACAGGTGGGAAATCATTTAATTTTTGCTTCTTAGTAATGTTATTTCCTTCTGCCAATGATTACAAGTGATACTTATCTGGGTTATACTGTAAAAAAGCAATCAAAATAACTTTTGTTTAGTTCTAGCTGAGCTTAGTATAGTGTGAGACAGGACCCAGTTCTATATGACCAACAACAAATCAGTCTACAATCTGCAGCCTGCAATGTTCCATCCACACATTTACCTGTGAAGCAGTCAGGTTGGGAGAGGCTGCAGCTGACTGCTGGGCGTGGTGGTGGTGGTACTGCTGCTGTTGTTGTAGTTGCTGTAGTGGTTGCTGCTGTGCTGTTTGTAGTTTGTTTTCAGATTGTGGCAATGGCTGTATTTGGAACTTGTCCGGTTGTTCTTGCTTTACTATCAGGTTCTTCCGTAGCTGTTCAACTACTCTTTTCTACCAAATGAAGACAAAAAGAAATAAAAGATATTAGAATACTGCTCTATCAGCTGCACAGAAATATGCTCTGACATCTTTTCTATAAATAGCTTCATCTAAAACTTATTACATCTAAATTTACACAGGTTCTACATATGAAGAGCTTAAAGCATTTAATATACATTATTGGTAATATGAAACTGATGGTGTAAGAAATGTTTTATATATAAAGGGCAACTGAGGCACACAAATGAAAAATCTGAAGGAGATCACACAGCAGAGCTCAGATGTCCTATTATTAACTTAGCATGCTGAGAGCAGTATACAACGTAGCAGTAAAAAGCAGGACTCTGGAGCCATCCTACTTCAACTCCAATTTCAGTTTTGCTACTCACAGCTCTAAGATGTTGGGTAAGTTTATGAACCTACCTGTGCCTCACTGTCTTGCTCTTTAAAATGAGGTGGTTAACAGTACCCTTGAGGTTCTTATGAGCACCAAATGACTTGTTATATGGAAAGTACTCAGAACTGTGATTGGCACATTGTTGATCATTATTATTATTATTAGAGATAGTGTCTCTCTATACTGCCCAGGTTGGAGTACAGTAGCTATTCACAGGTGTAGTCATAGTGCATGCACTACAGCCTTGAACTCCTGGCATCAAGCAATCTTCTCACTTCAGCATCCCAAGTAGCTGGAACTACAAGCACACACCACTGGGCCCAGCTTATTATTTTTTGCATATGATAACACAGATACTAGCCATAGTAATTTTTATTAAGCAAACATCATGTATCTGTCCCAGTTGAAAACATTAAACAGACTGTTAAACAAAGAAACCTTGATCCCAGTAATATGCCATATAAACAACACATTCTAAATTACTGAAATGTGTAACTCATGAGCAGGACTTCTTTGCTGGGACAGGTTCTGTGGCGGTACACACGTTTGTTTAGGCAGAGTAGGGATTTAACTGCGTGGAGTGAAAAATTAATGTCAAAGTTCTTCAAACTTTCTAGGCCTTGCTCAAATCCAAGAGAAATGTGTTTCTGGATACCTTCATTATTATAATACACTTCAACAGCATGTAAGCCCCATGAGTGCAGGGGCTTATTTGGTTCACAACTATACTCTGCACTTATAACTATATTGCTGGCCCAACACGGTGGCTCATGCCTGTAATCCCAGCACTTTAGGAGGCCAAGGTGGGTGGATCACTTGAGGTCAGGAGTTCAAGACCAGCCTGGCCAACATGGTGAAACCCCATCTCCGCTAAAAATACAAAAATTAGCCAAGCATGGTGGCACACACCTGTAATCCCAGCTACTCAGCAGGCTGAGGCAGGAGAATTGCTTGAACCTAGGAGATGGAGGTTGCAGTGAGCCAAGATCATGCCATTGCACTCTGCACTCCAGCCTGGGTGACAGAGTGAAACCCTGTCTCAAAAAAAAAAAAAAAAAAAAAAAAAAACTATATTGCTCAGTAAATGTCCTTGTTCTCTTTACCTGATGTGTAAAGTGGTGGGACCAAAGACCAACAAATGGCTCATAAAGCATATAATAACTATTTGGGGCCATATTTGGGCTCTGACTCTCCTGCCCTAATAGGAGGAAGAAGGTATAAGCAGCATTCCTCTCATATCTCATACACTTTCAAGTTAGTTCATTAGCAGAGGTGTGCTATTTCTGATAAAAATAGATTGTGATTTTCTAATATAGATTATGAATGAAGAAAAAGAAGTGAATGAAGAGCTTTAAATAGTTAGATGAAACCATAAGAGCCAGGTTAATTCTCAAATGCCTGCTTATGGCTCTAACCAACTTCATCCCCCATATTCTCTGAAGAATCCAAATCTGTGGATTACTCATTTAACATATTTGAACATTAAAATATGTATAAAATGAATTTCTAAAATCTTTAAGTAAAAAAAAAAGTTCTCTTGAGAGTTGTTTGTTTTTATTTTTTGGTTTGTTTCTCTCTTTTTGTTTTTCTTTTTTTTTTTTTTTTTTTTTTTTTGGTTGTTTTGAAACAGGGTCTGGCTCTGTCACCCAGGCTGGAGTGCGGCAGCACAATCTTGGCTCATTGCCATTTCCACGCCCCAGGCTCAAGCGATCCTGTCACCTCAACCTACCAAGTAGCTGGGACTACAAGAGCGTGCTACCATGCCCAGCTAATTTTTTTATTTTTTGTAGAGATGGGGTTTCGCCATGTTGCCCAGGCTGGTCTCAAACTCCTGAGCTCATGCAATCTGCCCACCTTGGCCTCCCAAAGTGCTGGGATTATAGGCATAAGCCACCACGCCCGGCTGAGAGGTTTTTAGAAAAATATTTTTATTATTGATTCTTTTCAGACAACTAAAATATCATATAAAGGCCAATTTTGGGGGGAAAAATTCTGCTATGCATTATATTCTGCTAGCACTGCCTCTCTGAGTAAATATTTTTTTTTAAATGATGCAGAGTTTAAAGTCTTTGCAGAAACTATCTGCAGAATAATAAAAATGCAAATTAATAAAATATCAAATGCTTATAAAGTTAACTTTCAAGTCTTCAAAATTCTATTTCTCCAATATAAAAGGCAGAATAATTAAACTGCTGTAGTTTAGGAGAAGGCAAAGTAATAGCAGTGGTGCTGCAGATAATGTTGAGAATCTCATGTAAATTTTATTGCTTGGTGACTGCTAGAACATTTAGACATTTAAAAATTAAGTAATTATTTAGAGTTGCTTCAGTCCTCCTCCCCATCAGACATCAAACATATTAACGAACTAGCTAACGTGCAGCATCAGCAGCCAGAGAAAGGAACCCTAAGAGCTCTTACAAAACAAAAACAACAATAAAAAACCCAAAACAGATCAAATCAGAAGAAGGAGATAAATCAGGAGGAAATAATACAACATAAACATGACACCTGCCAAAAAATAAACTTTGGACAAAAACAGCACAGGAAACTAATTACTATACCAGTCACAAAAGGAAAGGGTGTTTTTTTCTCCTCTACAGCCATCCTTAGGAAACACAATGTGCTCTCCTAATCACTGCCTAGCTAAAGTACACTAGAAGCAAGAAACAAAGCCCAGAACCCATTTCCAATGTCATGTACAACAGAAGGGAACAGTAGGGAAAGCAGGAGCAAGGGATGCGGGCTAGAGTACTACTCTTCAGCCATATGGCTAGAGCAAGGTGACGACCAATCAGAACCAGAATCAGGAGCGTGGGAGTCAAGTGAGTCACACTGCATTCACAACTGCTCCTCCCCCAGGGCCTGAAACAAAGCCGTGGAAGCTTGGGGTGGGGGCTGGTGGGGGGACATGATCAAAATACTTGCAAACTTACATCAGTCCTTGAGAGGAGGGAAAAAAAAAAGGAAAAAGAAAGAGAGCTCTGCATTACAGGTCAGATCATATGAGCTGGGTAAAGCTTTCTTTAAAAGATAGCGTTGGTATGTCAAACTGCCACTCAGAAATGAATTGTCCCTTACTCCTTGCTGTGTTCACCAGATTAGAATACTGCGTGTGTGGTTATACATGTCTGTTGCTATCTGTGAAAAAAAAAAATTTTTAAATCAAGATTTTGAGGAAGCACTGATGCCCTCTGTCACTTAAATATAGATGACTGCACTTAGAAACCAGTAACTGAAAGCCAGGTGAGCTCTGCAGCAGAGGTGCTCCTTAGGTGTGGAGGCCCTGCAGGCTCTTCCAAGGACTGGGAGTAAAGGAGAGTTGCTGTGCATATTAGCTGGCTTTTCTAAGTCTCACAATCCAGTCTCGTTCTAGTTCAGTCTTGCAGCTCTGGCAAACACAGCACTCAAATGACTTCAGAGGGACCCCGGATTTAGGTCAGTACCACTTCTGGGTGGCAGCAAGAGAATACGGCGAAAATATCTCAAAAACCCTAGCTGTGTGGTATCATCCAAGGTTCTCACTGCTCCCTATATAAAGGATATCCTCTCATCTCCACAGGAGATGAGCCTATATTTTTACTACTATGTGTTTTAAATGAAGACGTCATGACTGCTGCTGGTCACTGACGAAGGTTATACTGGCATACATGATTTGATATTTTCAAAGGTATTCACATATAATGGAGATCTTTAAATGTAGCTAACTATATTGGAACATTATCCTGAAGCTTTGAGAAAGGGCTAAATTTCACAAACTGGCCATTCATCATTCACTGATAAGTTAATGAGAGTTAAAAGAGAGGGAAAAAATCAGGGAAATGAAAAAAGAAAGCTGGAAAGAACAAAGACGGAAGGGAGAGAGGGAGAAAAAATTAATAACTTATCATCTTTTCTTCTTAATATATTTCTATAAACAATAAGCCAACATGCCAGGCCTCCAGAACTGCTAGTACCGCCCACTTCAATCCATCTGTCAAGAACTGCTCCATAAACCCAGCATGTAACAAGGAGCCTTAGATTCCCTTGACATTCGCATCACTGGGTTTCATCAGGGCTTGTTCAGGCAGAAGAGTTCACAGAGCCTCTGACACTTCAAGTCACAGTTTCCAAGACAGGTAGTCACGGTGATCAATATTGTGACATTCAGCGATACTATCAACGTGTTCACACGACAGCAAGACAGATCCTGAAGAAAAATACGGAATTTTATAGGTCTAATACAACAGAAAATCAGGTTCGTTTTTCCACCGTTTAAGTCACGTTCCATGGCTTTTGTCAACAGAGAAGGGAGACGGAGAGACGGAAGGACTGCCCCCACCCAATCAACCCACCAGTTTATTCCTATCAAAAATTGCTCCCACAAATTTTAGAAAGCTTCTCTCAAAAGAAACTCCAAGACCCTGCCCTCCACAACTGGATGTCAGTGCTGCAAGTCTCTGCTTTTTCACACATTCAGTCACTCCACTGGTTTGTGCTCTACATGGCAGTATCTGTTGCGTATCAATTATTAGAGGGCCACACCCACTCAAGACATCTTCTTACACAGTATTGCCTTAAAGATGCATCCTTTTATTCCTTCCATGAATCAACATGCAATTTAAAAATACAACCTTCACTCTTTATACCAGAGGCTGATAGAGACTTGTAACTTTTCACAAATGCAGAAAGGTATCAAATCTTACTCAAAATCTTTCTGGGTCTTCAGACACACCAATTGCTCAAAATGAAACCAAGGATACTAAATTTTACGCGTATGGAAAAACTAACCTGGAGAAATGTTTATTTGTTGATGAGATCAGAACTTACTCAAAGAGGAAAAAAAAGACTTTCTACCGTCTAACTAAAACTCAGCCACTGCATTGATAAGTCACACCAATATTCATCAACGCTGAGGATGCAGGAAGGAGACAGGGCAGTCTTCAGAATGTGCCACAAAATTATCCTCTAAAGAAGAGGGGATGTGTTACTGTCATAACATTAGAGACAAAATTACAATCTAGAGTAAAATGTATGTATTGTTTAATGGAAACAGAAACTAAGTGAAGATTTCACCATTTTATGAACAAAAACACAGAATGCCATTTTATGGACAAACACACAGAAGAGAAACTCAAGATAAACTCCCTCCTTAATGCAAGTAAAATTCAATAAGAGAATCTGCACTGGAGTTATTGGAGGGGATAGTCCAGGCAAGACACAGGATAGAATTCTAACAGAGGAAGACAGGGAGGAATACTGGTGGCAGAAGCTATAAAAATATACTTAGCTAAAATAATTGCACTTTCTTCATTTTGTAAGATACTAGAAAGTTTTCCCCAGACTCTCTGAGATTCACAAAGAATTAGACAAATAGTTTCTTTCCCTTTTTAACCTCTTTTAAAAAGTACATATCCTTTTAAAATACCACCTGTTTGACAGAAACAGCATCTACAACCTCATCTTACACAGTGAACTGGACACAATGTCTACAAAAGAAGGTCTCTTTCCTGGTTTTGAGATTTGGGGACATAATTATTTTATAGTTCTCAAGTTGTCATGGAATTTATATAGTACAAATAAACAAATTGACAACAGCAGCAACTGTAATTATCAGAGATTTTTTTCAGTAAAGTTTAAAATTCTCTGCATGGATGTTTAACAGATGGCAAAGAATGCATATATCATGGTATTGATTAGACTTCGGCTTACTTTTTTAATTAAAAAATATTCTTTGGGGCTTATTCTTCCTTCAAAACACACACACACACACACACACACAGAGGTATTTACATCAATGGATTTTACATCTCATCTCCATAGGAGATGAGACCCTTTATTAATATCATTAGGATTTACAGTCCATCTCTCTAAAAATTTAGACTTTAGACCTTTTATTTGCTAGCCTGATTGAAATGCAGTTTTCTTATTTAATTCACTCATGCTCTAATAGGTAAACTCAACCCCATCTTCCCCCTAACTTGATATGTATGACTATAAAAGACTAATATTGATATAGTCAGACTTTGCCTAAATTTAGAGACCCTTCTAAAAACCTGGGACTGCCTTTAATTTGTGTCAAACAAGAAAGAGTGTGGCTGTTGTACTCAAGAGAGATGTGACCCCTAGAGAATTACAGATTCTAATATGTAACATACGACGATGCTGCAGCAAAAAAGTATAAACACATAAACTACAATCGAACAATGCATACTAGGAATGGTAGTTGTAATATATTTATGTGTGATAAAAGACCTAAAAGTCCAGATGGCTTACATTCAAGTTTTCTACATTTCTTTGAAGCACTAAACTATACCGCCCTCCTTCCTTCAGAAAAATATTGGGAATCAAATTAATTAATGGTGGGGAATGCTTAGGAAACTGTCAGGGGCAATGTGAAAAAAAGGGATAGTAACTAATGAATGACACAATTTGTCTAGTATGAATTTTTAACTCAGAGCAACAGCTAATTAAATGTGACTTTTATTTCCAATGTCAATTATATTTCAATCACTTGATTTTTAACATCTAATCATTTTAATGCTAGTTCAATCTATGTTTGGCTATTTTTTTTTTAATGACAACTGCCAAAAAGAAAGTACAATATCAAAGCGAATGCTACCTGTTGCCTTTTAATCTCAGAAATCAAATATATTAGGATATATATCCCTGTGGAAATCTAGGTACATCCCAGATTTCTTATACCTCTATGGTGGTTCAGGGCCATAATTATGAATGCGTAAAAGAGATGCCCAATTTAAATGTAACCTGGGCCAAGCACAGTGGCTCATGCCTGTAGTCCCAGCTACTTGGGAGGCTGAGACAGGAAGATCCCTTAAGCCCAGCAGTTTGAAGCTTCAGTGAGCTATAATCATGCCACTACACTCCAGCCTGGGCAACAGAGCGAGACTGTATCATAAATAAATGTATGTATGTATGTATGTATGTATGTATGTAACCTGACCCATCAAAGACCCTAGACGCAGTAAATACCTAAGAACCATTTATAATCTGCACAATTTAGCTGTTTGTTACCATAAAAAAGCACCTGAGGCCAGGCGTGGTGGCTCACACCTGTAATCCTGGCACTTTGGGAGGCCGAGGTGGGCGAATCACAAGGTCAGGAGTTCGAGACCAGCCTGGCAAATATGGTGAAACTCCGTCTCTACTAAAAATACAAAAAATTAGCTGGGCATAGTGGTGGGCGCCTGTAATCCCAGCTACTCGGGAGGCTGAGGCAGGAGAATTGCTTTAACCCAGGAGGCAGAAGTTGCAGTGAGCCAAGATCACGCCACTGTACTCCAGCCTGGGTGACAGAGCAAGACCCCGTCTCAAAAAAAAAAAAAAAAAAAAAAAAAAAGCACCTGAATCATTGTGTTTGTACCACAATAAGATATATCATAGAGGCTATTAATTTGTAAATTAAGCTCCAATAGAGCAAAACGTCTGTCCCTCTGTAACTGTCTGTTTACAGAACACCGCTGCACATACCATCAGCTTGTCATTCATCATTACATGGCTGTATCCCACAACCTAAAGGCAGCACTGCTTTGTTAATATCAGAATTGTCTTGGACACTACAGAAATTCTCCCATTCCTCTGCACTGTAGCTGCTGTGGTTTTCCTCACAAAAGAATGCTGACTGGAGATGGCTGCACAGTAGCTGTCCCTGACAAGTTGGATATGAAAATACAATTTAAGTACAGTGATGATGCTAAATTGGAGGAGGGGAAAGGAGGAACAAAACCAAAGCCCCTATCATTTTATGGAACACTGCTCAGACAAAACAAATTGTTTTACCTACTCCAAGCCCTAGGTACCATTTGAGATAATGTAGGAAGTCACATTTTCACAGAAACACAAGACAGAATCAGATGCTAGAAGAGGTAAATATAACAGATTATTTAACCAAATTCTATGCAGAATACATCCACTAAGAAATAGATCCATTATTTTCAAAGATGAGGATACCTTTTAAGAATCCTCAACTCTGTAAGTTTTCTTAGAAGACAGAAAAAGACAATAATATTAGAAAAATATATCGTAGCAGGCAGTATATATCATGTAGAAAATATTATATGATGAAATGTAATATTTGCCTTACATTTAAACAAAAGTAACACTTGTATATAACTAAACACTGGCATTTTTAATTGGGAAGTATTTTTAACAAAAGTACATTCTTAATATCACACTCTTGATGCTTAAAATCATAATTTAAAAAATCATCTACAGTAATAGCACAGGCACATAAATTTTAAAAGATTCTAAAGCTGCTAGGCCAGGCGTGGTGGCTCACCCCTGTAATCCCAGCACTTTGGGAGGCTGAGGCTGGATGACCACTTGAGACCAGGAGTTCGAGACCAGCCTGGCCAACATGGCAAAAATCCCGTCTCTACAGAAAATACAAAAATTAGCCAGGCATGGTGGTGGCACAATTGTAGTCCCAGCTACTCGGGAAGCTGAGGCATGAGAACTGCTTGAACTCAGGAGGTGGAGGTTGCAGTGAGCCATGATCCTGCCATTGTACTTCAGCCTGGGTGACAGAGCGAGACTGTCTTTAAAAAAAGAAAGAAAAGATTCTAAAGCTGCTGAATGCTACCCTCTTAGTTTCACAAAGTATTCCTAATTTCAGTAGTTAAATTTACCACCAAATATTTGTTACAATCACTTAAAGAAAAAAATGAACAATGTTATAAATTTACTTTCTGACAAGACACCCCTCGTCAAACAACAGGGAGGGTGCAAGTTCCTCACAAGTGCAGCCTGCCAAAATAATTACTGATTAACTTCATGGAATTGGCTCTTCCAAGACATGTGATAAAGGATAATTTGCACTTCTCTGTATTTATCTGAGTTTACTTCATCAGAGACACAAGAAACCTGAACTCATCTTTCAGAATTTCAGAACACATTTGCTTTTGTTTGTTTTAAATCATTAGTACTACAAATCTTATTAAAGAGAGAGGTTCAGCATTGTAGAAGAAAAGCATGAACGATCTCTTAATGAATAAAACAAATTTGGTTAAAAATTTAGCTGGGGTGGGCCAGACGCGGTGGCTCATGCCTATAATCCCAGCACTTTGGGAGGCCGAAGTGGGCAGATCACAAGGTCAGGAGATCAAGACCAACCTGGCTAACACGGTGAAACCCCATCTCTACTAAAAAAAAAAAAAAAAAAAATACAAAAAATTAGCCGGGCCTGATGTTGCGCACCTGTAGTTCCAGCTACTCGGGAGGCTGAGGCAGGAGCATCTCTTGGACCCAGGAGGTGGAGGTTGCAGTGAGCCAATATCATGCCACTGCACTCCAGCCTGGGTGACAGAGTGAAACTGTCTCAAAATAAATAAATAAATAAATAAAAATAAAAATAAAAAAATAAAAAATTTAGCTGGGCACAGTGGCTCATGCCTATAATTCCAGCACTTTGGGAGGCCAATGCAGGAGGACTGCTTGGGCCCAGGAGTTCGAGACCAGCCTGGGCAACAAAGTGAGACCCTGTCTCTACAAAAAATACAAAAATTAGCCAAGGATGGTGGCATACACCGGCAGTATCAGCTACTCAGGAGGCTGAGGCTGGCTTGAGCCCAGGAGGTTGAGGCTGCAGTGAGCCATGATCGTGCCACTGCACTTCAGCCTGGGCAACAGAGTGAGACCCTGACTCAAAAAATAAATAAATAAAATTAAAAGAAAGAGAATTTTTTAAATCTTAAGCCTGAAGAAAAACATTTTTCACAGGTGATGAAAATTACAAAATCTAATTACAAAATCTAATCCACAAATTTCTACACAAATATTTACAGTCTTCACACCTGAACATACACATGTATGCACCCACTAACACAAACATACACACACCCCTCTCACACTTTAGAAAGGATGGAATGGCCACAGTAAAAATCATTTATAGCATTTTCATCTTCTTTTTTTTTTTTTTTTTTTTTTTTTTCAAACAGGATCTCACTCTGTCCCCCAGGCTGGAGTGCAGTGGCATGATCTGGGCTCACTGCAGCCTTGACTTCCTGGCCTCAAGTGATCCTCCCACCTCAGCTCCCCAAGGAGCTGGGACTACACGAATGCACCACCACGCCCGGCTAATTTTTTGTATTTTTAGTAGAGACATGGTTTCGCCATGTTGCCTAGGCTGGTCTCAAACTCCTGGACTCAAGCGATCCACCCGCCTCAGCCTCCCAAAGTGCTGGGATTACAGGTGTGTGCCACTGCACCTAGCCCATTTTCATCTTCTTCCAGTATACTCCTAAGTACTGAAGCTGTGATTCATGCTTTTACTGTATTGTTCTCCAGTTTCTACATACAGCAAAAGTATTGACATGCATGGTCAAAAGAGGACACTACAATGAACATAAAGGCAGTCCCTTGATTTGTTTTTTTTTTTTAAAGAAGACTTTATTTTTAGAGCAGTTTTAGGTTCAGAACAAAACTGAACAGAAAGTAGAGTTCCCACATACTCCTGGCCTCCCCACCCCACATCTCCCCACTATCAACAAGCTACACATAGCAGAACATTTGTTACAATCGAACCTACACTGACACCTCAATACTGTCGAAGTCCACAGTTTAAACTAGTGTTCACTCCTGATGCTGTACATTCCATGGATTTAGACAAACATATAATGACATACAGCCACCATTATACTATCACACAGAGTAGTTTCACTGTCCTGAAATTCCTCTATGCCTGTCTATTCAGCACAACCTTCCCTCACCCTCTGGCAACCACTCCTCTTTTTACTGCCTCCATAGTTCTACCCTTTCCAGAATGTCATAGAGTTGGAGTCATACAGTATGCAGCCTTTCCAAATTGGTTTCTTTCACTCAGTAATAAGCATGTAAGGTTCTTCTATGTTTTTCATGGTTTGATAGTTCATTTCTTTTTAGCTCTCAATAATATTGCATTGTCTGAATGTATCACAGTAGTACCTTGATTTTTTCCATATGGTCTAATGTAGTAGCTAGTGAATTCTATAACTGTTACATAAAAACGAAGTAATAATATCAGATGGATATTACTTGCCAGGTAGAACAATGAGGCTCTGAGTAATTAAGTGACTAAACCTAGGTCACAAATCAGGGATAGAGTCAGACTTAAAGAGTTCCAACTCCTGATAACTAATTCCATATTCCCACCTCAAACCCCCAACACCAGTATCTGGCTTGCTGGTAAGGATCTGGAGCCCTCACACCTGTAATACAGCTGCAGTAAGCTTATACACACACACACACATGCACGCGTGCACTTTTTCTCCTCCGCTCTGCTTTTAGAAAAAATAAGTAGAGAGGCAGTATTGTGCTGTAAAAATAATACACTGGGTCGAGAAACCTAGGTTCTGTCACTAAACAAGGTTTGTGACCTTTGGTCAGTTATTTACCCAATCTTGGTCTCAGCTTCTGCACTCAATCTCTAAATTATCTTCTATTAAAATTTTATGAATCTCTGAATGGCAAGAATACATTCCTGATGTATATCTTTACCTCTATAGCACTGCACAGAGAAAAATGCTCACAAAGATGATCCTGACACACCCAAAGAAGCTAAATCATTAAAGAACAGTTTCATTCAGGGGTTGAAATCTCACTCACGTGAACATGTAAACTGATGATTACATTTTGCAAGACATGTAATAGGATTATTACCTATTGCCAGGCAAGTAATATTAATACAAGAGAATGAAGCAGGCCAGGTGTAAGATACTAGGCATGATAGGGACTGACATCAACTGGAGAGGCAGTGCCCTAATAACACTAATCAATGAACTGCTTTTAATATTGTGAGTCAAACAAAGTATCTTTGCTGATAGATAAAGCCCATGGGCCACCAGTTTTCAACCCTCAGACGGTAATTACACTCACTGAACTGTAACTACTAGGAAAGTGGAATTAGACATTACTTAGAAAATTTTTCAGCCCGGCATGGTGGCTCATGCTTGTAATCCTAGCACTTTGGGAGGCTGAGGCGGGCAGATCATGAGGTCAGGAGATCAAGACCATCCTGGCTAACATGGTGAAACCCCGTCTATACTAAAAATACAAAAAAAAAAAAAATTAGCCAGGCATGGTGGCGGGCGCCTGTAGTCCCAGCTACTCGGGAGGCTGAGGCAGGAGAATGGCGTGAACCCAGGAGGCAGAGCTTGCAGTGAGCTGAGATCGCGCCACTGCACTCCAGCCTGAGCGCTGGGTGACAGAGCGAGACTCCGTCTCAAAAAAGAAAATTTTTTGACATCACAAGGTGAACCAAAAATGATTTTAGATAACCAGAAAATTCAAATGGCCTTCTGACTAATCAAAATTTTATCATAATGGAAGAGCTGGGATGTGACTTTAGTGGGAAAATGCATAGACAAAAGGCAAGTTATATGAATGAGTTCTGAGAATATGCTAAGATAAAATATCTGAAGACACAGGGAAACACACAACTATATACAAAATATAACAGTGGAAATGAAAATGGTAGTAATACGTTTCATAATGGTGCCTACTTTATCAAAACAGCTTAAAGTACCTTACATATAATTTAACCCCTGTCACATAAGACTGACACAAGGATAAACTGAAATCCGTTCCTCTACCACTGAACCGCAGCTACCTCAAGTGGTGGAGAAAGCAGTTGTTTAAAGAGCTGTAGAGTAGAGGTCAGAAAACTGAAAACTACCTTGCTGAAGCTATCTAGGGAATTACAGTAAGCAAAATGTAATAATCTCACTTGGAATCCAACCAGAACACTGAAACTAACATCTTTTACATTTAACTGGTTCTCATTTCTGAGTACTCTGATTTTTCAAAATCATTTAATTTACATGATTAAGAAAAAACAATTCATGTTATAAACATACGACTATTTAATAATTTTTCAAGAATCTTACTTTCTGAGTAGACCCTAAATGAAAAATGATGGTACTATTTTCCACAAATATTTCCCTAATGATGTGATTTTTCTGTGTGCTTGTGTGTATAAGTAATCACATATTTACACAGCACTTTACGATTGTAAATTTTGAAACCCTCTTATCAAATAAGACTCTCAGAACTGTGCAGGGCTAATTATGTTAACTGTCATTGATTCAGATGGGGAGAGTGAGGCACATGGTGATGGGTGACCAATCAAAAGTTACACAGTTCTGTGATAGTAAAACTGGGACTAGAATATGGAATCCCTGCCCTCTGGAAAACTAGTTTGAATGAAGCTCTGTTCACTAACAAAAAGCTGGAGCTCATTTTTCTGAGCCAACTTTTCTGGGGCTCACAGGAGGTTGGGTGGCATCCAAGCAGACTGACTGAATGCAGAGTACACTAGTATGGGGAGCTGGGCCAACAGGGAGAGATGTCCCTTTCTGGTCATATTCTCTAGATACAGTCAACTGCCAGGAAACAGAGTCAGGCTGTTGAGATCCAAGGAAGTAGAGTAACCTACACAATAAATTGAAAGGGCCAAGCAGGAGAGGAGCCAGTGGATGCAGTGATGCTGGGAAACGGGACGGTCAGAGATGAGGCTCGGGCAGCTGGCGAGATAGCTCTGGAGCCTGTTACACCGACAGTGCCTATCTGAGATGAATTTCCTAGAAACTGCTCTAAGTACTTGGAAAGGCTGGGAACGTTCCTAAAGGGACTGGGCAGGGCTAGATAACTTGCTTCAAAGTGCCAGGGAGACTGTACTTCTGTCATCCAAGACAGTCTCTTTGGCAGGGCAGCTGAGCAGGGATAAATGCTGGAGCCAACCCAACAAGAATGATATACTTCCTCGTCTACATAGTATGATGGACAATTTTAAGATTCTGTTGCTAACCTTACAGCCTCAAGCCAAAAACTTCAATTCTGGAATAATGACTTCAATTTTAAAAATGGAATGGACACTGGCAACATTTAGACTGGGTAAAGTGTTGGGCTCTGGTGGGTTTTTAAAGTAAATCATAGCAAACTTTACTTACCATCCACTAAAGCTGGATTTAAAAATTTGATTCACTAACAGATTTATCTTACTGCCATAAAAATTATGTAGCTATTTGTCTTTTGAAATAGAGCTCAGATAATCAAAACCCATATGCAAAGGGGCTGCGGAAATACCATTACAAACCACACAGAGAGGTTTTAAAACCAGCCTCCCTGCTTTCAGAGCTGCTACTAGGAATCCTGGCTGCCCCTCCTCCACGTATCAGGCAAGACCAGGGCTCAGTCAGTAAGACTGCTGTGTAAGTGACGCAGCCATCACTTCTGCTTAGTCTCCACAGGCCTAATGTATGTGATGCTGAATTTACTTATCTCAGTAGGCAGCACAGCCTCACCAAGAGTGGTTATGTTTTAGGCTTTGTAAGAACAAGATGTCAGGGGTTTTGCTGTTGCATCATTCTGCAACACCTTATTTCAACTCTGTGCTGAGCTGGCAAAAGCTCTAAATCAACCCAGCTCTGCAACCCAGCTCGCTTAGCTTACCCTTCAGATGTTCCAGTAGTAGGACGACTTTGCAATATTCACTGGCAACGTGACACACTAGTAACAGTTTGTCTAGTCATCACACGCTTTGAATGTCTCCCTGGTATTTCTCTGTCCTTGTCCCTCTGTGCTGCATTTTCCTTACTAAATATTTCTGATAATATTTTCAACCAAAGGACGTAAGAATCTAACTCCATCTTGAGCCCACAGAAATGTGTATAATCTCTGTGCTATATGCAGACCTGGGAGAAAGACCTAATTGTCAGACTGTACCTAAGCGTCCTAGAGTCTACTCTGCTTAGATGTTGAGAATGAGAAGAGACAATTATTTCCATCCCCTTTATAAGAATACAGCTGATTTCAGGTTGGCTGCTAAGGCAAGTGTGATAGGCTTGCTTGGAGAAAGCATGGATATTTGTTGTCTGATGGGATACAGTGGAACGAACCCACTCATCAGCAGGCTATCCACTTTTGCCACTAATCATAGGGGAGAAAGCACTTTTAGGAAAAGAAAATGGAACAAATTCAGTGGAAAAGAAGTGACACAAAAGTGCAATGTTTAACAAGCAGCTGCTCTTGGTGGCTGAAGGTGCTCCTGTCCTAACAGAGACTCCCCTAACAGGAAGGAATCATTCTTACACAGGGGTGCATACCTATACTTCACAGCATGTTTGTGTGACAGTTATACTGTCATAATTTTAGATGGTTAAACCTCTACTCCCGGGTTTATAAAAGATCAGAGCACTTGTCACTCTTGGTGCAGGTAGAGTGAGATAGAGTGGTTGAGCAGTTCATTTTTCTTTATAATTACACTCCATTAACCTTCCACATGAGAGCTCCCCTGTGCTTTCATACCAGCAGCACCAACTGGCTGCATTTGATAAGGCTCTACAGAGTCTGCAAGACCAGCACATGTAACAAAAGGAAGACTTTAATACTGCAGACTTAAGCAGAAGCTGAACGCAGCTCTGTTACTTATTGGCACACATATTCAGCTCAATTATACATGTGTAGACAAAAACAAACCAAAAACATAAAGCTGGAAACCAGTAAACAAATGATGGGAGCTTATTTAAATCAAAAGTGATTCAAAAACCTTCTGGTAATCTTCATAATATTCAAACCCCAAATTCATTATTATTTTCAGTATATGGCTTTTTTTAAAAAAATAATTTTTATTTATTTATTTAGACACAGGGTCTCCACTGTCACCCAGGCTGGAGTGCAGTGGTGTGATCATAGCTCATTATAACCTCAAACTCCCCGGCTCAAGTGATCCTCCCACCTCAGTCTCCCAAGTAGCTAGAGCTACAGGCATACACCACCAAATCCAGCCAATTTTTAAGTTTTCTGTAGAGATGAGGTCTCACTGAATTGCCCAGGCTGGTCAGAAACCCCCGGCTTCAAGTCACCCTCCTGGCTCGGCCTCCCAAAGTGAGCCACCATGCCTAGCCATTATTGTTTTTCTAACCTTTGATAATGTGGCATCCTATTAAAAACATAGGATCTAGTACTCAAGGTAGTAAAGCTTACAGGTTGACACATTATAGAGTGATCTATATTACAATTAGATCACATTGGTGTCTACAAGCTACATGTGGTATTTACTTGCTAAAGCATTTCTCTTTATGTATTGCTCAGTAACTCACTTAAAAAATATGCTGGTTAAGAACTAGCACTAAGTCTGTCCCTATCATCCTTGACAGTGGCCACATAAATGATTTCCCTTTTTGAGAGACAGAGAGAGAGAGAGAAACGTATTCCATTAATAATGCATTCTCCTGGAGTTTTTAATGCAGTGCCAGGAATGCTACTCTCCATATGCACAAAGGTAGATTAGTGCTTTTTCTACCCTGAGCAAAGGCTAGGTGTACATGCTTGAGCAGATAAAATGAAAGGCAATTTTGAAAGTAGGTGTTGGCACAATTAATCTTGAATAGGATCCCAATTATTTGGGAAACAAAAGGTAGCTATATTTATAACTCTGCCTTAACTAATGGCATAACAGCCTTCACAGCAACTCAGAATAAAGTTTCCATCATAGCAGTTTGTGTTTCTGAGTATATCCCTAACCACAGTAACCTAAAAAAGGTCAATAGTTATCCTAACAATACTGCTGACTACTAACTTACTTTCTTTGGGCACAAATGTATCCATTGTAAATGTTAGTCTATGGTACAGTGAATGTGATAATCACAAAATTAAAGTATAGGAACTCAAGTGGTACACCAATTTATTCACCAAATGCCATATTTAAAACACTTTTCTAGAGATATAAAACTATCACAAAATCTTGGTTTTGAAAATTAATAAGACGCTTAGTATTTCTGAAAGTGTTTGGCGGAGAAATGTTTGTTTACATTTACATTTTGAAGATGGATGATTAGATCTAGGAATTCTACTACACTCTTCCTTTTTCCTATGCTTGATGTATGAAACAGAGGGATTTTTTTCCATGAATGTTTTTCCTTTGCTTAATACCATTACAAACTTACATTGCTGTATGTTTTTATGACACTTATCACTAGTGTATCCTTTTTAAAAATGCTTTTCTTAACCCAAATATCAGAAGTGTACTTGCAAATAACAGGACTATACTTCTTAAAATCCAAATATAAAGGACATCATTTTACTATTTTCTTGCTGCACGTTACATACTAGAGGATTCAGCAAAATGATACAGTTGAATAACTGTATGCCAAAAGATGAAGCCAGCCCATGCCTACGTGAAACAGCTCCTGAAAATGCTGGTTTCTCAATGTCTAGATCCAGTGACAATCAGATTTCTCCTCTGCCTAATAACATTTTTCATTTCCCAATGAATAGAATTTCTTTCACTAAATGCTTGTTTTGCAGCCTTAAAAGTGGCAGACAAATTAAAATTCCACTCTCTATAACCACGTTAAGAATCAGACAAAAGCCAATCTACCTGTTCAGGATCTGTTGTTCTGACTCATTGTTGGGCCATCTGTTTATGTGTGCTGCTTGTCTCACGGTGCAAATCAACCTGCTGCTGGGCAGACCTGCCTCATGCTGCAAACTCATTCTGCAATTTCAACCTCCCTCACCAGCAATAGGTCCTCTTATCAGAACCTAAAACTACCACTTCAATCAACTCGAGTCAGACCTTATTCTACTGCTCTTGTATAAAAAAGTGATACACCACAGGCCCATGTGCAAACAGGTCACCTCTGAACACTGGGCTCGTAAGGAGGATGGCAGCACAGTTTTGCTCCTATCAAAACATTTCAGTACCATCAGTAGCAATCAGCCTGCTACCCAGGAATATACATGTACCACTGTGGAGAGAGGCTAAAAAGATTACTGAATCCCAGAGGACAAGAATATGAACTACAAATACAAACCATTCTAGTCGTCTTTGTTTTAAAGATTGGTAACTTACTCACAGCTAGGTTTCCATCTGTGTTATTAGCACACAAATTTAAAGCAGTTTAGAAAAGGTTCTCAGAACATCCTTTGAGTCATCCACAAATATCAATTTGCCTGCTGCTTTGCAAGCACTGTGCTAATCACTCTCTCATCTTAGATGTGAAAGGATGTTAGGGCCATGGATAGAGTGGTAGGCAGTATAAGGTTTGAAGACAATATTAAATGAATATGCCTACTGAGTATATAGTATTGTAACAGATGTAGTATATTAACAAGTTAAATTATTTAAGAAGTTTCCACATCTATTTTAGGAAACAGAAGATGTACATGCAAAATAACTCTACCATTTCTTTTTCTTTTTTTTTTTTAAACAGAGTTTTGCTCTTGTTGCCCAGGCTGGAGTGCAATTGCGTGATCTTGGCTCGGCGCAACCTCCACCTCCCAGGTTCAAGTGATTCTCCTGCCTCAGCCTCCCGAGTAGCTGGGATTACAGGTATGCGCCACCATGCCCAGCTAATTTTGTATTTTTAGTAGAGACGGGGTTTCTCCATGTTGGTCAGGCTGGTCTCGAACTTCGGACCTCAAGTCATCCACCTACCTCGGCTTCCCAAAGTGCTGGGATGCTGGGATTACAGGCATGAGCCACCACACCCGGCCTTTTTTTGTTTTTGTTTTTTTTTGAGACAGTCTCACTCTGTTGCCCAGGCTGGAGTGCAGTGGTGTGATCTCAGCTCACTGCGGCCTCTGACTCTTGGGTTCAAGCAATTCTCCTCCCTCAGCCTCCCTCCCGAATAGCTGGGATTACAGGCACCTGCCACCACGCCTGGCTAATTTTTATATTTTTTGCACAGACAGGGTTTCACCATGTTGGCCAGGCTGGTCTCAAACTCCTGAGCTCAAGTGATCTGCCCGCCTCAGCCTCCCAAAGTGCTGGGATTACAGGCGTGAGCCACTGTGCCCGGCCAGAACCCTACCATTTCTTACAGAGTATCAACAAAGAAAATTATTAGAAAATTTAAAAACTATGTAAACAGAGAAGAGAGCAGTAAATAGAGAAAACAGGACCACAAACAGAGGTCAAGATCAAACCTGGGAGAGTATATATTTTGTGCAATGCTAACTCAAGGAAACTTTTTTGAGATTAAAAATAAAACTTGGTCTATCAATAATAATTAAAAATTATTACTTTGCAGAAATGGAGTAAGGCAAGTTTCCCTGCTAGTGGTTGATTATAGGTCTCTAAACAGATAAACTAATATGTACCCAGTGAAATAGCACATAGTATATACTTCCACCAGGTTCTATTCTTTACATTTAGAAGACTGTTCCTTGAGACTAGAAAGTAGAATTATTCTACCTTGTTTCTAACAAATGTACTTCAAAATGCAAGCTTATTTTGAGAAGGGAAATTTAAAAATATATCTATAGAGGACAAAAAATGTATAATTTAGGAGGAGCTGAATATTTAATGGATTAGTGGGTTAGAAGAGGAAGAACAATGTCAATAACATGCAGAAATACATCTAAAAACACAGATTTGAAAGGACCAAATATTATGTTACTTATTTAGTGATGACAAAGCACAGAGATGATAAGGGACTGATACCTACATGAGAATTTATGTATCCCAGTGGGTGAGAAATTCATCATGTTTCATTTTGTTCAAGCACCTACTGCCTCCAGTATATAGAAACATCGTAACTTTTCTCTTGAGGATGAGGCATAGCAGTGGTGAACAGGAAGGCTTGTCTTATCCTCTGTGCTAAGAGAAAGTCGCAATATTCTGCAAGGCTGCAACATGACATTTACTAAACAACCAGCAACATCTCTAGTCTTTTTAAACAACATTGATAAGTAAAAATAATGATCTAGGGGAGATTCTAATTTTTCGATTGACTAGAGAGCTGAGGACAGTACATTAGCCCTTTTAACTGCTTGATAGGTGTAAGCAAAATAAGACAACACAATAGTACCAGTCAAATTGTTAGTGAAGGCAGCAAACTATAGAGAAGAAACCAACATATTTAGCACGAAGAAACTGCTACACTATTTCCCTCACTATGCTATGCAAACAAATTATTCACTTCTACACTATATGCCAAGGAATACAGTGTTATTTAGAAAATATATTCTCTCACCTCTAGCTGTAACAGAAGCTAAGCACTACTTCTTCATACTCTACTGAGAGTTGCAGGATCTCTCTCATCAAGATATGATAGTACTCATAGCACTTCTGAATTCACTGCTGAAAATGACCATTAGCTGCGATATGGGACTAAAGACAAGTACACAATTACCAGAAACTAGGTAACAGTCAAATGGTGAATAATTTTAAACAGCTTTAAAGACTCTATAACGTTTTTCTTTTGAAAAGTTGTAAAGACACTTAAAATTGACCAATGATCTGTCAAATTCAATTGTCTAATGATTTTAATCCAACCCCTCTGAAACATTCCTATTAAGATATAAATTTATGGCTGGGCATGGTGTCTCACGTCTGTAATCCCAGTACTTTGGGAGGCTGAGGCAGGCAGATCACCTGAGGTTTGGAGTTAGAGACCAGCCTGGCCAATAGGGTGAAACCCCATCTCTACTAAAAATACAAAAATTAGCCAGGTGTGGTGGTGGGTGCCTGTAATCCCAGCTACTTGGGAGGCTGAGGCAGGAGGATCGCTTGAACCCAGGAGATGGAGGTTGCAGTGAGCCAAGATCGCACCATTGCACTCCAGCCTGGGCAACAAAAGTGAACCTCCGTCTCAAAAAAATAAATAAATAAATAAATAAATAAATAAATTTATATGTCACTTTTTCATTGTTTCACGTTCAGAGGTCACTGTGTCATCTTCTATATTCAAAACCTATGTTAAAATAAGAATGTGACACTCTAAACTCTAAGTAATGCTACAGCAATAGCTCAACATATCTTAACCATAAAATCAGACATTTTGCTAACACAACTGAAATAATTCACTGGAACTTACTAACATAGCTGCTTCAGAAGCAGAAACATCACAGAAGTCTAAGAAGAAAAACTTAAAGCCATGTATGGTTCTGGTAGAGAATCTGAAGGGAATGTGGAAACTGAAAAACCATCAAGGTTAAGTCAAAGGTTCTGTGACCACCAGGGGGGCTGGAAATGGGGCTCTAAGATGTTCTGTCACCAGGTCCATTGACAGCACACTAGATATCACTGTTATCAACAAATTTCTATTCCGATAAAGTATTGCCATGTACTTAGCCAATGCACCTGTAGATTCTAATGAGATAAGCCCACATTGATATAACCTAGGAAATAAATAACAAGACTAACAATAGAAGCTCCAGTTGGTGTCTCCGTCACATGCACCACAGCATCAACAGACCACCTAATAACATAGGGAGGAAAACAAAAACACTGCTAGCTAACACTGAATTTTTGTATAAGAAAAGAACAGGAAAAGGATTAACTACATTCTTTTCCCCCATGCTTACATTTTTAAAATTCCATTAGTATCTTGCCAGATTTTCAAGAGAAAGGCTGTGTGCATCAGAGTTAACTGGTATGATAGGCCATGGGAGAATAAAACCAATAAGAAACCTTTCTGTTCTGCACTTCACAGGGCTGTCACTCGTACTAGAAAAACGTCACTTTGAAGCCCTGTTTGCATTCCATTTTTAACTAGAGGGAAGAGGATGGAGGTCTTTGGTTTCTATGACAACCCAGATGGGCCATAATACAAGATACTTACAAATGTTCAATTGCAGGGATGCCAAATCAAATTAAGGCAGAGTTAGCACTACTTCATAAAAACTAGATGGGGAGAAAACAAAATACTTATGGCAAGACGATGCCATTTCTAGAAGTGGTTCGGAAGGATTTCATGAGAAAATATAAAGAAAAGAGTGACTATTTTTAGTGAAAACAAAACAGTAAAACTAATATATAAAAATAAAGCTCCAATTTACATAAGTAAATGCTTTCATTAAAATTTAGACTACTGAAAAATTACTACTTCACTTAATGTTTTTAAACACTCCCTTACAAATAACATGATATTCATTAGTGATTTACATCATTATAATCTGGCACACTGGGCTAGGTTTTAATGGTGGGTTGAGCTCCTTTGGGCAACTTTTTCTTTTGCTCCATCCTCACCATTTGTTACTATATTTGGCCTTCATAACTAGAATGCATAGTCCTCAAAATATTTGTGGAATGGCTAATGCTTCAGAAATAAACTAATTTGTAACTTTACTACAATTTGTAAAATTTATTAACTTTCCAATAATAACCTACCATATCTCTTTCCATTTATAAATGATGATTTATTTGAGAACCACCCTCAGCAAATACTTCTGGGCTTTTGAAAGCACTATTTGGGGGAAAAAAAAAGGAATTCACACATGGCCTTTTTCATTTAAGGGCAGAAAGTGCTGTATATTCAAACTTCATAAGGGAACTTATTTACGTCACAGATATTACCATTAGATAAAGGGGATGTCATATACACCTTTAAGGGATATAATGAAGAACTTTGGACTCTGTCCCCGTAAAATGTCCTATGTGTGCAAACATATAAAACAATTTTGCACACATTTCAGGGAATTTAGAGGCACCCCCTCAAACCCCTCCACAGAACTAGTTTTATCTTTATTCAAAAGACCCTTCTTCCCCAAGGCCGAAATTTGTAATGAAAAAAAAAGTCTCTAGAACAAAGCAAAACAAAAAAACACCCAATGTATTTAACATTAAGTAGATCATTGATACCTTTTTACTTAAAACACAGCTCAAATTAAATGAATTCAAATAAAATGAATTAATTGGATAAATATCTGCTACAGAAATTTTTCTAAAGATTGAATACTATGATTTCTAACTGTTTTGGATTTGCAAAATCAGGTAAGTTTCTGTGACTTTCTCTTCTCCCCCAAATAGCACAAACCCATTTAAAATTATCTTGAGACATTCTGAGACTATAAAAACAGGAGTAGAATAATTTCCTCAATAGAATCTTTTTAAAGCTCAGATTATTTCTTGCTTTGAAAAGAAAATCTGTATATGAGAGTGCCACTAAAAAAAGTCCTAAAAACTTTGTGCATATAGTGTATGGAGGAAAGAGCTTGGGTTAAAGGCTAACATTCAAAAAAAAAAAAAAATGCCAAGTTTTCTTTTCACACCATCTATGTGTCTAGTCATCACTCAGACTCTCTTCGGTGTTAATACTGTTACAAAATGAGGATAATACCTATCCTCTCCCCCACTGCTAAAAGAAAAAAATATTTTATAAAACTAAAGAGTCATAAAATATTCAATATTCATAGTACTAATGACACTAAAACAAGAAATTGATAGCTTAAAAATGCTGATGAACTTGATTTTTAAAACACCATAAAGCTGCCCTGCTGCCCATAATGATGATGACATTTTCACGAAGGGCAGAGTGAGAAAACGCTACAATTCTCACTAGGATGATGACTAGTACTTATAGAAGATTAAAAATAAGAATGATATATTATGTAGAAGAGAAGTAAAGATGGAAGTATGAGTATGGCTCAGCACACTACAGAGCACATGAATTTTAATTTGAAAAGTACTGGCAAGGCCTTGCATGCAGGCCCACACAAGTGCTTTTAAAAGCTTCATTACACTCTGCAGACATTTGCCCTTCATCAATTGCTTCCTATGCCAGGATTTCCTTTTTGAGTGTTGCAACCTAATATTCTTCACCCAGGCAACCACAGCCTATTTTGGAAAGGTTCCCTATTTCAGAAGCTTCAGTGCTGTTTCCATTTGGAAATACATCTTTATGAAAATATGTATCATCCTCAGAACAAAAATGCTTCAATATATTAAGTTTCAGCTGTAAGTGATATTTTTAGAAAAGTGGTAATTTCAGAATCTCTGCTTCAAAATTACAGAGTTGGTTTTTTTAAACGGAGTCACAAAGTAGAAAATTAAAAAGATATACCAATGAATAAAATCCTGTCTCCCCTTTTTCTTATCCCATTTCATTTAAAAATGTTTAAATTTATTTTCCATAGATTCTTAAAATCATTGAATTATGCATACTGGTAAGAAATTTCATCCAATGTTCATCTTCATAAAAACCAAATAACTCAATGCAAAAGAGCTCTTAACAGTCAATTTTCTAAGAAATGGTCTGACATCACAGATGGTGTTTTCTATATAACAAAGTGAATCAATTTGAGATGTCTTGGACACTGTAAAAAACTTGTACTTTTGACCAAAGGAAATGGATTTCACTTTTAATAGATAAGAAATAAGAGACACTGGGGAGTAGGGAAGGGGTAGAGGAGAGAAGGAAGTCCTTGTTCTAAGATTATATTAAAAGCTACTTAAAACATGTAAGTGACAATATTTCATAAACTGAAATATTTTATCAGTAGCTATGACAGAATATTCTCTATTCTTTTCTTCAACATAAAAGTTTTAAAGAACTGTGCTCATTTGACCTCTTATCAAACAAAAACTCACTTTTCTTCATATTGGTTTGCATAGCACAGACTATTACTTTTTCATAGCACTTAACTTTTACTGTGGATGAGGGCTGTATCTGCCAGGCCTAGAATGCTTTCCATTGAACTGTCTCCTCAAGACTAAAGGACTCATCATCTAAAAGATGTCTTTGTAAAATACAGTTTATGCCTCCTGAAAATACCATCTCTCCCTCTCTCCCATTCACTACACACATACTTACATGTGTTCGAAATTTATTCCCCTTCTTTATCATGGCTACCCTCAAGAAAAAACACAGGGAAACAGATAAGCACTACACAACAAAGTTTACTTTTTCCCTTTACAATAATATTTGTCTCTTACTGCAAATGTCTCTGAATATGGAAAATGAGATTATGCAGTTAAATTTTAACACATGCATGTATACACCCAACTAATACAGCAGTCCCCCACATCAGTAATTTCACTTTCTGCAGGCTCAGTTACCAAGAGCAACCGCAGTCCAAAAATTCAGGTTGAGCATCTTTAATCTGAAAAATCTGAAATCCAAAATGCTCCAAAATCCAAAACTTTTTGAGCACTGACGTGATGCCACAACTGGAAAACTTCACACCTGACCTCAAGTGATAGATCATAGTCAACATGCAGTCAAAACTTTGTTTCATGTACAAAATGATGTAAAATATTGTATAAAATTTATACAAATTTATGCTTGGGACCAGAAGTGTTTCAGATTTTGAGATTTTTCAGACTGTAGAATATTTGCACAATATATTAACGCCTTGTATATACCAAATAATCTTAGGCAGTTGCTTTTTCTGGTTGAAGGTTTCAAGATAATAAGAAAAGCAAAAACCTCATTTGCAATATTAACTTAATTAATGGGCACCAAATGTTCAGACCTTCCTGTTCTGACTTATAAAACAGGTTATTTTGACTCCATTAGCAAATGCCCCTGATTATTCTCAGCTTTTTATTACATACTAGGTAAATGAAACTATCAACGATCCTTTTACTAAGAAATGTGAACTGCCTTATACTGGAATAGTTAAATAAACATTAGGGGAACCATCAGCACCAACTACTTACTCCCTATGAGCAATGAATAAAAGAATAATATTTGTAGCACAATTAAGCTTCCATAGCTCAAGACGGATCATCCCACCAATTCTGAAACAATTTACTCTAGCTGTATGAATCTGATCATAAAGAAAAAAGAAACACTTCTAATGAAATGTGGAAATGCTTTTTTTGCATGTGAATCGTATTCATTTCTTTAAAAAACTTCAACTTCAGAACTCTCAAGAACAGTAAGAAAAATAAAACATACAATTTTAAAAGTTTATTTGGAGCCTACAAATGCCTGTGGAAAAGCACAATTTTAAACTTTGAAAATGGGCTGGTCTAATATAAAACAGTCTTTGTAGATAAAAAATAATTCAAATTCAGACAAGAGAGAATTAAAGAATTAGGATGTTCACTGTTATTTTACATTTACGATTAAAGAACCAGATTAACTGACAAGTAGATCACTGTTGACATAGTTCCTATAAATAAGAGCCAAATGATTTTAAAATTAAATGTTATAAACTTCATGCTTTAAAAAATGTGTACTCCCAATTTTCATTTGTTTTCCAATGCTTCCAGAAGCCCAAACAAGAATTATTTTAATAGGGCAAAAAACCATGAGAAATCAGTAAATTCTTAATCTTTCGGTTGTATATACAATTAGGGCAAAGGCTAAGTCAAATCCAGAATTAATAAGCACCTAACGAAATATTGCAACTTGTTATAGTTCTTTAGTTTGAATAAATCTGCCCTCAGTGTTCTATCTTCCTAAACTTTCTGAATAACCTCCACAAATCACGCTATATAAATAACAAGGAGTCTAAAAGTTTACTGCCACATTCACTCTCTAAAGATACTAAAATCAGTTCATCTACACAGGCAGCTGTCTGCCTGAGCTAGAGGATGAAGTTATGCCTTAATGAACTAACGCCATCTAGTGGGATCAGTGAGATTTCAGCTGAAACTAGTTTACAACAGGTTACTACAATCTATTCAGCTGGTCAAATGTCTTATTTAAAAAGATACACTTGTATTAAGTATTGAACTGTCTTAAACGCCTATTAGAATGTGATATACTTGCCTACAATAAAAATGGCACAAAAATATTTTAAGACCAACAACCCTCCCTTGGAATAATATTTCTATTCTTTCCTTCAAAGGCACAAAATACAAATCAACAGGTACTAACAATATGTATTTTCAAAGATCTCAGAAAATGCAAAGTCAAAGTCAGAACAACAGTCAGTAAAATTTAAAGATAACAATAACAAGAGCTATTATTTACTTATTAAGTGCCTAGCATATGCCACACACTTCACAGTTTTAATCTTTAGAGCGTTCCTGCAAGCTCGTTTTACAGGTGATTTCCCATTACAAAAACACTTAAATATAGAGTGACTAACTTAAAAAGTGATCTTTCTTCCCTCCAACCAACCATAACGTGACGAGACATCTATCAACACTAGCTCACTGCATACCTACCATGTGTTCAAAAACATGCAAAGTGATAGTGAGGTTCTAAGAGATGAGAAAAGGGCCCCCTGTCTTTTCAAGGAATCCAGGTAGCGCTGAAGCCAGGAATCTGTGGCACTTTACAGAAGATACTTCCATCTACCTTTTTTCTTCTTCTTCTTTTTTTTTTTTTCGAGATGGAGTTTCACTCTTGTCCAGGCTGGGGTGCAATGGCGTGATCTTGGCTCGCTGCAACCTCCACCTCCCAAGTTCAAGTGATTCTCCTGTCTCAGCCTCCTGAGTAGCTGGGTTTACAGGTGCCCACGACCATGTCCAGCTTATTTTTGTATTTTTAGTAGAGATGGGGTTTCACCCTGTTGCCCAGGCTGGTCTCGAACTCCTGACCTCAGGTGATTCGCCTGCTGTGGCCTCCCAAAGTGCTGGGTATTACAGGTGTGAGCCACCGTGCCCGGCCCCATCTATCTTTTATGATAGTTTTACTGTTAATTTTATTCACATTAAAAATAAACTGCTAGCATGAATATTAAATCCGTCATTTTAAAATTTAGTTACATTAATTTAAATCAAAAAACGATGTGAAAGAAGTGAGATGTGTACCCTTTACATAACCTAACAATGGACATATTCTTTCTTTAATTTCCATTAATATGACTTATTTTTATCATTTTCAAATTTTAGAACAAGGGACTTTTCCATCTTACTCCTAAGTGGAATGTCAGAGTCTTTAAAAAGGTACAGGATCTATCACAATAATCCGTGTTGTTATGTTATTTTCATTTTTAATCGCATATCTGCTTCTTCTTTTTCTGTCTGTACTTGGGATTACCATGCTCCAGATAAGAACAGAAGGGTACTAAAGTAAAATGTGTTTAATGTTGTTCTACCCACCAACTGGTAGGTGAAAATTAACACGAAGTGAAGTTCAGAAAGTAACCTGCAAACTATCCCATTTTCTATTTGGGAATGTTAACTTTAACATTTCAGCACCTTCCCCTACAATGTGTATTTGTTTACTCACATACGCCCATACACTCTATCATGTGAAATCCTAGACTAATCCATAATGTTCAGATGATAACTCAATAAAATCTCAAAACATTTGTGAGGTCTTCAATTGAAATTTTCCTGTGTGTGTGTCCTTATTAAAGAAAATACAGAGCAGAGTTCCACACTGTGAAGCATATCCGGGACACTATGGACCACATATGGCCTGGGTTCTGAAAAGATGAGCTAAACTTAATCAAAATTCCTCTCTTGCTTTCCTGAAGGACTCAGGAAATGGGCAGCATACATCTCATCTTGACCCAGATTTGCTTCAGTAGAGAAGTGCCAATGTCTTGAAAGCTACTCCATGGGTCAAAGGTAGAAGACGGGAAAAGAGTCTGCTTTGATTGGCTGTCAAATTTACCTGTATATCTAGCAAAGGAAGAGAAATGGCAAGATATGGTGGAAATGTGACTCGGTTTTGTGTATGAAAACCTGGTGCTGCTGGACAAGTCACACTCTCTGAGTTCCAGTATATTCATTTATAAAATAAAAGGAAAATAATAATATATGTTTTACATATCTCATATAAATAAATCTGAATATAATTTTTGTTAGATTTAAGTAAATAAATGTAAATTCAACTGCAAAATGCTATGTTTGCAACTGTAAAATGTGAATGCAACTACAAAATAATCTTGTCAACCCTATCCACTCCCATTCCACTACTTATTTGACCAGTGTTCACCCTCCATCTTAATCAGATCCTTCAATCAGACTGGACTCTTCCCTGCTCAGTGAACTCAACAAATTGGTTCACATTTCACTTTTTTTTTTTTTTTTTTTTTTGGAGACGGAGTCTCACTGTCGCTCACGCTGGAGTGCAGTGGCGTGATCCCGGCTCACTGCAACCTCCACCCCCTGGGTTCAAGCGATTCTCCTGCCTCAGCCTCCTGAGTAGCTGGGATTACAGGCGTGCATCACCATGCCCAGCTAATTTTCTGTATTTAGTAGAGACAGGGTTTCACCATGATAGCCAGGCTGATCTCCAACTCCCGACCTCAGGTAATCTGCCCGCCTCGGTCTCCCAAAGTGCTGGGATTACAGGGGTGAGCCACTGCGCCCGGCCATTAGTTCACATTTCTCACCTTCTGTTCATGATGTTCCCTGGTCCTGGAGTACCTTTTTTCTTTCACCCAATTCTGTTTAACCATCTACCTTTGAGGGTTCTGACACATTCCATTTCCTTTATAAAACTTTTCTTGACTCTACCTGCCTAGAATGATCTGTGAAACCCTATTATACCAAGTGTCTGAACCATACAATTTAACATCTAAACATGTAACGATAATAGCAGCTGCACACATTTATTATAGTACTTACTATAAGGCAAGCACAGTTCTAAGCACGCTATGTATTACATAATTTAATCTTCAAAGCAATCCTAGGAGATATGTACTATATAGTATGCTATTTTACAGATGGAGAAACTAAAGCACAGAAAAGTAACTTTCCAACATTCCAAAAGTAGCAAATAGCAGAGCCAGAGCAGACTTCCAACTTGGGCAGTTTGGCTACAGAGCCCATCCACTTAGTCACTGCACAATACAATTAATATAATTCTGCTCGTTCATTGTTTTATGTGTTCTGCTTTGTCTTTTGGTCCAGAATGTGTGGTTACTCAGGATAACAGTCATTTCATCTGGTATAACTCTTTCATCACCTTGCATTTTTCTGGCTTACACAATTAGGTGCTAAGTGTTTCCTTGAAACAGATAAAGGGGCCGTCAGTCACTTTACAGTATTTTCATTAAATAAGTATCCTAATTTGTTCAGCTTCTAACAAAAGATTATTCCTGCTTCTATCCCAGAATCAAAAATTTTGGGGAAGTCTGAGGAACATTCATTTAGTTGCTTAACCATATCATACTAAAAGAAAGGGGAGAAAAATATGCCAAGTTTGAGAGTTACTGCAGGAATGAGAACAATCATTTAAAGACAAAAACTAAAGCTCTCTCCTGATATACACTCATGAAGCAGTCTCCTGGGCATTTCTAAAGAAAATTAATAATGGAGATTTAATAATTCAATGATTAAGTCACCTGAGACCAGGAACAGTCCAAAATACACAACTATTTTTAAAATGTCAGCATTTTGTAAATATAACTGACATTACAGTTAACAAAGGCTTTTCTCTTAAATACATTATGTTACTTATACCTCGCAACAATCTTGTGAAGATACTTTACAGAAGAATAACATGAAACTCAAGGAGATTTAGTAATTTGTCTAAAATTATACAGTTAAGTGGCAAAGCCAGAAACCAAATCTTTGTTTCCTGACTCTAATGCCTGAATTTCTTTCTGCTTTACGACATTGTTTGGGAATAGTGGTATGAATAACTCAAAATTAAATTATATTTGGCACCGGAGTATGCTTTTTGGGTTCTCTTCTTTTGGTAATTCATAATACTGCAAGTCAACAATCACAAAACAAAACAATCTTGGCTGTGGAAGAAATAACAGGTTTTCTAAGCCAGCGTGCAAAGCCTTGACCCACAGAAGTTAGAGAAGAACAAGGAAAAAGATATATGTATTTCTGTGCCTCTCTTTTCCCCTTATCTTGGAAATTCACTGTGTCTCTCCCTGACTAACTCTACACCCCTACCCAGTGGACTGAGGATAATAATGATCAGTTCATTCATAAGTCTGAATTGTTGGGGGCAATTAAAGTAACCAGGCAGTGAACAGCATCATACCAGCTCCTTTCTCTCCTACTATAATAAATAAGCATGATCAAGTCTCCTCTGTATAAAAAACTTTCTCTTTCTCTCTCTCTCTCACACACACACACCCCTCTCAAAAAAGTGATCAACAGAAAACAGGCATCTGCTTAATTATAGTTCCCTTTCCCCTTTATCACAAAACTTCTTAAAGGAGTTACTGGACTCTTTGATCTTGCCACTAGATCGTGAACTCCTTGAGGGAAAGAATTAACCGTTTTAATTTGTAACTTCACTTTTTAGCCTGGCTAGTGGTAGGGTGTATAAAAGTGTTCAATGAGGTTGGGCATGGTGGCTCACACCTGTAACCCCAGCACTTTGGGAGGCAGAGGAGGGCAGATCACCTGAGGTCAGGAGTTCAAGGCCAATCTGCCCAACATGGTAAAACCCTGTCTCTACTAAAAATACAAAAATTAGCTGGGTGTGGTGGTGCATGCCTGTAATCCCAGGTACTTAGGAGGCTGAGGCAGGAGAATCGCCTGAGCCCAGTAGGTGGAGGTTGCAGCAGTGAGCGGAGATGGTGCCACTGCACTCCAGCCTGAGCGACAGTGCAAGATTCAGTCTCAAAAAAAAAAAAGTGTTCAATGAACCAATTGTTGAAGTAAGAAGATTGGCAATTTCTAAGATACTTTCTCGCTCTGGAAATCTAGGATTTCAAGACATGTCCCACTTGGTGGTACTAAGCACTGCTTTTCATTTCTAAATTCAAGAAACAGTTTTGGTTTAGGTCCTTTCTCTTTTCTGACTCCCGCAGAATACAGATGTTCTTTCAAGCAATGTATTTAGCTAACAAAAGTTCCCTAAAGCAAAATAGTGGATGTCCATGAGCTTGGCAGAGGGGAATTTTACGAGTTTTTATTTACTGCTTGATTGCAAAGATAAAAAAATCACTCTTAACTCTTACCTTCTTTTTATTCTCTCTATGCAACACAACAAAACAAAAAGAGCAAAAACTTCTTTAGTGTAACATTAATTTTAAAACATTAGGCACAAAAATTAGAAGCAACCTGCACACTCTAGGTCCTTCACTCTATCTAGATTTCCAGATGACTATCACCTTCTTTACTTCCTGTCCATCCTGGGACCCATGATAAACCACTTCTACTATGTTCTCCCTCACACTAGACCCCTTTTCCTTTTTACCTTCATAATCCCTAGTCCTGAGCTGTTCATTACTACCGGAAAGAATCCTTCAACCAGGCCAAAGGCTCTGCCTGAAGTTCATGCCATCTTTACCCTAACCTTCTAATCATCCATGTGTGATCATCTATCCATTTCCCTCAGAAAGTATTCAAATCTTTGTCTTTCCTGACCTCTTTGTGCAGCTGCACTATTACTGACCATGCTCTTCTTGGGCCTCTCTGCTTTCCTGTCACCATCTGCTTAATTCTCTTTCTCTTGGCCCAGAAAGCTCCTTCTTAGACCCTTTTATATTCAGATGCTTTTCAAGTTTCTGTCCAGGCCTTCTTTGTTTCCTCCCTATAGTCATTCCCTGGATAACAACATTCAGTCTCAATGAAGCAATTATCTCCACAAACAGTGAAGGACCACACACCTTGGACAGAATTCTGGCCCTCATCACTAGCTATTTGGTCTTACGCAAGTTAACTCACGACAGTCTCTGTTTATTCACCTCTTAAATGGAGATAAAAGTAGCTACCTCAAAGGGCTGTGAAGATTAAATGAGGTAACATATATCAATATAAAGTACCTAGCACAGTGCCTAGAACATAGTAGAGGTAAGTAAATCTATATCTCTAGTGCTGGCCTCTCCTGCAACCCTACACCCACATTTCTAATTCTATCTTAATATCCCACCAACAACTCAAATCTGGCCTGCTTAAGGCCAAACTCATTGTCTTCCCTCTCTTGCAGTTTCTCATCTTAATGATACCCTAAGAGCTCATGCTGGGATTTCTAAGCATGTTTACTTCATCACATCCCCCCAACTCTTTACATCTAATTAGTCTTTGCACTGTCTTGTACTTCTGTCCTGCTGCTGTACTTCAGTCCTCATAGGGGAAAATTTACCATCAGTCCCCCTTATCCTTGGGGAGTATGTTCCAAGTCCCCCAGTGGATGCTTGAAACTGCAGATAGTACTGAACCCTATATATACTATGTTTTTTCCTATATATTCACACCTATGATAAAGTTTAATCTGTAAGTTAAACTTATTTAAACCCGGTTAAACTGGGTATTAGTATATACCCAGTAATGGGATTGATGGGTAAGAGATTAACAACACCTCATAATAACACAATATTATATACTATAATAATGTGAGATGAGTGGCATAGGCACTGTGAATAGAAAATTCCAGAAAAAATAATCCATAAGTTTTAAACTGCACGCTTAGAGTAGCCTGACGAAATCTCTCCCTGTCCCACCCCTTCCTACCCAGACTGCCATTGGTCACTTAGTAGCTATCTCGGTTATCAGATCAACTGTGGCAGTATCACAGTGCTGTGTTCAAGTAACCCTTATTTTACTTAATAATGGCCCCAAAGCGAAAGAGTAGTGATGTAATATTTTTGGGCCTCAGCTGACCGTGAGTAACTAAAGCCACAGAAATGGAAACTGCAGGTAAGTGGGGGAGTACTGTGTAATGTCTTCCTAACTGATCTCTCCCCATCTAAAGTAGACACAGTCATGTGTTGCTTAATAACAGGGATATGTCCTGAGAAATGCATCCTTAGGTCATTTCATTGCTGTGCGAACATCATACAATGTACTTAAACAAACTTAGATGGTACAGCCTACTACACACCTAGGCTATATGGTAATAGCCTATTGCTTATGGGCTAAACCTAGGAGCAGGTTACTGTACTGAATACCATAGGTAACAATGGTAAGTATTTGTGTATCTAAATATATCTAAAAATGGAAAAACTACAGTAAAAATACACTACGAAAGATGAAAAACGGTAAACCAGCTTGCAGGACTGGTAGTTGTACTGGGTGAGTCAGTGAATGAGTGGTTAGTAAATGTGAAAGCCTAACACATTACTATACACTACTCTAGACTTTATAATACCGTATACTTAGGCTACGCTAATTTTAATTTCTTTGAAAAACATTATAATTATATTTATTTATTTTAGATTCAAGGGGTACATGTGCAGGTTTCTTATAACAGCATATTTCATAATGCTGAGGTTTGGGCTTCTATTGATCCTGTGACCCACATGGTGAACATAGTACCCAACAGGAAGTTTTTCAACCCTTGCTCCCATCCTTCCCTACTCACTTGTGGAGTCCCTAGTGTTTACTGTTCCCATCTTTATGTCCAAGTGTACCCAATGTTTAACTCCCACTTATAAATGAGAACATATAATATTCAGTTTTCTGTTTCTGCATTAATTCCCTTAGGATAATGGCCTCCAGCTGCAGCCATGTTGCTGCAAAGGATATTATGTTGTTCTTTTTTATGGCTGTGTAATATTCCAGTGTATATGCACCACATTTTCTTTATCCAATCCACTGTTGATGGACACCTAGGTTGATTCCATGTCTTTGCTACTGTGAATAGTGTGGCAATGAACATACAAGTGCAAGTGTACTTTTTGGTAGACTGAGGTATTTTCCTTTGGGTATATATCCAGTAATGGGATTGCTGGGTCAAATGGTAGTTTTACTTTTATTCTTTCATTAATCTCCAAATGGCCGAGGCTGAACTAATTTACATTCCCACCAACAGTATATGTGTTCCCTTTTTTCCATAGCCTCTCCAACATCTGTTATTTTTGACTTTTTAATAATAGTTATTCTGGGGCCGGGCGCGGTGGCTCACGCCTGTAATCCCAGCACTTTGGGAGGCCGAGGCGGGCGGATCACGAGGTCAGGAGATCGAGACCATCCCGGCTAAAACGGTGAAACCCCGTCTCTACTAAAAATACAAAAAATTAGCTGGGCGTAGTGGCGGGCGCCTGTAGTCCCAGCTACTCGGGAGGCTGAGGCAGGAGAATGGCGTGAACCCGGGAGGCGGAGCTTGCAGTGAGCCGAGATCCCGCCACTGCACTCCAGCCTGGGCGACAGAGCGAGACTCCGTCTCAAAAAAAAAAAAAAATAAAAATAAAAAAATAAAAAAAAATAAAAAAATAAAAAATAGTTATTCTGACTGGTGTAAAGTGGTATCACTGTGCTTTTGATTTGCATTTCTTTGATGATTAGCAATGTTGAGCATTTTTTCATGTTTGTTGACTGCTTGTATGTCTCCCTTCAAAAGTGTCTGTTCATGTTGTTTGCCCACTTTTTAATGGGGTTATTTATTTTGTTGTTGTTGTTGATTTAAGTTCCTTACAGATTCTGGATATTAATCTTTTGTTGGCTACATAGACTGCAAATATTTTCTCCCATTCTGTAGGTTGTCTGTTTGCTCTGATAGTTTCTTTTGCTATGCAGAAGCTCTTTAGTTTAATTAGGTCCCAAATGTCAATTTTTGTTTTTGTTACAATTACTTTTGAGGACTTAGCCATAAATTCTTTGCCTAGGCCAATTTCCAGAAAAGTATTTCCAAGGTTTTCTTCTAGGATTCTTATAGTTTGAGATTTTAAAAATTTATTTCTTCAATAATAAATTAACCTTAGCTTAGTGTAATTTTTTTGCTTTATAAAGTTTAATTTTTAAACTTTTTGACTCTTTGTAATAACAGCTTAAAACACATTGTACAGTTGTATAAAAATACTTTTTTTATCCTTATGTTTTAAGTTTTCTATTTTTAAATATTTAAATTTTTTGTAACTTTTTAAGCATTTTAATTAAAAACAAAGACACAAACACACACATTAGCCTAGGCCTACACAGGGTCACAATCATCAATATTACTGTCTTTTACCTCTATACCTTATCCCACTGGAAGGTCTTCACAGACAACAACATCCATGGAGCTGTCATCTTCTATGGTAACAATGCCTTCGTCTGAAATACCTCCTGAAGGACCTGCCCGAGGCTATTGCTGTTTTACAGTCATCTATCTATCTATCTATCTATCTATCTATCTATCTATCTATGCAGAAGGAGTATATTTTAAAGTAGTGATAAAAAGTAAACACATAAACTGATAACACAGTCATTTATTATTATCAAATATGTACTGTACATAATTGTATGTGCTATAGTTTTATATGACTGGCAGCACAGTAGGTTTGTTTACACCAGCATCACCACAAACATGAGTAATGTATTACGCTACCAAGTAGTTATGATGGCTACTAAGCAACAGAAAATTTTTAGCTCCACTATAATCTTATGGGACCACCATCATATATGTGGTCTGTTGTTGACCTAAATGTCTTTGTGTGACTGTAGATCCTTTTGCTAGTAGAACAATCTTTCTCAAAAAGGGATATCACCATGTCATTTCATGACTCAAAATTTCCCAGAGTCTTCTCCCTAAACTCTTAGGTAAGGCATTTAAGGCCCTTAACAACTATACTTCGCCTCCCATTATATCCATTCCTTCAACCACTCTGAATTATCTGCTATTTCCAGAACTCAAAATGCTTTTTCCTGCCTCTGTACCTTTGCCTTTGCTTAAATTATTCCCTCTCTCATGCAACACCTTTCCTACCTGTCCAAACCTTACCCATTCTAGAAGACCTAGATCAAACACCATTTCTTACATAAACCCTTCCCTAATCCCCTACTCAGGATTAATATCTCCCTTCTCTATATTCAAAGAGCACCCGTGTACAACTTTAAAATGGCACATGACATAATCTATTTTACACTGCAATTTGTAGCTTATGTTTTTCTCCTCTACTATACTGCCAGCACCTTAAGAACATGGGGAGACTAGGTCTTGCTGATTTTATAGCCCACTACCTGGAGCTTGGCAGCCCTCAGAAATGTTTGGTAAACTGAACTGAATCATTACATGATTCTATCATCTAGAATGCAGACCTATAGCACTTAAAAATTAAACAGACACGACCTCAACCAATGATCAAAATTTGTATCAGCAATTCTGGGGCAAATCAACATGATGTGCCCTGATGTGATGAAGTCACAAGGTAGTGTTCTTACTAAAAATGTTTAACCTGGATTTTTTTTTTTTTAATTGAGATGGAGTCTCACTCTGTCACCCAGGCTGGAGTGCAGTGGCGTGATTTTGGCTCACTGAAACCTCTGCCTCCCAGGTTCCAGCGATTCTCCTGCCTCAGCCTCCTGAGTTGCTGGGATTACAGGCATGTGCCACCACACCCAGCTAATTTTTGTATTTTTAGCAGAGACGGGGTTTCTCCACATTGGTCAGTCTGGTCTCAAACTCCCGACCTCAGGTGATCCGCTCGCCTCAGCCTCCCAGAGTGCTGGGATTACAGGCGTGAGCCACCACGCCCGGCCTACATCTATTAATTTTTAACAGGCATATTTGCTATCTTCTCATAGTTCTAGCAAAGGAAAAAATCAGATTTGTTTTTTTAGCACTCAGAACGACTAAAGAAGTAGGAGATACTAAAGTATATTGAAAGCTAACAAGACTGTAAACTACTCTTTGCAAATACTAGTTGGATGTGTTCTTTTCTTGCTTTGGGTGTGTGGACTGATAACACTCTGTCTCCCTGTGGTGGTAGGAAGCTATTTGTAAGCTGAAACTCCTGACAAGGAAGAGCTCCATATTTATAAGTTACAGTTCAGGATTTGCCCTTAAGGGGGAAAAAAAAAAAACACCTCCCTCATCTCCTCAAAAAAACCAAACTGGAAAAGAAGTCATTATCTTTACTCACTATAATATTTTCTTCCAAATTTCTACAAAATTAACAAAGATTACATAAATCAAATGCAAATGATTTTGTCCCTAAAAACTGTTCTTGATAAATATGTAGACTGATAGGAAAAACTAATCTTTCCCCTAGAAATAAACCAAGGTTCCACAGAAAAGGCTATCAAACAGCAAAGCACAGTGTAAATAGCCACCCAAATTGCTCTTATTACTTTGCCTTTTCAACTCTGTAATCTCAATTGGAACACAAAATGAAAATTTATTATTTTGGTTAAATTCATTACTCTAACTAGCTGTAGGGGTTAAAAAATGTGTCCTAGGCCGGGCGCGGTGGCTCACGCCTGTAATCCCAGCACTTTGGGAGGCCGAGGCGGGCGGATCACGAGGTCAGGAGATCGAGACCATCCCGGCTAAAACGGTGAAACCCCGTCTCTACTAAAAATACAAAAAATTAGCCGGGCGTAGTGGCGGGCGCCTGTAGTCCCAGCTACTTGGGAGGCTGAGGCAGGAGAATGGCGTGAACCCGGGAGGCGGAGCTTGCAGTGAGCTGAGATTGCGCCACTGCACTCCAGCCTGGGCGACAGAGCGAGACTCCGTCTCAAAAAAAAAAAAAAAAAAATGTGTCCTATGCTTCAAAAGCTTTCTTATAAAAGCATCAAAATGTACCTCCCCAGAATGCCCAATGATCTGTTAGCTGCGCATCATGAAGGTCTGGGCTCAAGCTCAGCACCATTTTCAGGAGAATGTACAGTATAGTATTAACACTTAGCCTCTGGTGTATTTGGCCAGTTGGGAAAAATCTATAGGGGAAAAAGAAAAGAATCTCCTTAAAACTGAAAGAAATTTGTCTAAAGACTTCATCTCTCATCAATTCAGAGAAAACAGCTATCCTGAAATAGCCGTCTGTGCATAATTTATGTGTCCATTTAAATGCCTTTTAAATCCCACTAACCTATTTGACTCAATTTCATATGGAAGAGATTCCATACAGGTACATATGTCACATGACTTGGCAAAAGATAATTTGGTAAACATGAACAAAATCCTGATATGGACAACACATTTTTTTTTTTAAATTCAAGAAAACAGAGATAGCAATTGATAGTTGTAGAAAAAATGATGATGCTGTACCAAGAATAACTGTAGGTAGGAGCAGATGGTGATAACTCACTTAATGGCACTGCTTACTGCATACCATGACACGCTCTCACAGATGCACATCACCAATTTCTAAAATAACATCTCAGAGTAATGCAATCCAATGCAAGACTTTTTATGACAAAATCAATGTATCATACCGTAAGCAGCAAGAACACACACATCATGTAAGAAGCTAAAACTGTGTTTAAAGACAAACTCATTTGGTCAAAATAAGGCAAGAAAAAGAAAGGGGGAAGAAAATAAGCCTTTCTCATTCTGGAAGCCTAATCTAATTTTTTTTTTTTTTTAATTTGGAGCCTTTGAAACTCACAGACTCCATTTGCAAACTTTTGTGGCTGTTAATTTCTCAGTTATTGGTTTTTCGCTTTATCTTCTCTAAAGAGGAAAAGAAGAAACTGCTTTTTAATTCTTTCTAGAAGATAGGGGAAAAGAATGTCGCTTTTAATGGTACTTTTTGATTAGCTTGGGATCTGAGTTCCAAATAAAGTCACATCAAAATTAAGTATCATGTCAAATGAATCATCTTAATTTTTTTCACTTGAGAACTAATCCAGAAGCTAACTTTCATTGGTAAGCATGTACACCACGCCAAAAAATAAGATGGGCTTTTATAAACTAAGTGGGAATGAACCAGGTCCACACAGCCCTAAGATGTGGCCAATCCAGGCAAAGCTGGCTAAAAGCAGGGATCAGAGGAATTTAGTTAAACATACTCTACCATACCCCTGAACAAGTTCTGGAGTAGATATTATGGAGTACTATGTTCTTTCTGATGCTATAAATTGCACTCTATTCACCTGTGACCAATTTTTCCAAGATCCAAATGCTTTACTTTTATATTAACTTAAGCAATCAGACGGCATTCCAATCTTAGCAATGAAATTTAGTCGTATTAGTCTCCGGTTAGATTTAACTGGTTCCTTTGTTTTTATATTTCTGCTTGACAGTTAAACAGTAGCTCTGCTCTAAAAATGATAACACAACATTGCAACACAGAAGCAAGTAAGAAATATTACATCTGTGAGTTACATCTCCTAGGTAGAAAAGGACCACACAACCATTAAGAAGCAGGAAAGCCCATATGCTTAACTTTCAGGGTTCCTAATAATCTTAATCATCATGTCATCTCATTTCAAATTGTGTTCTTTTAAGGGCATTTTGCTATTTTCTACATTTTGACTCTTTTTTTTTTTAGCCATCATTATGAAGAGACCTGAATGATGATACTAAAACAAAGATACTATTGTGAAGGCAGGTTTCTCACCACTCCATTTTATTTATCCTGGTTAATGACCACCAGTAAATGGGCAACTCTACCACTCAAAAGTAATCAGGCTGGGAATATGATTACTTTTTCTTGGATTTGATCCCTACTTTGTGGCATCAGTGGTGTCATTTCCTAATGCCTTCTTTTGTTCCCTATTGACATTCTCAGACATGGCATTTCATTCACACATCTGCAGAGTAAGATCCTATGACATGTTTGGGGACAACACTAGAATTCCCTGAAGTGGCTGCTAGTATCCTGCAGCAAACCAATTTTTCATCAGAACTGCCACCAAGAACCAGGAGCGCCTGCTCTGACACTGTTCGATGGGTCTTTGCGCAGCAGCAGGAGGGAAGCACCGTGTACATACGCAGCGGATGGAAGTGCTTACCAGGCTTGTGGATTACTGCTGTATCTTTTAAAGCAGGCCCTGGATACAACTAGCTCCCACTTTCACTTTTCTGCTTCCCTTGCGTCTAACACCATCTGATGATCTAGAATATAAAATACTATCCTCTTCGGTCCTATTTAGCTCTATAAGTTATGAAATTTCTCAAATATGAACATGACCCAGAGTTCTCTATATTTTAAGTTATCTTTTGGGGCCTGCACCAACTGTACCGACTCCAAATTCAAAAACAACCTGTTTTGAATGCTGATGTCCTATAAAGCCATGATAGTTATGGTTGAAAAACATTATTCTTAAACTAAGCATTTCAAATACAGACAGTCCCCAACTTACAATAGTTTGATTTACAGTGGTACCAAAGCGATATGCATTCAGTAAGCTTCTCAATTAACTTATGATGGGGTTATGTCCTGATAATTCCATCTGAAAAATCCATTGTAAACTGAAAATATTCTAAGTCGAAAGTGCATTTTCCACTTACGATAGTTTCAATGTATGATGGGTTTATTGGACCATAACTCCATCATACACTGAGGAGTATCTGAATATGGAAGGGACCATTAGATAGATTCTTTAAAAAAAAAAAAAAGAGAGACAAGGTCTTACTCTACCACTCAGGTGGGAGTGCAGTGGCAGGATCATAGCTCACTGCAGCCTTGACCTTCTGAGCTCAAGTGATCTTCCCACCTCAGCTTCCAGAGCAGCTGGAACTACAGGTGCAAGCCGCTATGCCTGGCTAATTTTTTTTATTTTTTGTAGAGATGGGGGTCTCACTCTGTTGCCCAGGCTGGTCTTGAACTCGTGGTCTCAAGCGATCCTCCTGCCTTGGCCTTCCAAAGTGCTGGGATTACAGGGATAAGCCACTGTGCCTGGCCATTAGACAGACTTTTAAAATAACCTCACCACATTTTAAACTATTAACAAGTATACACCATACCTCCATCAGTATTGTCAATCTAGAAACAGTATTCATCCTGGGCCCAAGCATCACCAAGGGTGCCACAGAAAGCAATCAAAGAGACCCTTATTGCACATGTGTGTGCGTGCATGTGTGTGTGCATGTGTGTGTGTGTTCAGAGACAGGGTCTCACCCTGTCATCCAGTCTGGAGTGCAGTGGCATGATCATAGCTCACTGCCTTGAACTCTTGGGCTCAAGCGATCCTCCTGCCTCAGCCTCTCAAGTCTCTGAGACTATAGGCACACACCACTATGCCCAGCTAATTTTTATGTTATTTTATTTTTTTGTAGAGATGAGATCCCACTTTGTTGCCCAGGCTGGTCTTGAACTCCTGGCTTTAAGCAAACCTTCCACCTCAGCATCCCAAAGTGCTGAGATTATTATAGGCATGAGCCACCATGCCTGGCCACTTATCTTCTTTGAATTCACATTTCAGGAATTCCTGAGGAGGGGCAGAATAATTCATTTTGGAAAGGAAAAAACCACCATGGGAACAGAAAATACAGGCATTGCACTAGTAGGAAAGGAAAAGATCTGTGTGTGTGCAGTGTTCCAGTGAAGCAGAGATAACTAAGCAATATTTTCTTTAAAGAGACACAAATGCTGTAAGGAGAGGAACAAGAGAATGACATAAAAGAACTAAAAATTAATCATATGGTTATTTTTCTATTATAGAACAAAACCATGTACTGTTTGTTTCTTTCTTTTTTTATTTAAGAGACAGGAGCTGGTTGTGGTGGCTCATCCCTGTAATTCCAGCACTTTGGGAGGCCAAGGTGGGAGGACCACTTGAGATCATGAGTTCAAGACCAGTGTGGGCAACATAGCAAGACCCCCATTTCTACAAAAAAATTTAAAAATTAGCCAGGTATGGTGGCTCACACCTGTAGTCCCAGTTACTCAGGATGCTGAGGTAGGAGGATCACTTTAGCCCAGGAGATTGAGGCTGCAGTGAGCTGTGATCCCATCACTGCACTCCAGCCTGGGCAACAAAGTGAGACCCTGTCTCTTAAAAAAAAAGAAAAAGAAACAAAAAGACAGGGTCTCCCTTTGTCACCTAGGCTAGGTTGCAGTGGCATGATCATGGCTAACTGCAGCCTCAAACTCCTGGGCTCAAGCAATCCTCCAGCCTCAGTCTCCCAAGCAGCTGGGACTACAGGCACATGCCACCATGCCAGTGTAGTTTAATATTTTTTTTTAGAGACAAGGTCTCACTATGTTACCCAGGCTGGTCTCTAACCCCTGGGCTGAAGCGATTCTCCTGCCTCAGCCTCCCAAGTAGTTAAGCAGTAGGGATTACAGGCATGATCCACTGTGCCCGGCTCATATACTGTTAGTTTCCTTTCTTTTTTTTTGAGACGGAGTCTCGGTCTATTACCCAGGCTGGAGTGCAGTGGTGAGATCTTGGCTCACTGCAACCTCCACCTCCTGAGTAGCTGGGATTACAAGTGTGCACCACCACACTTGGGTAATTTTTGTATTTTTAGTAGAGATAGGGTTTCGCCATCTTGGCCAGGCTGGTCTCGAACTCCTGATCTCAGGTGATCTGTCTGCCTTGGCCTCCCAAAGCGCTGAGATTATGGGCATGAGCCACCGCGCCCGGCCTTGTTATTTTCTATTATAGTATATTTAGGCTAAGGTCTCAGACCTTGAGTGATATGTGGACAATCTGGAAAAGGAACAAAAACAATTAGAAAAAAAGAGAGGAAAAGTTAAAGGAATTTGTATTATTTGGTCTGTGAAAGAAGCCAGGGACTTATGAAAGGATGCAGTTTAAGTGTAAGCAATGGTTTCTTAGCCTTCCATAAGGCAGGCCGGGATCTGGCAGAGAGACAGCTGATGGCTAATTACTGAGGCCCCTTCTATTTTGAACATTTTGTGAGTCTGTCTTGCACAGAGCTATTTTGCCCAGAGTAAGAAGTCATGAGCAGAAGGGATTTAGGTAACATTTCGGAACCAGACTACCATTTGGGAAGTGCCAAAACCCATTTCCAAAACCAGGTAAGGAAATTAAGAAAGAAGACTGCTCTCTTTCTAGAAAGGGTTAGGTCAGCATTCCTAAACTGTGTCATATGGAATACTGGTATCCCCTCAGATATGAAAAGGTGTGTTCCTGAAAAAGAGGTTAGTAAGTTTACCAAATACCAAGTTAAACACACTTAAATAGATTTTTACTAAAGGATTCTTTATCCTCAGTTGCTAATGTGTGTTAAGAATCACTGAATGGAGGCCAGGCGCAGTGGCTCATGCCTGTAATCCCAACACTTTTGGAGACAGAGGTGGGCGGATCGCCTGAGGTCAGGAGTTTGAGACCAGCCTCGCCAACATGGTGAAACCCTGTTTCTACTAAAAATACAAAAATTAGCCAGGTGTGGTGGCGGGTGCCTATAATCCCAGCTACTCAGGAGGCTAAGGCAGGAAAATTGCTTGAACCCAGGAGGCGGAGGTTGCAGTGAGCCAAGATCGTGCCATTGCACTCCATCCTGGGCGACACGGCAAGACACCATCTCGAAAACAAACAAACAAAAAGAATCACTGAATGGCATAGAGCATGTAGCAACCTGTAACATGTGGGAACACTGATGTTCTAAGGAACACAGTTTGGGAAATACTGGATTAGTTGCAATTGGTTATGAAAGCAAGGAAAGGGCAAGGTGGTGTCTGGGGATATCTCCCAGCTTAATGATTTTATATGTTGGGCTAACTGAGTTGCTGGTCCTCTTTCTTTCTCCTCCTTCCCATCACAACCTGATCCAGGCATAAATCTACCTTCCATTAAATTATTATCTTCTCTGACTTTCCTATTTCTCCCACTTACATGTCTAGGCTATCAAAACTTTCCCTCCCTCTCTCCCTATATCTCTTTCCTCTGTCCTTCTCTTTTTCTTGTAGCCTCCTTTCTCCCATGAAAGTGCTTTCTGCTTGTTATTAAGCAACATCACTTTTCTTCCATTAAAACAATGCTTTTAATTGCTTTTTATGTAATATTAAGCTTCTCTCTGATGTGGCCACCTAGTTTAGATTCTCTTCTATTTTTTCCTCTATACTTTAATTAAGACTTAGGGACTTTTGGGCCTGGCATGGTGGCTCATGCCTGTAATTCCAGGACTTTGGGAGGCCGAGGCAGGTGGATCACTTGAGGTCAGGAGTTCAAGACCAGCCTGACCACAATGGTGAAACCCCATCTCTACTAAAAATACAAAAAATTAGCCAGGTGTGGTGGCACACGCCTATAATCCCAGTACTCAGGAGGCTGAGGCAGGAGAATAGCTAGAACCCAGGAGGTGAAGGTTGCAGTGAGCCAAGATTGTGCCACTGCACTCCAGCCTGGGTGACCAAGTGAGACTCCATCTCAAAAAAAAGAAAGAAAGAAAGAAAGACTTAGGGACTTCTTTAAGAATAAACCTGCCATCCTGATGATCCCTTAATTTCCCTTTTCTATACCATAGTGACTCCTAGTTCTAGACTAGTCTATAAAGCCATCATCCCTTATTATTGAACATCCCTTCCAATAAATAATTTCTCACAGGAAGCTACTCAAGATCAGCATTATGCTATGCTGTTCCACCTCGCTTCTTAATCTTGTCATTAACACTATTAGCCAGCTGAGTAATGGTGTTCTAGAAACTTTATGAAAATAAACACACACTGCCTATCCACAAGGAGCTTTCTCTGAAAGAGATAACAGTGACAGGAATATGTTGAAAGAAAATAATTTTCTCTGGGGCATATGTATACAGATTAAAAAAAAAAAACAACTTTTCTCCATCTCCCAACAGAGTATGATTTCATACCACAGATACAAAGAGGTGGAGTCTTCTTCTGTCTTATCCCCACTGAATTTCTTCTTTTCTCAAACTTACTATGTCCCTTTCACACAATATGACCAATAGGAAAGTGAACATTTTAGTTGGTTTTTAGGTCAAATTCAAATACTTTCTGATGAAGTAGATATCCCCTTTCTTCCTGCTTTAGCACCAATTCTAGACCTTCCATGATAATCGATTAGGTTAGCAGAGATGTCATCTTCCTGGTCTGAACATTTTCTTAATCATGTATAGCTCTGGACTACAAAAGAAAAATTCCTTTACCTGAGAAGAAAATGATTCTCTGGTATCCTAAGAAAATTCCAATTTGATTATGCTCTTATAATCTCATTTAAAAAATTTTCACTTTGACACAATTTCAGGGTTACAGAAAAGTTGTAATGGCACAGAAAATTCCTATATACCTTTCACCCAAATTCCCCAAAAATGTTATCTTTACCACATTTTTTTTATTCTCCTCTCTTGCTCTCTCCACAAACACATAATTTTTCTCTGGAATTATTTGCAAGTCATAGGCATAATATGGCTTTTCATAAGACAGAGTCATCGGCAGATATGTGATGGAGCAAGTATAGGTGATGGGCTGTGACTGCTCATAGCCCATTGTAAATTAAAGTGTTTTCAACTTTTATTGTAGGCGAAGACATTTCAAAATAAAATGTTGAGGGGAAAAATCAGAAAATCAACACTGATACAATACTATTATCTCCAGACTTTATGCAGATTTTGACAATGTCCCAAGAATGTCCTTTAAGTAAAAGAGAGTCTCAGATCATGCCAAGTTATCTAAATATATCCTGGTATCAGAGGAAGTTGGCTTTCTGACTATTCGTACTTAGGCGAGAGACCTGGGCTAAGGTTAAACCAAAATACCAAAATATCCAAAACTTCGTTATATTTGGCTTTAAAATTTTCAGTCCTTTGGGGATAGATATATCTATAAAATTATGTTTTGACTAAGTTTTAAAATTAAAATTCCACCCCAGCTCAGTGGCATGGGATATGTTTTGTAGTAAAATGTGCCTTAGGGGGAAACTGCCTGAGGTGGAATATTGAGGTGCAGACAATCCATGATGTAGATGTCATGCACAAGGTACATGAAAGCTGACAATGAATAGGACTTAGAATATCATTCCAATGCTTCATGATCCTTTGCATAAACAGGTGTCAAGGTTATTTTTATTAATATACCTCTTTTTGGCCCTTTAAAATAAACCTAAGGGAGAGCATTGAGACTTTTTCTCTTGTGGAAAGCTTTAGCTACCTCTTCTCTACCCTGTTCGCCCCTCAAACAAGTTTATGTGGTAAACTGTTTCCATATTGAATGGCTGACTGTCTTTTATAATCTGAATTAGAAAATGCAAAAAAAAAATCCTTTAAAGTCAAGCAGTGGAATTAACATATGAGCAGAGCTCCTGTGGGCTTTTAAATCCGTAATTAAAAAACCTGAGACACGTTGGCTTGGCAATCGTTATTGTCTAACGTGCACAGATAGCCAAAAGGTACTGAAATGCGACATTCTGTCCCACATGACTCACCCACTCAGCAGAGCCAGCATCACGAAGAATGCTGAGAAGGCCTTACATCTTTAAATGCCTGGCCCACCAAAGGTCTTCTCCCAGCATTGAAAAATGCCCAGAGGTCCACTGGAGAGACTGTTGAGTGTTTGGAACACAGAAAATCTGCTTTTGCTAGCATTCTCCATTTTTATGTAGGAAAAGGAATCCTTTTCTGAAAAATTAAAAGTCTGAGAGCAGGAACACACACGCACACATGCACGCAAATCATCATTCCTATCTGATGTGTGAGAGCATAGCACACAGCACAGCAATCTAGCAACGAGCCTCCCAGATTATAAATAGGCTGCCAATCCAAGCAGCAGCTGTCTCACATCACTCTGCTTTTTCTCCCTGATTTTATTATATTTCAAAGATGATGCACTGATTTCTACAAGTTTTCTCCGTGCTAACAGGTACAACATGAACAGGCCAAGGAAATTTGTTTTTAAGATTATTCACATCAAACAATATTCCATGCTAATCTGCCATCGTTTACCTTATTTATACATGTATAAGGGGTTTAACAGGTTTGCACTCCTGCATTTTTCTGTTATAAATTAAGTCCTCAGTATTATAATTCTGCACTCAATCGCAGTCAACCAAGAAATTGCCTTTATAAAGGCAACTGAGCACCCTGCCCTTTCTGGGATGGGAAAACAGTACTACCTACACCTGAATGCAGATGCCTGCACAGGAAACACACAAAATACAATGCAATTTGATTCAGTCTTTAATGCACACAACTCTTTCAAGAATGAAGCAAGCCAATCAACGAAATGCACTGCTTAAGATCTTTAAAATACCCAAGTGCTAAAGACATTCTCCTTATTCACCTTCCATCACATGAAGACTAACACACAGAGCTATGAGAAGACGCCTATTGTTCCCATATGGAAAAGCTACTGTCCCAGGAATCAGTATTCAGGGGATACCTGTTAAACAATGATTTATATCTTCTTTTTATCCTGTTTTCAGCATATAATTCACACTGGAAAAATACTTAAGCCAATATTTTACTTTATTTGTAGTAAGTACATAGAAAATTCTTATTTGAACATCTCAGAACTGTCAGTCCCTATCCATGACATAGCCTATCTCATGCCAAAGGGAAGCAGCCAGCACCTACCATTTTATTTGTCAGTAAGGAATTCATTTCACTACAGCCTAATAATACAAACAGGGTAACATTTGCTACAGTTGAAATTTAATAGGCTAGTAGCTGATTCTCTAAATTCTTGAGTTGGAAATCTCTGGGGACAATTTTTTTTTTTTTGAAGGATGGGCTTGAGGGGATACAACAAAAAAAGAATTGAAAAAGTTGTGCAAAAACTGCATTTGTATTCCTATCCCAAAAATTTCAACATTCCAAAGAGTTTGGTGTCAGGATGCAAAATTATTTCAATTTTCAAGTACATGTACTCAGGACTGTCCCTGAACTTTTAAAGTCATGGTTCTTTTGAAACAATCTCATATTAATTTCTATAAAAATAATAATACTATACATCAAAATGTTAATAGTTGAGTGTTAAGCTTACAGGCAATTCTCACTTTGCTGAACTGGCTGAAGGTTTTATGATCAAACATATTACTTTCATAATTAGAATAATAATTATACAATCTACTGCATTTTGAGGAAAAAAAGTTTTTCCCTCCTGAAACTCTAAGACTTCCTGATTCTGTTGTAATTCTCACTTTTAAGTTTACATGCTAAAATATTACTTTATACTTTAAAAGCTTGCCTTTTTTTTTTTTTTTTTTTTGAGACAGAGTCTCGTTCTGTCGCCCAGGCTGGAGTGCAGTGGCATGATCTCGGCTCACTGCAACCTCCGCCTCCCAAGTTGAAGTGATTCTCCTGCCTCAGCCTCCTGAGTAGCTGGGATTACAGGCGCCCGCCACCACGCCCAGCTAATTTCTGTATTTTTAGTAGAGATGGGGTTTCACCATGTTGGTCAGGCTAGTTTCGAACTCCTGACCTCATCGTCCACTCGCCTCGGCCTCCCAAAGTGCTGGGATTACAGGCGTGAGCCACCACGCCCAGCAAAGGCTTGCCTTTTAAGGCATTTCTAATTTTTTATTTGCTTCAATGTGTATTACTATGCCCCAAAGGACTATATGAACACAAGTTGACTACAGACTGTTAGATCCTCTTTCATTTCTATTGGATCTACAAATTGTACCACAAGTCTAATATTGATGCAATCATGGTTTATTAATCTGACCATTACCTTTTCAAAACAAAATGTAGCTTGCAAAAGAGTGTTATCTGTCATGATAAGCTAAACCTTGTGGAAATTAAGGGCTTAACTCAAGAAGTCAACGATAACTTCTTGTCTCATAATCTTTGGTCAATTTTTTTGCATTTAATGTTGTGGAAATGCTCTTTCACTGATTAATTCTACTTGATACTGACTTTCACAAAGTCTAACAAATACTTGTTGAATTTTTCCTCACATAATAGGTTCCCAAAACAATATTTTATTTTTTTCTAGAGGCCCAGCTAAATAACTGTTCTGAAAACAGACTTGTTTTTATTCTATATTCCCTTTGAGTTTAAGGATTAAAAAATTCTTCACTGGCTGGGCGCAGTGGCTCACGCCTGTAATCCTAATACACGGGGAGGCCAAGGCGGGCAGATCACTTGAGATCAGGAGTTCAAGACCAGCCTGGGCAACATGGTGAAACCCTGTCTCTACTAAAAATACAAAAATTAGCTGGGCGTGGTAGCGCATGTCTGTAATCCCAGCTACTTGGGAAGCTGAGGCAGGAGAATCACTTGAACCCAGAAGGCAAAGGTTGCGGTGAGCCAAGATCGTGCCACTGCACTAGAGCCTCCGTCTCAAAAAAAAAAAAAAAAACTGTCTTCATAAACTATATTTCCTTAAATATGTACAACCTAAAAACCTAGCAATAAATTTCATGTCATTTCCAATAGTGCACCTAGCTTAAAAATAACAAATGTCCGTTAGAGTGCTTTTAGTTAAAAGTATTTCAACTTTACTCCACCTGCAGTTATACAGTAAAAATAATAACAAAGGCATAGAAGAAGATAAGAATGTGAATCCCTAATTGGTAGGTAAAATACTTTAATACTTACAAAAGTGTTTTAAAATTGAAGACATAATTTGGATAGTCTTTATAACTTGATTTGATAAATATCCTCCTCACTCAAATTTATTTTCAAAACTAAGTGTATTACGCTCTGTACAAGAAGAGAGCCCTGATATATACAACTAATACAGTAGGTTGTTATTCATTACGGTCTTTGGACAAAGAATCAACGCTAAACAATAGAGCAAACTGCTGACTCTATCTGGAGAATATCTTGCTAATACATTAAAAGCTACTGCAGGTTTAGAATCCCAGCCTCTGAAAAGAGCTTATCCAGAGAATAAGACCAAGGTACATTTTTAGTTTCTATTCTGATTTCTTTAAAAGGGTGTCAAGACAATATAAAATTATTTTTTCTCTCCATAAGTTCTCTTGCTCCAATCAAGAATGCTTCTTTCATAACAAGACGATCCTGCACGATCTTTTATTCTTACCAAATGATTTGCCCAGGTTTTCATCATTTGTCTTCTAATATTATGATCAAGAGATTATTCTTTGAACCAATGGGGGCTAATATCAGATTTCAATACCAGCATTTTAAAAAGATCCAAAAAGAGACAACAAGGAAAGTATTCTTTTTCAGTCTCAAGTGTATAAATAAGCTACTTTTCATTAGTCTGTTCTCTGAATGTTACTAAAATTTAACTTTTATATCACCTTGAACACAAAATTCAAAAAGATTCTTTAATCCTAAAACACATATTTGTATCTTTTAAACAACTGCATCATAAACATAATAAAACCAATTTTCACTAAATCTCACATTTGCATTCAAATATTTTATGTTCCCATTCAACTATATTTACTTCAGTTTTTTTTTAATTTGTAACTTTAAGAAGGTGACGATCATTTCTTCTAAACCACATAGTGTGTGTGTGTGCGTGTGTGTGCGTGTGTGTGTGTGTGTGTGTGTGTGTGTGTGTGTGTGTGTTTCCAGTAGCAATTTCTACTTTTTGGGGGAAGTGGAGGAGACTGACCAGAGAAATTGCTGATTTTAAAACAGTAGCATCTATCAATATTTGCTCACAAATAAATAAATGTCCTAAAATGCAAATAATGCAGAGCCATAAGGAGCTAGAGCCTACACCAGTGAGTGAACTTTTACAGGAAATTCATGTACGACAAGCGATCACGTAGTAAAAGCTGTGTTCCAGTGCTATACATTTTTAGCCACCCAAGCTCAAAGCCTCAGAGTCACTTATCATTCTTTCTTCCTCTACCTTGTGGCCCAGTTCCCAATAATGCCTAATCTTGTTGATTGTTCTGCAATAATGTCCCTTCCAACCTCTTTCCATACCTTTTGTCCCTTACCAGTGTCAGAAATTGTTTCCTTAGCCTTAAGCCACAATAATATAATTCTAACTATACTCCCACACCCCATTTCTTCCTTTCCATATAGCACTGCCAGATTAATAGCAAGAAAATGTAGCTCAGATTGATTATGTCACTTCCTTGGATAAACAACAACAAAGAATCACAGACTATTACTGTTGGAGGGGCCCAGAGTAGGAAGGGAAGGTAATGGGAGCTGGAGCCTGGCAACAGGAACCCAAAGATAGTACACAGGACCCATGAGGTGAGGGTCTGGCAGGATTTAACCTAGTAGTTCATGCAGCCGGTACGAATTCATTCTTTTTCTTAAAAGTTGATAATAAACATGCATAATTAGGCAGTTATGTAATTTACATTGTTTAGTTAGTGGATTCTTTTCTCTTTAGATTAATAGGCGCTCCGAGGCAGGTCAAATCAAAAAGGTTTGGCTGAGACTCTTTTTTCCTCTGGCTTTGTCTGTTAGGTCTAATAGTGTCTGGAAAAGAATGCAATAATTTTTTTCCAGAGACGTTACTAACACTATACGCAAAAGCTGGAAGAATCTGTAAGTACTCAGGGGTGACATTCACTCAAGAGACTATGGAAATGGGGTGAGACATAAATGCTTGATTAAAGTTAGCAGAAGCATTATCAGGTACAAGGAACTGGATTGGATTGGGCCACACAGTTACCCAATTTTCCCCAATGCACATCTTTTTGTTCTCTTCCACACTAACATGAAAACCACAGCTTTATTAGCTGATAATTTAAAACACAGTCAAAGCCCAACTCTTAAGTGCTGCTTTAAAAAGAAAACTGTTTGAATCCCTACAAATTTCTCAAAAGGAGACACACCAGAGTTTGATTTAGATAGCCTAGAGCAATGTCCTGTGTCCTTAGTTAGGATCACCCTGCTACACAAAATGATGCTAATCTCACAAAAAGCGAAAATATCATTATATTTTCCTATTTATAAATGTAATATAATTTCATTTAATTTTTTTCAAGAAATTAAAATATCATGTAATCCCTCTCAACCCCAGAAATAAGCTCCGTTATTTCTTTCTAATATTTTTCTGATTTTATATAACAATCTGGGATCATACACTGCATAGTGTGCTACCATGTCCTTCGTTTATTTAATAATATGTCACGAATACATTTCCATGTGAAAATCAGTATCATCTACTTCCTTTTCTTAACAAGTGCACTCACAAATACACCAAATGTTTTTTTCAATTCTCCACTATTATTTAAAAAAACTGTAATGAACATCCTTATAAATGTATCTTTATTCACTTATCTGAATCCTTCCTGAGAATAAATTCTTAGAAATCATGCTGCTGGGTTAAAGGGTAGCCTAATTTAAAATGTAGATTCCTATTCCAAAACTGTTGTCTGAAAAGGCTATATATACTTTCATCAATAGAGTAAGGACTGCCTGTTTGTCTATCTCTTACAAGTACACAGACTTGATACCCTTAAAATTTATCAGTTTCATGAGTGAAAAAATTTCATTATTGTTCTAATTTATAATTCCTATTAATGAAACTGAGCATCGCTTCATATTTATTGGCCATTAATGATTTTAATATGTTTAATGATTCATACAAGAGTATAAGTACATGTGTGAATGTACATATGAATGTATAAGTATGTATACATACATGTACATATAATCTCTAATAAACAGGCTAGTTTTGGTACCTCTGAATCCCTAAGAGCCTCTCTCTAATTGCATCCCTCTCCTTCTGCCCAAAAGGTAGTTACTATTCTGAATTTCTTCTAACTTTACCACTTATATAATTATCCATATATAATGTTTTATTAGTTTTTATGTATCCTGTGACTTGTATTTTTTCCCAAGTCTCATGAAATTCTCCATGTTGATACATATACCTGCAGTTCATTCATTTTTTAAAAACTATAGTATGGTATTCCACCATAGGAGTGTCCCATAATTTACTTATCCTATCACAGGATATTTGGACTGATTCCATTTTCTGTTGTTGTTAGTATTATTGTTGTTGTTGAGGCACAGTCTTACTCTGTTGCCTAGATTGGAGTGCAGTGGTGCAATCATGGCTCACTGCAGCCTCTGCCTCCTAGGCTCGAGGGATCCTTCCACCTCAGCCTCCCAAACAGCTGGGACCACAGGTGTGCACCACCACATCTGGCTAATTTTTGTATTTTTGGTAGAGATGGGTTTCGCCATGTTGCCTAGGCTGGTCTTGAACTCCTGGGCTCAAGCAATCCACCGGCCTCAGCCTCCCAAAGTGTTGGGATTACAGGTGTGAGCCACCATGCTTAGCCCATTTTCTGTTATTATTAACAAGGCTGCTACAAATATTCTCATGCAAGTCCTTCTGTATGTCTGTAAGAGTGTCTTTAAAGCTGCATTGTCCAATATGCTATCTATCCACTAGCCATATATGGCTATTGAGCACTTAAAATATGGCTACCTCAAGCTGAGATGTGCTGCAAGTGTAAAATATAAACACCGGATTTCAAAGACTTAAAATTGATTTCAACTCTGTTTACTTTTTTGTAGGTGGCTGCTAGAAATCTTTTAATTACATATGTGTTTTCTGTTCTATTTCTATTGGACAGTGCTGCTCTAGAGTATATATCTAGGAGGAGAACTGGTGGGTCATAAAGTATACACATCTTCAAATTTGCTAGAAAATCAAAAATTGTTTTCCAAAGTTGTTGAACAATTTTATATTCCATTCAGCAGTGTATAAGGTTTCTTGCTGCTTATCCTTGCCAATGATTGTTGTTGGATATTTTAATTTTTGCCAATCTGTCAGAAGTAAAATGATATCTCACTGTGGTTTTAAATCTCATTTTCCTCATTACTAATAAAACTAATCATCTTTCACATATTTACTGTCCACTGATGCTTCCTATTCTGTAACATATACTAGTATTTTTACTTCTGCTGTGAGTTGCCTTAATATTAGTGCCCCCACCCCCCCCTTGCATACTTTTCCCTTGGGAGGCTCATACTTTTCTTAGAGATTCATAAGAACTCTTTATATGTAAGACTAATAACCCTTTGTCACACATGTGTTAAAAATATCTGTCTTGAATTTTTTATTGCTGTTTTTGCAATTTTGCTTTTACTGCCTTTGCCTTAAATAAGGTTTCTCTTCTTTCTTTTATCCTCTTATGTTATTAGGTCCTTTCCTGTATGGTTTCTGGTCTTCTTATCATACTAAGGAAGGTCTTCCACACTCCAAGATAAAAAGAACAAAAAAACTGTTTTCTTTTAGTATTTTTATAATGTTATATATTAAATCTCTAATCCACTTTAAATTTGTTTTTTAGTATGATGTAAAACAGAGATAACAGCAGACAAAAATTACGGTGACTATCCAGCTCATGACAGGTCTCCCAGTGGCTATCTATGGCTGTGCTACTCGCCTCCTTTCCTGGGGAGGCTTTCTTTTCACGTTCATCCTTCCCCAAATCCACACACTGAGACACACGCACCTGCAGAAACCAACATGTCATATGTGTAAGAAGTCTTACATGACCCAGTTTCCCAGGATATAGTGATTGGTCTGAGCCCTACAAGGGGATAGTGGGCATGTGACCCTGGCCACACAAATCAAAGTACTTCCTCAAGTATTTTCAACATGCCAGAGAACACTTTTCTTCAAAAGGTGACAAAACCTGGAAGCTGCTAAAGGCTACATTCTCTGCCACACAGAGTTAGCCTACCGTAGTTAAAAATGAAGTGGAGAACATATGATATAAATGAAAGAGTAACTAGTCTATGAGGACTGAAGAGGTTTGCTGCTTCTTGCATTCCTGAGGGAATACTGTTCACCTATTCCCTCCTTTCTGTGATACCTTAACATCCTCCCAATATGTCCGCTCTCTTTTTGGCTTCAGCTAGTTTGAGCTGAATGTGTAATTTGCAATCAAGACAGTCCTGACTAGGAGCCTCACTTGATATTTTTTCCTGAAGTGGACAGCCAATTGTTCTTATACCATTTCCTGAAAAAAATCCATCTTTCTCTACTGATCTGAAATATTATCTCTATTATATTAAATTCCAATTCATATGAATGTTTTATTTTTAAGTTGTTTTGCTCTGCTAATCTGTTTGTTCCTTGCCAGCATCATACCGTTCACTGACTAAACCTTCTAGTATGTTTTGACTCTGTTGGTTACTTCATTCACTTAATGTACATATTCAGTACACTACATTGTGTTAGCCAGAGAATATTCCCTTGAATAGGCAGGTGGAGTCCTGACTCTCATTGAGTTTAAAACCTAGAAGCAAAGAGAGACAAATCATTATGATAAAATATAATGAGTGTTAGGATAAAGGGAATAAGGTACACTAGGGTAAACAACCAACAGGTGGACCTAACCTAATCTATAGGTCAGAGAAGGCCTCTAGGAAGAAGTAGTTTTACACTGAGACTTGAAGGATGTGTATGAGCTCACCAAGGTGGGGAGGAGAACAGTGTCTCAGAAGGGAGACCAGTAAGTTCAAAGATGCAGAAAGACTAGGGTCCATTTAGTTGTGAGAAAAGTTAGAGTTTGAAGAAAGAGAGAGAGAAAAGAGAGGTTGGAGAAAGTAGGTATGTATCACACAAATTTGCGAGCCACGTTAAGATTTTGGACTTGGTCCTAAGAGCAAAGAGAAGACACAGAGAGGTTTTAAGCAACCATTTAAATTTGCATTTTTGAAGATTCACTCTAGCTACAGTAAAGAGAAGGGAAGAAGGCTGGAAGCAAGAAGATTCAAAAAGAAACTCTTTAAATAAGCCAGGCAAGAGATAATAATGGCATGGGCTAAAGTAGTGCTTATGGAAAGAAGATAGATTTAAAAAGATATCTAAGAAGAAGACTGGCAGAACATGATGACTGAATTTCGGAGATGAGTGAAAGGGAAGAATCAAGGAAGGCTTTCAGAGTCAACAATGATGTTTAAGATTCTGGCTTTTTTATTGTGGTAGACTGTGGTAAAATTTACAGTCATAAGTAACATAACTGGAAACACTGGAGAGAAAATAATGAGTACAGTTCAGGACATCCTGAGTCTAAGATGCCAGTACGACACTGAAGTGAAGTTGTTCAGTGGGCAGCTGGGCTAGAAATGTAACATTCTCCTTAATTCTTTTTCAAAGTTTCCTTGGCTACATCTGGGTGAACTTTAGACTCAATCTGTCAAATTCCCCAAAATATTCACTGGAATTTTGAAGAGAATTATAGTAAATTTATAGATTTCAGGATAATTGACTTCCTTAAAACGTTCAATCTCCCCACTTAGAAAGAAGGTATGAATGATCTTCATTTATTTAAACTCTTTTATGTCCCTAAGTAAAAGTAAAGGTACAGGTATACATTTCTTGTGAAGTTCATTTCTAGCTTTTAAAAGGTTTCTTGCTTTTCTGACTCGACCATTTTTTCCACTGTTATTTCCTCACAGAGTACTGCTGACATAAAGCAAAGTTCTTGGTTTTGATTTTACCTTGTATATGGACATCTTACTATTATTATTTGTAATAAGTCATTGATTTTCCTGGTTTCTCTAGGTAGATAATCAGGTCATCTGCAAATAATGATGATATACATCTGTTGTTTAAATAGCATTTTTTATGTTTAAAAAAAATTTTTTTTGTAGAGATGAGGGTCTTGTTATGTTGTCCAGGCTAGTCTTGAACTCCTGGCCTCAGGCAATCCTCTCACCTCAGCTTCCCAAAGTGTTGGGATTATAGGCAAAAGCCACTGCACCTGGCCAGTATTTTTCATTTTCTTGCCCTATGTTATTGTACTAGCTAGAATATCCAGAATAATAATCTTTTTTCCCTTGGTCAGTATAGCTAACAGTTTATTTTGTTGATCTCAAAGACTCATTTTTTGGTTTTGTTTATTTTACTGATTCTTTAATTCTGACTAATTCGGTGCACATCCCTACCAAAAAACTTTCAGAAAGGCTATGTTTGTAGTATATTTTGTGAGTCCAAATATATCTTTCTTTGCCTTTCCTAAGTATAAAATTCTAGTGTCACAATCCTGTACCCTCAGAATTCTATGAAATTCCATTCTCTTCTAGCCTTCAGGCCTATTGATAAAAAATGGAGTGCTCGGCCTGGCACAGTGGCTCATGCCTGTGATCCCAGCACTTTGGGAGGCCAAGGCAGGCAGATCACCTGAGGTCAGGAGTTCAAGACCAGCCTGGTCAACATGGAGAAACCCCGTCTCTACTAAAAATAAAAAATTAGCTGGGCATGATGGCGCATGCCTGTAATCCCAGCTACTTGGGAGGCTGAGGCAGGACAATCGCTTGAATCCGGGAGCCGCCTCTGTTGCGGTGAGCCGAGATCGTGCCAGCGCACTCCAGCCTGGACAAGAGTGAAACGTCATCTCAAAAAAAAAAAAAAAAAAAAAAAGAGGGTGCTTATCTGATTCTTATCCTTTTGTAAGTAACTTTTTTGGTGGTTGCTGTTTATTATTGAGAAGTTTGTGGGATTTTTCTCTTTACTTGAGAACTTGAACAATACTTGAAAATTTTAGCAACAGTATGAATCTTTTTTTTCCTCCAAATTTTCTTGCTTGATGCTTAGTAAGAGCTTTATCTCAAGATCTGAGGCTTTTTCAGCTCAGAAATTTTTTCTTCTGAAATTCCTTTTAGGATCGCTTTTCTTTTGAAGCTCCTACTATAAAATTTTAAATATCTTAAATCTAGTCTCCATGTTTATTTTCTCTACCAAATTTCCATCTCTTTGACACTTGCTTTATTATAGAATTTCTTAAGTTTCTTCTAATTTACTAATTCACCTTCTTGCAGAGCCCATTTTGTTATCTGCCTCCCTGTATTGAGTTTACTTGTATACTCCTATTTCTCTCTCTCTCTCTTTTTTTTTTTAAATGGAGTTTTGCTTTTTTTTTGTCACTCAGGCTGGAGTGCAGTGGCACAATCTCAGCTCACTGCAACCTCTGCCTCCCAGTTTCAAGCGATTCTCCTGCCTCAGCCTCCTGAGTAGCTGAGATTATAAGGCATGTGCCACCACACCCGGCTAATTTTTGTATTTTTAGTAGATACGGGGTTTCACCATGTTGGCCAGGCTGGTTTTGAACTCCTGACCTCAAGTGATCCACCCGCCTCAGCCTCCCAAAGTGCTGGAATTACAGGTGTGTGCCACTGCACCCGGCCCATTTCATTCTTTCAATAACTATTTATTGAGCACCTCCATGTGCTACATACTATTCTAGGTTCTTGAAGGAGGTAAAGGAGTCAGTTGTGTGATTATCTTTATTAGTTTACTGTTGTTTATGATATAATACCTGAAACTAGGTAATTTATAAAGAAAAGGAATTTATTTCTTACAGGTATGGAGGCTGAGAAGTCCAAGGTGGAGGGGCCATATCTGGTGAGAGCTTTTTTGCTCATGAGGACTCTCTGCAAAGTCCCAAGGCAGCACAGGGTATCACATGGCGAGGTGGCTAAGCATGCTAGCATACTTGCTCAGGTTTCTCTTCCTTTTCTTATAAAACCACTAGTTCCACTCCCATGATAACCCATGAATCTGTGGATTGATTAATCCGTTCCTGAGGAGAGAGCCCTTATGATCCAATCACCTCTTAAAGGCCCCATCTTTCAGTGCTGCCACATTGGGGATTAAGTTTCCAACGCATGAAACTTGGGGGACACATTCAAACCACAGCACTATCAAAGAGCTTTCCAAGCAGAGAAAACAGTGTTATAAAGACCTAAGGTGGGCACAAGTTTGACATGAACAGAGAACAGCAAGGAGCCCAAAATTACTGGAGCAGAGTGAGTGGGCTGAATAAAAGTAGGGAAGAAGGATGGGTTGTGGGGTCTGACAGACAACTCTAAAGACTTGACTTTTATTCTGAAGGTAATGAAAATAGCCTATTTTTGTTTTACTGATGAAATAATATGCTCTCAAATCTTACTGAGAATACTAATGAAACGTTTAAAAAGTTATCTCCTGTTTTCGTGCATTCGCTGTTTTAGTATAGGTAGGGTGGAGAATTTGTTTCGATTACTCAGCTTCATTCCCCACTTTCAATCTGCTGATTCTCTTCATAGAACTGGTAATTTTTTCTTGTCTGCTTATAGTTACAAATAAAGGTTTAGCTAAATCAATATATGCGTGGCTGTAAAAAGTCCAAGTCTTTGTCCCAGGCATAGTGGATACATGGGGAAGCCTGAGAATAGTCAGGTAAGTACAGGGCCCACCTTGAAGGAGGTAGCTCACCATGATCTTTATAATAATATTAATTCTCAGGAAGCTTGCAAGTGTCAGCATGGAGAATTTTATCTTAAACCTGGAGTTCTATACCCTAACAGTCATATTCCTCCTATGAATCAATAATATCTTAAAAAGCAGGAGAGGAATAGGCTCAATTTTAGATCTACGAAGGCTGAATTAAGTTTGATATTGCACTCCACCCTTCTCAGTAGTAAAGACAAAAGGTCAATATTATAAAGAGCAAACTAAAATTACAGATCACTATCAGGATCTCAGTCAAAACTGCACAATCTGCAGCTTTCTAGAGTCCTTGACTAAAGTCAGAGGAAATAATTTTTAAATTTCCCTAAGATTAAAAATATCTGCATGAATGAAAAATACTGAGTACTTATCAATCTGTTTAGCTTTCTGCATCTTCCCAAGACTTCCAAGTAATACATCTATTTTTAAAAACCCTCAAATGAGTTTATTCTTATTTGATACAAACAGCATTTTTTGGGAAAAAGAGATTAGGCCTTTTATAAGCCTAAAGCACATGTAACTGAAAATGTTCCAGTAGAAGAATGCAACCTTCCAAGTCTTTTTGTGCTGGCTTCTGAGTATGAACTGTGCCAGATATAACAGGGTTACTAGATGTGGTTTCTTCTGAACAACCTCTGGCAGTAATCCCAAGTGACTTTTCACTCTACTATTATACTTTAGTGGGTAGAACATAATACAAGTCACATAGGAAACAGAGTTTCATTAAACATAATGGTCTCACCTCAGTGGAAAAGAGAGGAAGGATGGAGGCAGGGTGGGGAGGTGCTGGAAGGAAATACCTGCACTACAGTGATGACACTACTGGTAGTTATAAACAAAGAAAAATACTATTTGGCACAGACAATAAAAGTTTTTTTTAGCATTCTTTAATTCCAAAATAACTTAGCAATCTAATTATAAGTAGAAGAGAAAATGTCTGAATAGTGATATTTAAAAAGTGGGGAGGGGTGACGGCTTGGGGCTCTGTAGCCCTTGTACAATGTAAAATGACTCTGAGAGTAAAAGACTGGATTACTCATTACTGCAGTACATTAGAAAATTAGGGTTTAGCAACTAATACAATCTAGTGCACCAAAAATAACAGTATGTGCTGAAGGACTGTATTAAAAGGTCCTGCTGGTAACAAACCCTTGCTCACAATTCTATCCTGAAGCAGCTTACATGAAACTGCATACTATGTTGGAGAGCAAAGGATTCTGTATATGTTCGAATTTAAATACCACTGCAATTTTTTCTTATAACACTGATTCTTTCTCATGAATTGATTATTTAAATAGCAAAAGCCCAGGAATAGCTCCCCCTTTCCTCTTTGGTTAAATATAAATCTATTTCACCCTTAGAACTACACTGACAGGAAGACACACACACACACACACACACACACACACACACACACACACACGCACGCACAATTAAGGTTCTTGATCTAGCCACAGTAAGAATTTCCCAGGTTGGCCCCATCCTTTGTCAATGCACTAGATTTGAACATGCCTCTACAGTAAATAGGTCGCCCTCACTGACTTTTCATGGTGAATATAATAAGGCAAGCACTAGATGCATGGACTTCTTTCTCTTTTTTTAAACATGTATAAAAATCCACCTTCTTATTCTCTCTTTCCCCATAGCCCACCACCACAGTTTCAAATACAGAAGCGGAAATAGTCACCTTTTTTTGTAACTGAATTTTCTCAATACACACAAATGCTTTTTAGAATATATACTAATATGTCGCTAGAAAAGATAAAAAGTAAGGAGGGTGGAAAAGATAAGTCATTAACAAATGAGATCTTATTTAGGATGTTCAAGGAAATTACTATGTCAACCATGATTTGGGCACTGTGCGTACTTCTTTCGAGCAATAACATTTTTTGTTGCACACTACTAAAGACAATGAAAACTGATTATTTTTTAGTCATCTGAGTCAAATGTATATTGGGAAACTAAGGGGTAATCTGAAAGTCAGAAGTCTCTTCATCTTGGTTTCAATTATAGCCAGGCCAAAATAACCTGCTTCTTTCTGGGGTAGTGTGATTTATTAAGTGATGTATGTATGTCAGGATTCCAAAGGTACAGGTCCTACCCAATTTGTTGCTTTATAAGCATACTCCATACATGAAGACCCAGATTTAAAACAAAGAAAACATTTATTTTTAAGACTTTTTATTTTGTAAAATTTCAAACATACATAAAAGTTCATAGTATAGTGATCCCTTTGATAAATCAGATACCTATATACCCTTCCACGCTCCCTGAACTATCACACATCTTTCTTCTCCCATGAACCATCTGAAAGTACGCCAGATGACATTATTACATTTAACCCTTAAATACACTAGTAGCCATTTCTATTACAAAAGGATCTTGTGTCTTATAGTAAAGACAGAGCCCAGAATTCCTCAAAATTTTACACTATGAGATCCTGGGGACAGGATTCATCTCTTCTATTTTTAAAATCCTGTATGTCTGTTTAAGTGTTAAAAATGGCAATTTTCCTACTATACTTAATATGATTTGAGATTCACAAAACATTTTCTGGAACACAACCATTGTCTATAGGAAGTTGAATAAATAATTCCCCAGAAGCACCAGTTCAATATTATCCTGGTTATTTTTTAGGGTGCCAGGCAACTTAATATAATAAATATTTTTTATAAAAAGCAAGCACATCTTGGGGCCTGTGGGAAAGCCACATGACAAAACATATTCCTCAATAAGGCATATTCCATATTTTTACGAATACTTGAACCAAACTTTAAGATTGCTGGACAGGTATTTGGCCATTTTAAACTGGGAGCTAGAATTTGACGGTAAACCAGAAGATCCTAGAAGCAGCCATATTAGTATGTGTGATAGTGCAACTCCGGAAAGTTCATCACCACTTGAGCTGGTCTACGCTGAGGTACAGGACAGGCCAGGGACACGTTATAAGACTGGACTAAAATCACTGAATGGTTTTTATAAATCCTAGAAAACCGAAGAAAGAGATTGGTGAAATGTATAGCATGTCTCCTAAACAAGCAACCTGAACTCTCTCAATCTCATCTATGTCTTATGACTAGGACATGGTGCTAGATCTGAATGTTTGTGTCCACTCAAAATACGTATGTTGAAATCTAATCCCCAGTGCAACTGTATTATGAGGTGAGGTCTTTAAGAGGCCATTAGGTCACGAGGGCCCTCCTTCACAAATGAGATTAGTGTCCTTATAAAAGAGGCCTATGAAAGCTTGTTTTTCCCCTTCTGCCATAGATAGCACCTTCTTGCTATGTCCTCACAGCAAGAAGGTGCTATCTATGAAGCAGACAGTAGGTCCTCACAAAATCTGCTGATGCCTTGAACGTGGACATCCCAGCCTCCAGAGTTGTAAGCAATGAATTTCTGTTATTTATAAATGATCCAGTCTGAGGTATTTTGTTATAGCAGCCTGAATGAACTAATACATGTGGTAATCAGGATCTCCAGATCTCTCTCCATCTAGAATTCCTATTATTACTCTAACTCTCCTTCCTTTCTCATCCTACTGTCCTACCCCTCCTTTCCATAAAAGATACCTGAAATTTTAATTTTGTGAGGATAAAAAGATGGCATTCATGTTTAAATGCCATTTGGGTCCTTTAGAGGTAAGAAATTCAATCAATGTAAAGTACACTTTAAATAATAATTAAGCAGAAATAAATGATGTGGGAATAAGACTGACAACCTATCAATGATCCTATTCTATCCAAGGACTTCTTTCGAAAGTTATCATGTCCAAATAGAAAAATAAAACAGATTTATGCAATTGTGGAATTTGTTCAGAAACACCATGCATCTGAAGACACAGGTTACTTCTGTTTACCCACATCATCACCTTTATCAATACAAGGTTTTCCTCAAATTAATCCTTTCTGGTTAACATACTACCTTCTATATCTAGAAAAGCAAACAGAATGGCAAGTAAAGCCCATATCACGGTCTATTAGTTATTAATATCTGCAATGCCTCTCCTTCCACTGGCCTAGTGAAGCTTTGGCCCCTGAAGTGATAAAGACGAGCTCTGCCAAACTGTTCTCCATCTCTAAGGCAGTATTAACACGTTACAAAGTGCCAAAAGGGCCATTAAAAAAAAAAACTGACCCACTTTTAGAAGTCAGCAGCTTTTTCCTTCTGGTGAAGTATGAATATTTAAATCAGGCAGACAAGTCAAGAAGCAAACATTCCATCCTGAATGCAATGTCTGCATCTCCCACTCAGAGATGAGAGGACCCCGCTGTCATATACCCACATTGAAATGAATGCTCACTTTGGACTCCAGAAGGGCAGTTTTCTAATCATTTCACTGTTTTTCAGACTTGAAGTTCCACATTTGGATGTGAGTGCAGAAAACAGTAAAAGATGGATCGCAGCAACTGCTTTAAATTATATACTTAATGATTTATATCAAGCACAGAATTTAATTTGTAGTAAATCAAACAAACTGAGGAAAGGTTAAGATTGTGGTTAACAGCTGTAAATTTGTTTTTACCTTCATAGAGTAACAATGCATTAGAGGAGTACTACATTTGAGAAGATGGTAAACTCATCATAATAAAATTGACTAGAATCAAGTTTCAACCTAAGCACTACTGTTTAAATGAGATAAATAATAGCAACTATTAACACAAGACACAGGAAAACAAACTGGAAAATAAATCAAACTACTATTCAAAAGCTGTCCTATAGTACAGCTAGAGGTACCTTTTGGCTTTATTGAGAATACATTATTAAACCAAATGTACCTTAAATGAGCAGGAAAAAAAAAGAAAATTCATGCAAGGTAAAAGAAGTAATTAGAAATTTGAGGGTCAGCTGACCTACTCAAATCTATAGTGAAAACTTACAACAGAAATTCCCAATCTTTACACTTCCAGTGACCCCGGTACTACTTTTTCCCCCTCCCCTTTCCACCCCCATTTGGATTTCATATCTTATTTTCCAAACAAGCAGCATTTCAAGTAACAACCTGTGTAACCTTCACACAGGGATATGCAGGACTTCTCTTACTCTTTCGGGCAACCCAGATTAGGAAGCAATGTTAGAAATCCATTTTGCTTCTGCAACGGTTATCCAAACTCTTTTAAACATTAAACCTGTGCTTTCACTCATAAACATTCTCATTTCTAAGCAAACAGGCCACAATTTCACAATTAGGAAATAAAATTCCTTTTAAGGAAAAAAAAATCTGCTTTCTTAACTATATGCCTGACTTCCTTCTACAAGATAAAGCACTGATTCAATTCTCTGAATATATTGCCTTAGCAAAACAAACATATACAAAAAGCAGACAGGCCAATGAAACCTTATTTCCTCCAATATAAATTCATTTTACCCTTCAAATGCTAAAGTATTCCATTCAAAAGATAGGAACTGATCGAAGCTTTCAAAGCAAGTCTAGTTCTAGGCAAGGATAGTATGGTCATTTAAGGCCTTCTAGTACCAGGTCCTGTCATAACTACTTAATCCTATTTTTGATTGTGGCCCAACACTTTTTATGAAAAGTGTTAAACATACAGCAAAGTTCTTATCTTTATTTTGTGTTCATTCCTATATCCCTGCCTTAGCTTGTGTGATTCCCCTGACTTAGAATGCCTCCATTCTTTCTGTTTCTGGAGCAAAGTCCCAATTGGGTTCCCAAGCTGTTCTTGCTTTCTCTCTTCTCATTATCTATACCACATGCTAACTCTTCACTATGTACTGCCCTGGTCTACCATGTGTGTTTATTTCTTTTTCCCTATGAAAGATCATAAGCATTAGCACACATTATTATACCAGGTACTAACACAAAGGAGAGGCTGAAAATATACTTCCTGGCTGATTAATTTCATATAAAAATACATAGTCAAAACTTGCTGAGGGGAGTTGGGAAAGGTAGAGAAAGAACAGAGAGGTTGTCTGATCCAGTGGCTGATATGTTTTTAGGACACTACTATTACTCCAGTCTAATTACTTGCTATATTTTACCCAAGTAAGCAAGCTAGGAATTGGAAAAAATTTATTTAGAGCTTCTAAAATTAGCATTTTATGTCCTAGTAAACAGAATCACAAGGACTCAAAGCACTACAATGTATTCAAAAAAAGAATGGTTAGAAATCAAGTTTCTCTCTCTGAATATTTAGTTAAATGAAAAAGAGAAGGGGCCTAACTTCAAAGGAAATCACTATCTGTTCTCTAAAACACGTAGGTTACTAGACTTTTTGGAAGCCCTACTCTTGCCTTCTGTGAGTTTCTTAACCCCTTTCTGCTCCAAGACCCCTTTATGAGACCACAGCAGGCAGGTGTCTTAGTAAGACTCTGCTCATGGTTTACCTTGAGATGTGGTCACCAGAAAAATGAGGATAAACTCCTCACTGGGTTGGACTCAATAGCCCAAGAGTTCACAACTGGCTCTGTTTTCTTGCTTACAGAGATAAAGTACCGTATTAAAACTCAATACATTTTGGGAAGAAAAGATAAAAACACAAAAAGAGTCTGTCTTATCTTCAGAAATGCAATTCTCAGCTTTGTGAGCTCTGGCATTCAGCTAGCCAGATTACCAAACTTATTTGAAAGCTGAAGGCTCTGCCCTGACTCCATCTTTTGCTATTTTCAGGGTTTGTTTTCAAGAGTGTCCCTGAGCTTATGCACATGTGCTTCACTCAATTCACACACATCAGTGAATAGCAGCAGCAGAAATCCAGGTCCACAGCAGGAGGTTTAATTAACTGTACACAGGACAGTGCCAATAGCACTGGGGCCATCCTCCTATGGGGCAGCACACCAACAAGGCTAATATGCAAGGGAAACCCACTTCTGGAGGCAAAAAAAGTATTTCCCCATCAAGCAAAATGAGAGATCAATATGGCAAAAGAGAAACCAAAAACTAAAACAAACCAAACCCAAACCAAAAAACCTTGCCATGACAGCCTCAACAAGAAACCAGAGCTCGTCATACAGGGCAAGAGAAAAGCCAGGATTTAATGTTTTCCACTGTTTGGGTCAGGCTTCACTCTGCTTTTTTAATGGTTATTAGAAGCCATTCTAAGGCAATCTCACAGAGGCCTTTCTAATCATTTTGTGCATATATTTCCCTCATATATCTTCTCTGTCAAAAGGGTTGGTAATGGTATGCCACAAGACAAAAATAATATTAAATGATGATGGCAGCGGTGAAGATCTAGGTGGTAATGCAGATGGCAAATGAGCTTTCTACATGTAAACACACTATAAAACCCAACAACATAGAAGGAAGCCTGCCTTCACTCTGTGAAGAGTGTCTGGACAAACGAGAGTAGTTTCCAAACACTGATCAAGGATTTCTCCCATCCACACAGTAAGACACCAGTTGGCACTGCTCCCCATGATGAAAGTTTGAGTCAAAAGTGTATATTCAGAAGTCTGAGCTGTTTGTTTGCTAGTCTAGATTGAGGATGACATGGGCAGGTCAAAATAAACAGCTTTACCTCTGATAAAGTTTAAGCTAATTTAAAGTGATTCAGGAAGTCTATTCAAACATTCTTCTCATGTTTAACAAGTAACAAACTTTTAGAAAATAAATGTAGTTGACCAAATAAATATCACTAGGGACAAATTAATGAGCAATTGGTAGAGTATGGACCCAGTCTGAGATAAAGGCTTCAGGCAGGTTACTTTGCTCTAGCTCTTTTGATACCAGTTCCCTATGTAACTCATAGGGGTGTAGGGAGGATTAATTTGATAATGTCTGTAAAGTGCTTTGAACTCCTTAGTGAAAAGTGACATAAGTGGTTACTATTATACACTGCTGGAGTTGAAAACATGAAAGAAAGGGAAAAACAATACTCCTTGATGGTTTATCATGAAGCATTTTTATAGGCTGGTAAGGTATTTTATAATTTTTTTTTATTAGTTAGTCCTTATTATATGCCCAAGAGATAGGAAATATTCCTGGCTTGTTCTTCTGGATAAAGAAACCGAGACAAAAAGGTAAATGACTTTTAGTTAGGAAGCATTATTATCTCCATTTTTCAGGTAAGGAAAGCAAGACAGAGAAGGTGAATGACTTTTCTAGTCACATTCAAGAACTGAAAGGGTTAAAGCATAATTAAGAGTCTGAAAGATATTATTTTTTCTTTGCAATGTTCTGACATTGTTCTGACAAGAAGGCAGTGACTAACAACCAGAAAGCCTGAGATTAAATACTTGCTCTACCATTTCTTGGTTGTGTAAGCTTAAGAGAAGTCACTTTTTCTTTGTGTCAATTTCATCTGCATGGTGAGGTCCAGTGGGGATCAAATTACATAAAGCATGTGAAAACTCTGGGTAAACAATGGCACACTATGCAAATAAGTTATTACCATTATTAGGCTGGTATTCTTATTGAAAATATGGGTTCTCCTAGCCAGTACAATTTTGAATTAAAAGACAATTCAGTGCCCTGAGACCAAATGAAATATGTAATACTTTTTTAAACAGATTTATTGAGATACAATTCATATATCACACAATTCATCCATCTGAAGTGTAGAATTCAATGGCTTTTAACATATTCACAGTTGCACAACTCCAGAATTAATTCCAGAACATTGCCACTGCCCCAAAAAGGAACTCTGTGACATTAGTAGTCACTCCCCATTCCCCAACTACCCACACATATCCACAATTCCCCCAGCCCTGGGCAACCATTAATTGACTTTCTGTCTCCAGGGAGGTGCATATTCTAAACATTTTTTATAAACAGAATCATACAGTATAAGGCCTTTTGTCATTGGCTTCTTTTACTTAGCATGTTTTTAAGATTCATCCATGTTGTAGCATGTATCATTCTATATGTAGTACTTCATTCCTTTTTATTGTCAAATAATATTCTACTGTATGGATATACCACACTTTATTTAACTATCCATCAGTTTATGGGTTGTTTCCACTTTTTAGGTACCATGAATAATGCTATGAACATCCATGTAGAAATTTTTGTTTGAGGGCTGGGAGTGGTGGCTCATACCTGTAATCCCAGCAATTTGGGAGGCCGAGGCAGGCAGGTCACCTGAGGTCAGGAGTTTGAGACCAGCCTGGCCAACATGGTGAAACCCCATCTCTACTAAAAATACAAAAATTAGCCGGGCATGGTGGCATACACCTGTAATCCCAGCTACTCGGGAGGCTGAGGCAGGAGAATCGCTTGAACCCGGGAGGCAGAGGCTGCAGGGAGTCAAGATGGCGCCACTGCACTCCAGCTTGGGCGACAGAGCAAGACTCCATCTCAAAAAAAAAATAATTTTTTTTTTGTTTGAACGTATGCTTTCATTTCTTTAGGATCTATACCTGGAAATACATATACCTAGGAATAACTGCTCAGTCACATGGTAAGTCTATGTTTAATATTTTGAGAAACTATCAGACTGTTTTTCAAGTGGCTGTAACATTTTACATTCCCACCAGCAATGTCTGAGGAATAGATAATTGAAGCTAGACCACAGAAGGGAGACTATTAACTAGCTGTCTGTTAGGGAATGGCTAAACTAGCTCTGCAGAATGACAGCTTGTGTTACTGACAACAGGGATGACAATGCTTCACACCAAGTTTTAGAAAGGAGAGATTATCATTGTTGGGGCATTTTCCTCCTTTTCTCCCCACTTGCCTAGGCCTGGTCCAGGCCAAGGCAATATAAACAGCTTTTTACACACAAACTAATGTTGTTCCCATCTCTAAGAGAAAGTAATACAGAACTGTCAGAGCCAGGCTTTAAAAAGTCCTCTATCATTTCTCAAATCCTGATAGTAAGGTATGTTGTCCTTCTGAGTCTCCATAATTGCTGTATAAAAGTTATGAAATTTCTTATGCCCTCACCATTCCTTTTGATCCATTAGGTTGAACCCGGCCCAAATACATACGTTCAGTAGGTCAAGCATAGGCTAGCTTCAACACAGTGTATTCCTGTACAGTGGCATCTGCAAGCCAAATAGAACTGGTAGAGGGAAACAGATGGCTTCTAAAAGGGGAAGAGAAGAAAAACAGAAGGTCAGGTAGAAGAGGGTGTGGCGGGGGAAGGAGGGATAGAAAGAGGATAGGAGAAAGGAGAAGCATATTTCTGGTTTTGCTCTTCCCACCTGTCACAGCACTCTCCTTGCTGGTTGCCAGCATGCTCCCTTGCAAACACAGCTGCAAGTGACAAAGAGCAGCCGCTGTCCTACTCAGGGGGTCCCCTCCACGTTCCATATTGTAAACTATACTGAAATGCCAATTGCATACAAGAAAGGGAATTACACACCCATTAGAGTCACGAATAGCAAACTGCTGTCTATATCCAACAAATTAGCACTGAGAACCATAGGTTCCTAAAAACAACGTTAAGACTATCCAGCAAACAGTAAAAAGCAACAGAATCAAGAGATTAAGTACTAAAAAATGTGGCTTATTTTAATTTTGTATATTTGTCAGACCTGTGATTAACTCAATCAAAGTAGGACCATATTCTATCATATATTTCATGTAGTCACCACATGTTCAATTTGCTGTAGGGCTCTGCTCTTATGCAATTAAAAGAAAATTAGCAAGTCTTTCCCCAGCAGAGTTAGCGATTGCCACTAGGGATTGCCACTGAAAGGAAATGCTTCACGCCAAGTTTTAGAAAGAAGAGATACTAGCTGTTGGGACATTTGCCTCCTTTTTTCCCCCCTTAATTTGGCCTAGGCCAAAGCTACAGTAAAGGGAACATAAGCAGCTTTTTTACACACAGACTAATGTTGCCAGCAGCATTCCAGTGTCCTTGCTCACGGCAGGAGAAAGGCATAGGGACTAATACCACTGGGTCTTGTTGAAGAAAAGTGGCCGGCTTACTTTGATCAACTGAGTGGTGTGCTGATCAGTGTGATTTCCCTGTTCTGCTGACTGTGAGCATGTTGGGGAGAGCAGGAGAGCTGGCTTTTGAGAGGCCCATGCAGGGAGGCAAATTCCATAGCTGCCGAATCACAGAAAGCAACAAGAAATAAAAGAGGGCTGAACTGGAAGCAGACACCTTAATTCTGCCAGCATGTTACTTACTGATATAAGCATCTCTGGGAGGGGAATGAAGTAGGTACTTCTATAATTTTAATTCATCAATTGCAGTACTATACATAAAACTATTAAGCACAATGTTCAAGAGCATAGTCCAAGATCCTGAAACTATAATTTACAATTTTTAATTACTTCAATTTGATGGAGAAGAGAAAGAATGGGAATTAATAAGATTTTTAAAAATTAAAATTGAGGAAACAGGAACACATCAGCCTATGTGGCTCTTGGCATTGTTCGAGACAAAGGAAGTATGTCCAGCAACTGAGTATGTGTGCAGGACTACAGCTATGGCATACACCCCTCTCTACTATTTGCCAGAGAGGCAGCTGCTGGATTAACATGAGTTAATCTGCTTGTATGCTACACAGATTTTTTTCTAGTAAATTGCAAAAATTTACCTAAAGATAAATATAGCAGTCTCCGAGTTCTCTGTGCCATTCAGCTGCTGCTGAGAAACACTTCTGTTATCTTAAATTTCATCAGCAGATTGTACTCCTTCCTGGGAAACAGCAGCAAAAAGTAGCTTTCTAAAAGCATAGTTAGTCTCTCTGAGGTAAAATACACCACATTTAAATGGCTTCTTCCAAAAAGGATAACTTTCCACCTTTCAAGTTTTAATTCTTGATAAATAAAGTATGTGGTTTCTTATACTAGATCTAATCATTGCTGCTTTAAAGAGTAAATAGTCAATTGCAAATTGAGCAAATTGCTTTGGCTATCCTAGTACCAGAAATGAAATGGATTAGGTCAGCAGGTGGCATGTCATTTCAGTGCTGCCTGGGGGCCCAAAATACAGTTAGGTCATTTTTATTCTTGTGACAGCCGGAATGAAAACCAGAGCATTTACCATTACCTCCCACCTCCATTCTCATACCATCTTGGGCACAAAAGAGTTTACTAGGCCTTCATTTCCAGTGTCCAGACTCCTTCTGGGGCCTCGAGAGATAAATGGGTTGAAATTGCCTAAGGAAACCTCAAACAGAGTACTCTAACTTTGGTCTTCAGAAACACAAAGCTTCTTGTCTACACAAGAAAAACTGAGTTCTCATTAACCAGCTGTTTTTAAGCATGCCAATGTGCAATTCCATTCTGTAGTACTTTCCTTGAAGGAAGAGAATGGTCATCATGCCTCAACTCAAGGGGGTGAGGACACTGGTCTCTGCTACCACGAAGGAAGATATTAGAGGAAGACAAAGGATTGGATGAAGGAATGGACTTAAGCTAAGAAGCAGAAACAAAGGTGATGGGGGTGGGGAAACATGCAGAAGAAGAAAAGATAAACTGGGACAAAAATTCTTCTGTACAGAAACCAGGAGCCTCTTGCAATGGTTGGAACAGTTAAAATATCCAAAAATAGCTTTTCTATCAAGCCTTCTTTCCCCCATATGTGTTTCAAACTACTAGTAGAATTCCAAATATAAGGTAGCCTCCCAAAGTTTACTCCTATGAAAACAGTCAAAGGAATAGTCAATAGTCAAGGTTGAGATGATCCAGGAGTAGCATATGACCCAGGCCTAATGAGGGGACTCCAGTTCCCTGGCCACAAAAGGATGACTGATTCAAGAATGGACCTAAAACTTGTGCCCATGCTCTATGCTGGTACTTCCAGGAAAAAACAAACAAATAAAAAAAACTTTCCCTCTTCAATGGAGTTGATTAAATGGCAGGCTGTAAACCTAGAGCTGCCAGAGGCAACCTCTGCCAGTACAGGACAGCCTGTAAGCAAATGAAGCCAAAAGAGGGAGAAAGTGTCCTGAAGCTCCTAAATCCATCCATGCCTGAAAGCAGCTATATCCCTGAACTTACTACTTATATATACCAATAAATCTCTTTTCCTTCAACAACATTGAATTGAGTTTCTATCACTGGAAAGCAGAAGAGTCTTCACTCATATACCTACTGAATACCTCTGCACTAGCCATTCAACCTCACTGCCTATCAGTTTTCTGAACTCTGAGAAGAAAAAAAAAAAACCATGTTTACTTTACAGAATTGAAAACTGCTAAGTACTACACAGGAGCTAACAATATTTTAACTAAAACAGAAGGTAGGGATAGAAGAAGAAAGATATTCATGAAGCTAAATTGCTCCTAGCTGCTAGTGCTGATAAGAAAACATTATATTTCTACCAGTTTTTCACCATGTGCCCTGGTGGAGCCTCTGAAATCTTTATCAAAGCAGTTAATCACCTAGTAAGTCTTTAAATATTTTCCCTTTTACTTCCAGTTAACAAGCCTTTTCCACCTTCTTGGACATCTCTGACCAAGCCATCTTACCAGGCTTACCATGATGAATAAGCAAAGGCATCACAGAAAGGGAAAATTAACAGTTCCATCTTCAAGGGGCATGTGTGTGTGTGAGTGCCCATGCAGATACACATGTGCTACAAGATGAAGTAGAAGAATAATTCTCACATGAAGGCAAATCAGGGATGAAAAGAAGCTACCTCTACACAACAAGGTGAAAATCTAAGGGCCTCGAGTAATGTGCCCCCTCCCAAAGCATTATTATTCTAAGGGCAGAACTGAACTATTAGGATTACATTTTCAATTCAAAATTTGTAATTAAATGTAATGTGTATTTTAGAAGTTGATTTAGTGTCCTGATAAATGTTTGGTTTCACAGAACACTAGATCACATCTCTCATGGATAGCAGAATAAAACACTTTTTATAATATATGTAACTGATTTACAAAATATCAATATGAAAGAATTATTAGTGAAACAAATACCTAAAAGTAAAGGGTACTAACTTCTAGTCCTCTTTTGATATAAGTGTATAAATAAAAGCAAGAAATGCACAACTAATATTTTGCAAGAGCTAGGAAGAAAAATCATAAATGTGCTATACTTTCAACCTCCAAAGTTGCTGGGCCTAAATATTAAGTATAAATGAAATCATTCTTAAGAGGATATTTTATTTTAAGATGTTATCAACATCTTTGACATCAATTAGTTTTTCTTCATTATATATATAATTATATGTATACCATGACTGGTAAAAAGAACCCCATGGCTCAGCATGGGGTTCTAACCTTAATCAGTGTTTCATACAGGCTGAACATTAATTTTTGTTTGTTTCTCATCTTATTCAATAACTCATACAAAATATTCCAGATAGATGAGTTTCAATCCTCATCTTCCTCCCGTTCTTCTTCCTGGTTAATTTGGCAGTAACATAATTTGTAACTCCCTTTGCTGTTAGCAACTATGTGCAATCAATCACATAAATTATTCTTCTTCAAGTATTTTTTTGTGACATATTTCAAAAACCTTTTGGAAAAAGGCACCTCAAAAGTTACTATGACCTTGCTCTGCTGCATGTGATGATTACAACCCCTCCAATGAGATTCCAGGCTTTTCCATTCACTTTCTCTTGGAGAACCTGCTAAAAATTGGCAGCATCCACGATTCCATTTGGACCTTTCTTCTTTTGCCCCCACTTCGCCACAAGCTTTTTCACAAGCAACGTCGTGGCAGTGGAGGAAGAAAGTTGAACATTAATATTTTAAGCAAATAAAATATGTGATGCTTTTCTTGAGGCTTCTCACCCACCAAAATGTTTCTGAAAACTAAAATACACTAGTAAAAGTTGTATTCCTCTAACTATAGTCAGAGAAGAATTTCAACCAACTCATTTAAAAAAATTTTTTTCTAAAAGGAAAAGCTGAAAGTCAGAGTATTAATATGATAGTAACCCTTGAAAATTATATCACATAAAGTTTCTTCTCTAGCAAGATTCAAACAAATCATTAACTCTGACAAACTAACAACATACAGATTTGTCCCCAGATGATTCAGGAATAAAAATGCTATGTCAAATTGGCTTGGGGTTATCCAATTTAGTTTGGGCAATATCAAACAACTTTAAAATCCACTTACCTACTCCTACACATCTTTTTATGCCTGGGCGCCATTCTCGAAGATTCTGATTCAACTGGTCTAAGGTGCAGCCCTGTATGCAGGATTTTTCAAAAGCTTTTCATTTTATTAGGGTACCAGCTAGGGCTGAGAACCAGCAGTTTACACGTAGATGTGGCACTGGCCTTCAAATCAAAGACTAGATCTTATTACTCTACAACTGTTGAGAAAAATCATTACTATTCAAATCACTATACTCTCACTAATATGCCACTAGAAGGTAAGTTCCTTAAGAAGAGAAGCTTTTTCAGCCTTGTTCATCACTGAGGCTGAGTGGAATGCCTCCAAATAATAGATACTCCATAAATATTTGTGACTGAATGAATTAAATGTTGAAAGATTACCTTTTCAGCTCTACACCTTGAAGCAATACAGTAGAAGCTCTTTTAACCAGTAACGACTAGGACCAGCAGTTGATCAGATAAGGAAAAAAAGTCATACAAAGCAGGAAATCATTTGATAAGCATACCTAAGCATTTTATTTTAGTTTAAATGAACCTTCATTTGCTAATCTTGTAATACAGGACCAGGCTTTCTGTTTATATGGATCTACAGGTTAGAGCGCCAAAACGTCTTTCTTTCATAAACCATAATTATAATGCATCCTCTACCATTTCCATTTTGGACTTTTAAATTATGGCGAGAACTTAAGATACTTTGAAGCAATCTGAATGTAGAATCCTTCTGGACATTAATAATTTATCCCATTCTGTTATAGATCTCTTACCCAAATATAACAAAGCAGCAAATTTTTAGTAATTTTTTTTATCATTTCCAAAGCATTAAATTATGGATTTCATGAAAACAACTTGGTTTTTTAAAACTCATTGGTTTAATAATAGTTAATTAAATTACAGTAACAAGAACAAATGGCAGAAACAAGTTTGGAAACAAACACAACTCACTCTTGATAACTGTTCTACAACTGATGGGAAAAGTGTAGAGTACACAGTAACCCACCAGAACTGGCATTCAGAATGAGGAGTGACAATTAAACCAGTGAGTCAGTTGAGACTTTGCTCTCCACAGAGCTTTTACTGTTACACAAATGCTAGCCACAGGTTTCTTTCCATTGACCTTTCCAATTCCCTAGAGCAGTCAATTCATCCCTTTACTAGTAGGTCATCTGAACTGAGATCCAACAAAATTACCAAGTCTATACATTACATCATCAAAGGAATGTCAGGCACAGAGGCAGCAGGAGTCATGGAATCTCTTTATATAAACGCCCCAACAATTTACATCCAGACTCCCTGATTTACCTTTAAGGCATTTATAAGTTACATAGCAGGGGATTCATTGAAAATATAATACGATCTAAGCCTAAAATCAGAATTTTTAAACGCTCAACATATTATTTTACTTGGAGTTAAAAGGATATGGCAAATTGAATAGTTTTGTTTTGCTAATTCAGAATCAGTTCCCATTTGGCAGGTGTCTCAAATGAGGACACTGGTGACAAAGAACTGCTGCCACCAGGAGGTTCCTTAATGTACCTTTTATTGAAAGTCTTGAAATTTAAAATATTTTTGCTTCTTTATAGCTCAAGCAATACTTTCTCAATGACAAGTTTTCCATGTAACCTGTTTTTTTTAAATAAAGTTATTGCTTCTCTGTTTCCTATCTTAAAGTAACAAAATACCCTTTATGTAATTTAATGCCTCCGGTTTTGAATTTCATCTTATAAGGAGAAAACAGAACTATTTAAATTTTTTTAAGTTAGATAGCAATTTAGCAATTTTGTTTTCATTAAGTCTTTCTCAAGAGAGTCAATAATTCCAATCTTACCCCATGGGACACCTGGCAGGGGATTCAGAGAGTAAAACAGACTTTACATTTTCACTGGCTTGGGCTGTGTGGGTCAGTTTCTATGACAAAGATAACTCCAATTATGTCTGGGTTAAATATGGAGGTGATGACAAAAGGAAAACTTTTACTTTAAGAACCTGTAAATCCTGATAGTTCTCAAATTAGTATGAGCTAATATCACAGTGAAGATTTTAAAACAAGAAATTGGGCTTTTAAAAAATAGGTCCTTGTAAACGTCTTTCTAAAAGGGGGAGAATGGAGACAGGAGAAATTAACAGCTTCTGTTAATATCAAGAAATCTAAACTCGTTCAAGATAGACAATGTCATTTTTATTACCCATGAAACACTGTTTCACCTGTACGTTTACTTCACCAATAATGGCTCTCCCAATCAATGAATCAGGATTTAGCGGCAGAAATACAATGTAGATTTATTTCACATTTGCTGCTGCTTAAAAGACCCTTAGAGAGGGAAACTTTAAGATTAGCTATAGAATCCTTGTGCTTCCTGAAAACCCTGACACTTTTAGTCAACAATACTCATGCTGTCCTCCTCCCCCAGGACTCAGTTCCATAAAACAATTACATTATTTACAAGCACAAACAGTGGGCTGAGGTACTTTTTGCTTATCTATTTTTAAAACTAATCAAGTACCTCAGCTTAAAGATAACTGATTTTATTTGCTTTAAATATAGTAAAAAAAAAAGTCAAGATGGTTATAGTAAGTGCCGAAAAAATTAAAATGTTAGCACACAAAAAATATTATTGACATTAATCTGTTTTGGTTTATATAAAAACTACAATTGAGAGGTTTTTTTCCCCAAGTTCATTTTGTGCCTAAGGAAACTAAGAGCAGAACAGTTTTTACTGGGTCATGTCCAGTGGGCTAGTAATGCTTAAGACTTGTTTATTTTCCATCTTGGAACTACATAAGCAGTTGCCCTATCAATGTACACTCAACTCAGCTATAATCTTTGCATGTCTATAAGTTTTATGGGAGAGAGTTTCCCATCAGCCTTCCTCAGCCAGGATTCCTCATTTAAACCAAAAAACACAAATATTTCAGTGACTATTTTCTCAATTATCAATCTAGATGCACAGGAGTGTTAATTCAATACATATAACAGATGCCCAGAGCATTAGGGCTTAATTTTCCCAATGAACCCAGGCTGGTTTAGAAACTACAAAACAGAATGAAATGTCTTGACTTATAAAGGGAAAAACTGTACTTTCTGTTCTCCATGTTTTGCTTTTCAAATAGAGGAAAAAAGAAAGAGAGTTGGTATCTCTTTTAAAATGTCATCTATAATATGACTCAAGCTGAAATAAGTAAAATCACCTAAAACCCTAACTCCAGCAACAAGAGGTCTCACAAGTGCAAAAGGTACTAGGCTGTTCTAGAACTTACCCTAGCTCACTTGAAGGAGGACCTATGAAACTGAGATCGGGTCTCATGAGAAGGCACTCCACACTAACCTTGGCATAAATGCATCATAAATTTTCTAGATGAGAGCCGACTCAGAGGTGCCAAGTGTAAAAATATGGTGCTTAAGGGAATTTTCCTCTAAAACTCCACTCTCACACACACTATTTTCAACTTTGTCACTGGGTGACTTAACTACCAACCTGACAGGCACAAATCAAGAAAAAAAGTCTAATTTGTTTCTGGTGGAAATTCAAAACATACCTGTTTTCCTACTTTGCAAACGTTTTTCCGTCAGTTAAGTTTCCAACCTGGAGAACTCTAGTCCCCTAACATCTCAACTTTTAACAAAGCCTTGTTAAATGTGAAGGATCTCACTTAAACCTGCAGAAAACAGAAACTAGAAAGTCATAGCCTGAACACCTCCCTACATTCTACTGCTGCCTTACCATGGGGGTAAGAGAAGGAGAAAGGTTAAACTGCTAATATTCTTAGATGTCAAGTATTATAACCTCACAACTTCCAATCATTTACTTAGAAAAAAATGAATGGTGTCCAACAGAGGAAACATTATAGATGTTTCCTTTTTACACTAGGCTTAACTGTGTCACATTGTTGGTAAAACGAAACCTGATTAAGACTTTGAAAGGATATTTTGAAGGGCAGTTCAAAGGAAACTCACCTTCTAACAGCTGACTAAAAAGGGCAGGCAGGAACTTAGTCTTGTAGGACTGATATATTCTCAGCATCTAGAAAGGTACCTGACACATAGGAAGTGCCTGATAATTATTTGCCAAATGAATTGAGGTTTAAAACTTTTCATTAGATTCAAGGTAAAAATTCCATCTAGCATGTTAAATAATTCTCCTTTAATAAAATGACTGACCCTAAACATGGACAGTCTTTCTAGAGAGCAATTAGGTAACATAAAAGGCTTCAGAAACTTGTTAGGCTATCTGCCTACCTCAGAACTCTTTTCTCTGACAGGGGCTCTCTGATCTAGCCATGTCTGTACTAGTAATATGGTCCCCTGGCTCAAAGCAGGCTTATTACATTCTCTTTACAAAATCTGGAACAAGAACAAGCCAGTGGGTCTGGGACAGTATCTAGAATGGAGAAGATACAAACATGGGAACTTCGCAGGGACCAGAGCCTTTTGCCTGCTACGAGTACAGAAGAAGCTGAGAAAGTCAATCTCTAGACAGCAGAAATGAAGCAGAAGCAAAGAAAGATGAAGAGACACAAGAGACAGAGACTCCAGTTCCAGCCCCTAAAACTGCCCCAGGGTCACCCAAGATGCCCTAATACAGTTCCAATAATTCCTCTTCATGATTAAGCTAGTTGGAGTTAGATTCTACTATACATACCAAAGAAAGTTATGAAGAAGCATCTATTTATGTATTCCTTATCTGATTTTTTTTACTTCTAGGAAATAATCAAAATTACGTACAAATATTTACGTCCAAGGATGTACACTGCAGAGCTAGGCATACAACAGTAAAAAACTGGGAATAATTTAAACGTCTAAAAATAGTGAATTGATTAAATAAACCCTGTATGATATAATACCCTACCCAAATGATAGGATACTATCAAGCCACTAAAAACTATTATTCCTGAAGAATAATTGAGAATGTAAAGAAATGCTCAAGATATAGACAAAATAAGTATTTCTAAAATAATAAGTACAATACCAATCTCAATTTTTTTTATTTATTTATTTTTAAAAGACAGGGTTCCACTGTCGCCCAGATGGGAGTGCAGTGGTATGATCATAGCTCACTGTAACCTCGAATTCCTGGGTTCAAGCAATCCTCCTGACTCAGCTTCCCAAGTAGCTGGGACTACACACATGCCACCACACCTGGCTAACTTTTTAAATTTTGTGTAGAGGTGGGATGTTGCCATGGTGCCTAGGTTGGTCTCAAACTGGCCTCAAAGGATCCTTCTGCCTCAGCCTCCCAAAGTGCTAGGATGACAGGCATAAGCCATTGTACCTGGCCTCCATTTTAGTATTTATTTATTTGAGACAGAGTCTCACTCTGTTGCCCAGGCTGGAGTGCAGTGGCTCAATCTCGGCTCACTGCAACTTCTGCCTCCCAGATTCAAGCAATTCTCCTGCCTCAGCCTCCCAAGTAGCTGGGATTACAGGCACCCACCACCACGCCCAGCTGATTTTATTTATTTATTTTTGGGGGATTTTTAGTACAGATGGGGTTTCGCCGATGTTGGCCAGCCTGGTCTCAAACTCCTGACCTCAGGTGATCCACCCACCTCGGCCTCCAAAGCGCTGGGATTACAGGCGTGAGCCACTGCACCCAGCCCATTTTATTTTTTAATATAAATTTATGGAACAGAAAAAAAGACTTAAAGGATCTAAAACATGGAAGTAGGATCACAGCTAAATTTGATTTCTCTCTTTGCTGAATTTGCCAAATAAACATGCATGACTTTTTCAAAACATGGATGGGGTCTTGCTACGTTGGCCTGGCTGGTCTCAAACTCCTGGCCTCAAGCAATCCTCCCATCTCAGCCTACCAAAATGCTGAGATTACAGGCATAAGCCACTACACCCCAACCATGAATTACTTTTATAAACTTTTGAAAAACAAATGTTTAAAGAAATGATGGACTTCAACTCCTAATGCCAATATTCTAGTCTCCTCCTACAGCTCTAAGAAAGAAAAAAAGGCAAGAAACAAGTTGTAATCTTAGCACATACTCATATAAAATTATGTTATATTATATAAAATAATATTTTTTACTTAAGAATTCATTGATATTAAAAGAGACTATTTCTAAGTAAATTCTAACCACTCATTGTGGTTCTGATGTGCATTTCTCTAAAGATCAGTGATGTTGAGCTTTTTTGCATATGATTGTTGGCCACATGTGTGTCTTCTTTTGAAAAGTGTCTGTTCGTGTCCTTTGCCCACTTTGTAATGGGACTGTTTTTTTCTTGTAAATTTGTTTAAGTTCCATATAGATGCTGGATATTAGACCTTTGTCAGATGCACAGTTTGCAAACATTTTCTCCCATTCTGTAGGCTGTCTGTTTACTCTGTTGATAGTTTCATTTGCTGTGCAGAAGCTCTTTAGTTTATTTGGATCCCATTTGTCAATTTTTGCTCAATTGCTTTTGCACCTTCATCGTGAAATCTGTGCCCATGCTTATGTCCTGAATGGTATTGCTGAGGTTATCTACCAGGGTTTTTATAGTTTTGGGTTTTACATTTAAGTCTAATCCAACTAGAGTTCATTTTTGTATATGGTGTAAGGAAGGGCTACAGTTTTAATTTTCTGCATATGGCTAGCCAGTTATCTCAGCACCACTTATTGAATAGGGAATCCCTTCCCCATTGCTTGTTTTCGTCAGGTTTGTCAAAGATCAGGTAGCTGTAGGTGTGTGGTCTTATTTCTGGGTTCTGTATTCTGTTCTATTAGTCTATGCTGTTTTTGTACCAGTACCATGCTGTTTTGGTCACTGTGACCCTGTAGTATAGTTTGAAGTCGGTTAGCATGATGCCTCCACCAGCTTTGTTCTTTTTGCTTAGAATTGCCTTGGCTATTCAGGCTCTGTTTTGATCCCATATGAATCTTAAAATAGTTTTCTCTAGTTCTGTGAAGAACCTCAATGGTCGTTTAATAGGAATAGCATTGAATCTGTAAATTGCTTTGGACGTTATTGCCATTTTAATGATTAAACCCATATTTAAGGCTTGTATTATTATATAAATAACATTAATTAATTGGTGAGACAACTATACTTCTTGTACAACATTTTGCTATTCCTGGAACTTAAAATTGACTTGCTTTGTCATTTGCTTGGTTTTCTATATTCCTACAATTAATTCTTTCCCATACTTTCCAAAGAAACTATACAATGTCTCTCAATAATGGCTCAAAACACATTGTATGATATATTGGTCCACTTTCTTAGCTTTGTTTCTCCTAAGTCCTCCATCCTCCTGTCCAACCTAAACTGGCTGTTTTCTAAACCTGTTGTACATCAATTATCTAAGTTTTTCCCTTCATCAAATGGGATTTTCTTTGATACTGAATTCCCTGTTTTCGGAACCAATGCCTTCATCTTTATTGGTTCACTTTCTCGTTTGATGGAGAACCTCCTCCAATAGCTTCCTCAAAAAAGATGTATGGGAGGTAAGTTTTGTGACCTTGCATGTCTTAAAATGTCTCTATTCTATCCCCGGACTTGATCAAGAGATGGGTTGGGTATAGAATTCTATACTGGAAATCACTGCTTTTCAGAATTTGTAAAGCATCATTCCAATGACTGCTAGCTTTCTTTGTTGCTGCTGAGAAGTCTGATGACATCTGATTCCCAATCCCTGTTTGCAACTGTTTTTTGTTTTGTTTTTTTTTTTCCTCTAAGGAAGCTTTTAGGATCTTTTATTCTTGTTTTGCTAAAGTTTCACCACGTTGTGCCTTGGTATGAGGGTGTGGGGTTTTTTTAATTCACAGTTTTAGGCACTCAGTGGATTCTATTAATCTGGAATTATATGCCCTTCGGTTGTGGGACATTTCCTTATATTAGTTATTGGCTGGTTTTCTCTTCTCCATTTTCTCTGTTCCCTTGTCTCAGAACTTTTATTAGCCAGGCATGAGACTTTCTGGGTGACCCTCTTAAAATTTTTCTCTATTCTACTGTCTATCCCCCTTTGTCTCTTCCATCTATTTATTGAGAAACAACTCCAATTTTGTTTTCCAACCTTTTTTTTTAAATCAAGAATTGTTTCTGTTTTCTAATTGTTCCTTTATTTCTAGCATCCTCTCCTTGTTTCACTAATGCAATATCTTCTTTTACGGATCTAGGGATCTAAATTTATAGTTATTTTGAATGGTCCCTTCCAATTCTCTTGGCCTGTTCTGACTTGCACATTAGCAGCTTCCCTTAAATATCTAGTGATTCTTGGCTATGTTCATATTTAAGATTGAAGCGCTAAGAATGTGGAGCAGCTAGAACTCTCATACACTACTGAAAGGAATGTAAAATAGTACAATCACTTTGGAAAACATTTTGGCAGTTTCTTAAAAAGTTAAAAACACACCTACTATACAACCCAGACATACTAAGGCATTTACTGAAGAGAAATGAAAGCAGATCTCCACACAAAGACTTGGACATGAATGTTCAAATTAATGTTATTTGTAACAGCTAAAAACTGGGTTACAAAAAGCAGACCAGTGTTTGCCTGGGGACTGGATTGACAGAAGGATGAGCGAGACGACCAAGAACACTTCAGAGGTGATGCATATGCTCATCTTGATCGTGATGACGGTTTCACACCATCAAAAATTACTCTTTCAAGGTGTATCATTTATTTTACATTAATTATGACTCAATAAACCTATAAGAGAGAAGTGGGGAGAGGAATAGAGACGAAGAGAATAAAAAATAAAAGTGGCTAAAAAAATGAGGTGTTCAAAATGAATTGAATTCGCCGGGGGGGCTGGCATGTTTATAAGAGAAGGAGCTCTTACTATTCTGTATACACCATATACCCTGTTTTCAGTGTACATACAGTCTATATACAGTGTAGCACTCACTCCTGCCCAAGGCTGTTACATGATGCCTAGTATCTCTGAGTTGAGTGCCTCTCTGGTTAAATTTCTCTAGAGTAAGATTGGCAAACTTTCTAAAAATAACCAGATAGTAACTACTGTAAGGCCATACTGTCTTTGTCACGACTACTTAACTCTGTCATTGTGGCACAAAAGCAGTCAGTCATAGAGAATATGTAAATGTAAAGAGTGTGATTGTGTTCTAATAATTTTACAAAAACAGGTGGCAGGACAGATTTTGCCCAGGTTCAAGCCATAGTTTTACCAATCCCTGCCCTACAGAATCATACTAGTCTTTCCATTTTTGGAGAACTAATCAATTTCTCTTCAGAAGGATACCCTGAAGTAATGGCTAAAACCACTTTACCCATAAAGTATATAATTAAGCAAGTAAGAGCTAGGGGAAGGGAAGCTATAAAAAGGAATACTAGAAATTTAAAGAGTTATATATAATTTTATCAGCTATTAGCAGGAACTGATGAGGCTTAGGGGCAGCACTTTTGATAACCTGCAAATACTGTTTCATCTGATGAACCCACATCATAGGATAAGCAGAAATCAGTTTTTATGACAGATGTTTATAAATGTTATAATTAAAAGGCACTGGTGGATTAACTCAAAATCTTATGTGAATTTGTCTCAACTTCAAGACAAACTTCTAGAATCTCTAATAAATAAAATCACATACTCAGAAAAACAAATTTCAAGTTCTGTCGATTAACACCCTCCCCCAATTTCACTTGATTATTTTCCTTCAGGTAACAGAACTTTTCAGGGTAAGTTCATTTGTGCTTCTTGACTCCACAGGAAAGGAGTTGTTAATTTTTTCCCCAATTCCTATATTAGATGACAGAAGCACTAGATAAAAGCAGATGAGTAATAATCATTCACTGTTCATAGGGAAAATTAAGTTCAGAACTGATCTCTATCTTTAATATTCTTCTTGGTCAAAATGATACAATTTGTTTGGGCAAAGTGGGAGGGTTTTTTAAAAGGCGATGGAGGTGCGAGCAGGAGAAAAGGTGACAACTGAACAGATTAGTTGAAAACTTGTAGGGCCTCATTTCTCAGAGCAAAGGAATGTTTGGTGCTTCACTGAGAGAAACTAAGAATCCCTCTCTCCTTTTCAGATAGAGCTAGGATGAGAGAGGTTAGCCAAACCCTGCTGATTCACACAAACATTTGCTTCCTAAACTTGGGAGTAAATCAACTTTGGGAAACATATCTTCTGAAAACATAATTTTGCAGGACAGCCTCCCATCTAACCAGCTACCATAAAAAGATACTAGTTAAAGAGTAAACTTCTTTTTCCTGTCTGGTTCTTATACCCTAATCTGTTGGGGAAAAAAAGAAGTGAAGGAATATATGATTTGGCCTGTCATTTAACATATTCAACATTTTAAAAAGGAGAAATCCAAAACACCATATTAATATCAACAACGATAATGATAGTTTATAGACAATTTTTAAATACCAAAAAATTAAAAAATAATTTATAATTCACATTTGAAATAAATTACATTATTTTCTGTAATGGATTTACCCTTCTAATAATGTATTGCTTTGGCAAAGAGTAAAATTATTTTTGTACTCCTAGCCCTAAAGCAGGCTGCTAGCTAGGGTGGCAAAGGGAGACTTTTCTAAAATAATCCACAGAGCCAGTAACAAGCACTAATGATGTATTATAACTTCATGGTATTTCAGCATGCATATACCTTTAGATATACATTATCCTTAATTTACATTAGTAGAGGAAAGTGTTATAGAGACAGACATTGTTAACTTTCTTGAATATCCATTCTTCTCCACCCTTTCTCTTCCCTGATAACAAAAAAGAGTTTTGTTTAGGTATCTAGCTTCCAAATGCTCAAGGAGAAAATCTCCAGCTCCAGGACACAAATCAGTCTTGGACTCCTCCTTCTTGCCAGGAACTAGGCATTGGCATATGACAGAACTGTGGTCAATGAGATGCAAAGTCTGTTGAAAGGCTTCTAATTAAAGTTTTCCATAATCATAAAAAGAGATATTTAATAAGAAATGGTCCTTTTTTGCCCCAGGATGTTGATGTGTGAAGATGTAAAGCCTGGCACCACAGCAGCCATCCCATGACAACAGCAGTGGTTGCCGACATGCTGAGCATGGCAGTGCTGAAAGATGACCAGAATGAATATGGGTCCTGATAGTGTTGCTGAGCTGCTGAACTGAGCAATTCTAGCAAATTCTCCTTATTTGAATCAATAAATTCACTTACTATCTTAGCCACTTTTAGTTGGACTTTCTAACTACAACTAAACTACAGCTAAAAGCATCTGTACTGATACAATTATAACATCTATATTACAGTTGAGGAAACCAGCTCAGAGAAATTCAATGGACACAAAGCCTGTCAGTGACTAGCACAGCCAGGACTAGAATTTACTCCTTTTCTTTAACAAAAGTTGTTTAAGCGCCACTGTGTGTGAAGCACTAGGGTATAAAGCGGGTGTATAAGGGTGAAGGGATCACAGTTCACAGAGGCTCACAATCTAGAGAGGAAGAAATGACACACAAACAAATAGTTAAAAGATATGTGGTAAGAGCTACACAAAAGTCACAGAGCAAGGAGCTACTGGCTCACAGAAGAGAAACCACCTGACTATGCCATGAGATGTTAGGGCGGGCACATCCAAGAGATGACAAACTTTTTTTCTTTAGTGATTTAAAATTTCAAAAGACAGCTTCCTGTGAATCTGTAATTATTTCCAAGTAAAAAGTTTTTTACTACTTCAAAAGAAAGGGATATAGTCTCATAAACATGTTGAACAAAATAAGCCAGACAGAAAAAAGTAGGCTCTATTTTATTTGATACACAGGCAACATTAGTCTATGCTGTTAGAGGTAACAAAGGTAGTTTCTCTGGTAGAGGAGGTAGTGAACTGGGGAAGGACGAAGGGATTTATGTTGTGACAGTGATATTCTGATTACTGATATAGGTATTAGTTACCTAGTGGTTTCAGTGTGTAATAATATATTTGAGCCATATGTACATACATATAAATATATATTAGATATTTATCTGTATGGTATACCTCAACAGTTTTTAAAAATTAATATGTGTTCCTTATAAAAAATAAATTCAGCCAGCCATTGTGGCTTGAACCTATAATCCCAGTTACCTGGAAGGCTGAGTCAGAAGGATCACTTGCCAGGAATTCAAGACCAGCCTGGGCAACAAAATGAGAACCTGTTTCTAAAAAAATAAAAATAAATTAGCCAGGCGTGACAGTGCATGCCTGTAGCCCCAGCCACTTGGGAGGCTCAGGTGGTAGGATTACTTGAGCCCAGGAGTTCAAGACTCCAGCGAGCTATGATTGTACCACCGCACACCAGCTTGGGCGACAGAGCAAGACCTTGCCTCTAAAAATAATAAACAAACAAAATAAAAATAAATAAATTTAAATAACAAAAGCATATATAAAGTTAAACGTGCTAGCTCTCTTGAACCTCACTTCTTAGAGGCAATCACTGTGAATGGTTCTGTGTAAACAATTCTAGATAATCTAGACTTTTTCCCATGCATTTTCAAGTATAAATGACCATGAATGCATAAATACAAACACAGTTTTTTAGTATTTTGCATTTTAAACTAATACTGAATTATACCGTATGTCTGTTTTACAATTTGCTTTTTTAACTTTCTATTCATCTTTCCATTCAGTTAAGCACCTCATTATTTTTTAACAGCTACATGTTATTCCATAATATGCATATATAGCTAATGTATTCTTTACTAATGCACCTTATGTATTACTTACTTATGTATTACTTACTAATGCACCTTGATTCAATCACATTTGTTTTCAAATTTTCTTTTGTGGGGATTTCTGTACTATGTTGTCCTGTAAGGGGGTCTGCCGGAAGAAAGGTATAAGGTGACCCTAGGTTTGCACTATGCAAAGAAGACAGGTAAAAACATCCCAGGTTGAAGAAACGACACAGCATAACAAGTATCTGAAAAGTCTAGAGGGTAAGGTATGTATGAGTTCAATGGGGAGGCGGGCATGAGTGAGAAAATGAAGGGTTTTCTGAGGTAAGTGACGTAGTAACATTGCAGAAGAGACTTGTTTCTAGATGTATCAAGTTTTCAAACTGGTGGCCCCAGACTCATTTACTAGTTTATACAACTTCACTTAATAAAAACTGTCCTTTTCTGAAACTAAGATAAAGCTGCTCTAAATTGGAATAGAGTTAATAATGGCACTGAACTCTCCTAAAACACTGAAGTAGGAAATAATAATAAGAATATTCCACCCCCCACAAAAAAAAAAAAAACTGAATTGAATCATTTAAATGGGAATTTTCTTTTGATGGTGAACCCTTGGTAGGGACATCCTTGGCCACCTTACCAGCTTTCTGAGGGCATAATGAATTAATAACATTCAAAAACACTTGCTGCTCATCTACCATTCTAGACTTGAGGGGTACAAATGTGAGCAAGACACAGTCCTTGCCTGTGAGGATCTTACAAATAATTACAATACAACTTGATGAGTGCAAATAAGTACCACAATGAGCGCCAAATAAAGTAGGCACAAGTACCAAGTACCATGAGTACACAGAAGAGGAGTGTCTAACTCTGCTTGGAAGGTAGAAAGAAGTCAAGAAAAGCTTATAGAAGACCTTGCTTAAGCTGAGTCTTCAAAGGATACATAGGAATTAATCAGGTAAAAAGGTAAGAAAATTCCAGGTGTAGAGAAGAGGATGTGTGAAGAAGGCACAGTCTTGAGAGAGCCCAGGGAGTAAAGGTGACAGCAGAGAATTTATGGGGTATGTATGAGAATGAGTTGCTAAAGGTATCAGTGCTAATGAGCTTGAATGCCTTGTAGGTCATAACCAGTCACATGGAAGTAACACTGCCAAGATTTTCATTCTCTGCATCCTCCATGGGCCTAGTATCATGCCTTTCACCAGAGTAAACTCTCAATAAATATATGTGGAATAAAACAGATGAATCAGACTCTGAATGATAAAGAAGTCTGAAAAGCACAGATCCTAGAGAAAAGGGAATAAATGGGAATGGATTTTTTGAAAGCATACATATATATAATATATGCACATTATTTGAAAGCACATGATATAGTAGAGAGGTGGTGTCAGTTATATTGGCTCCTAAAAAGCATTCGTTATTCACACTGCCTATCACTCAAAAATTAACGTTCTCCAAAGAGTGGAAGAGTCCCTAAACATTCTGAAATACAGATATGTTCTATGCAAAAGAAAAAAGACAGATACCACAGGCTTGAAAAACATTCCACAAACTTGGCCTTTGATTTGATATTCATAGCTTGAAGCAACTGCTCTCAGCTAAGCAATAGATGAGCAAAGTGGAAAAAAAAAATACAGTAGATTCCAGTCAGTAGATTCTAGTAGCCCAGTGTCAACATATATAACACCTGATGACAAGGGCTAAGAAATTCAATTTGAATTTTAAAAGTCATTCCATTTGCCAGCACCAAAAATACGTTATTAGGATAAACTTACAAGAGGATTGCTCTGCCTTAACTCAGCAAACTGATGCATCTGGTACAAGTAACCAACTGACTTGATTTCCTCTGCCATACTCAGGTAAAATGCCCTATAATAATGTGGCACGTTATTAAAGTATAAGTTACTCAATCAAGCATCTCTTTCTCAAAGAGATAGTAAAATCTTTGACCACTTAGGTACAACTAGCAGCAACAGACACAATCACACTCCAAGAAGACAGGTAAAAAGGAGAGCAGATAATACAGCACTGGGAACCACAGTCACACTACATATATACAACCTCTCGATCTTCAGAACTTTCATACTTGCAGCCAGTTATTTCTGAGCCTTTCCTTCATCTCATCTTGGCTGAATATAAGCCAATAGGATTTCACCAGGAGAAATTTGAAATATTACATTTCCTGTATTTGATGAAAACGAGGAGCTGATGTCCTCTGATGTACACAAGTGGCAATAAACTCAACAAACAATTGGACCAATGGCTTTACATAAATATTACACAGGAGGGATGAACTAGACTAAATCTTAGGAAATTCCTAGGCTCTGGATAAAGTCAGGTTTCCATCACAATGAGAAGATTTCTAAGACAATAATTTTAAATTCCAATGTGATGTGCCAGTCACACTAGTTTGGCTGTGAACCACGGAGGGTAACATTTTACAGTAACTGGTATTAGAGGCTGGAGATAGTCATATATCAGGTAACCAACACAAGGACTATAGGATCTAACTTACTTATTTGACTCCAAGGTAATGAAGCCTAAAGGCAATGTAATTATTTTGCCTAATGTCCTATTTCAAAAAATATTTGATAGATAAAGGTCTACAGTTACTAAATAAAACTGAATGAAGAGTACAGCAATCTGGATTCTAGTATTGAATCTCATACTGATAAATTATACAATAATGGTTAAGTCATAAAGCCCACATCTCAGTTTATGTATCACAATGATGCACTTGTGATTGAGTTAAATGTTAAATGTTCTAAGCTTCTTAGAAAAGTAGTACTTTACACGTAAGATGAAAGTGTTACATATGAGATGAAGTTAACCACCATGACTACAGCCAACAATTTCCTTTTAAACAGAACTCACCTACAAAAGAACTCCATGCACTCAATGGATACACGTGCATTAACTCCTCAATGCATAATCCAAACATTCCACGAATATGGAAAGAGACATATTAAGTTATTCAATAATTAAAATCTATCAACAAGTCTATTACAGAGTCAGGAATAGAATCAAACTTCTGGTTCCCCCATCCCTACCCAGTCCTTTGTTTCAGTTACCTAATTAGCTTAAATTATGTTGTCCTATAGATCAGAAACATAACTAGTTATAGGAGGGACAGAAACTTCTTTCCCAAAAGCTTCAGAATCTTGTATTAAAATATATTCAAATTTAAAATTGAGAATGATTCCATAAACGGCAAGATGAACTTACTAAACCCAGAAAAGTATTTCATCTAATATTATATTGAAAAGATCTGTAAGAAATGGTGACTATAATTTTTTTTTTTTTGAGACGAGTCTCACTGTGTTGCCCAGGCTGGAGTGCAGTGGCACCATCTTGGCTCCCTGCAGCCTCTGCCTCCAGGGTTCAAGCAATTCTCCCGCCTCAGCCTCCTGAGCAGCTGGTACTACAGGTGCCCGCCACCACACCCAGCTAATTTTTGTATTTTTAGTAGAGACAGGGTTTCGCCATGTTGGCCAGGCTGGTCTTGAACTCCTGATCTCAGGTGATCTGCCTACCTTGGCCTACCAAAATGCTGGGATTACAGCCGTGAGCCACCGCACCCAGCCTGGTGACTATAATTTTTAAACAGAGTCAGAGAAGGAAACTTGTAGAAAAGATCAAAGACTACAGAAGGGTCTATCTCTCTAAAAAGGAGTAAAAAGAAATAGAAGAAGGTGTGAAAGAACAACAAAATTTAAAACCAAAAGATAATTTATGGAATACTACAATAGACTTGTGCCATGGACAAACGGCAAATTCTTTGAAAAATATACTTCCTGATAAGCATCAAATGCATATCAATACATCTTCCAAATTAGCAGAGTGCTTTTTTCCCCTGTGACAGGGTATCTCATGGGGAAAATCACTTATTATCAATATATGCTATTAATGTGATATAGCCTTTTCTGGGGGTTATTTGGAGATACATGGTTAAAAATTTTTTTTGATGTAGCAAAAGTTTTTTTTATACTTTTAGACTAAGTGCGGTAGATGAATTACTGTTTTCAATTTCCATATCCTCTCTGTTTTAAAATTATACATTCACACCCTTTGTCATATAACTTTGCAAGGCTTGGCCATGTGGCTTCTTTTGGCTAATGAGATGTTAACAAACCTGATGCCAGCAGAGTCTTAAAATTATTTTAGTAGTTTGGCCTGCTTCTTGTGCTCTTAGGTAAACTACAAAATGAATACGCCCCAGGTAGCTGCTGTCCCTTCATGCAAGGCCTCAGAATAAACACATTTAGAGTAGACCTAACCAAACCTGCAGCCTGAAAGGCAAGTTCAGCCAGCCCACAAACTGAAGCAGAGGTGCCTGGCCAAGTACAGCCTAGATTAGGAGAACCCCAGATGACCTACAGACCTAGTGTGAAAATAAACACTTAGGTAAAATGCCCTATAATAATATGGCACATTATTAAAGTGTAAGTTACTTCATCAAGCTTATTTTTCTTAAAGAGATAATCAAATCTTTGACCAGTTAGGTATAAGTACTGGCAGTGTTGAAAGCCACTCAATAAAACACTAGTTTCTGATGCAGAATTGTTAGGGTAATAGGTGACCAACACATCCAGTCATCACACATCTAGGAATTTCTCCTAAGACCATCAGAGAGAAACACGCATTCATATAAAAGGGTATATCTATCAAAGCAATATTGATAATAGCCAAAAAAAAAAACTGGAAACACCCTATCATCAAGAGAAGAATAGTTTTAAAAAATCATGATATAGCCAATTATGCTAATATTTAAAGCTGTTAAAAATCATGTTCTCAAAGAACACTCAAAAATCTAAGAAGATTTTCATAAGTTAGTTTAAAAAGCATAAAAAGCAAGACACACCGTTCTATAAAAAAATTACAATATAAGCAGAGCAAAAGATCGGGTGGATAAAATAATTCATTTAAAGAATATAAGTGCCTCTTCTGTGTTAATATTCTATGTTAAATATTATACTAAATATTATACTAGGAATAAAAAAGCAAATAAAACAAACACGTTCCCTGACTTCCTGAAACTAACAATCTAATAAGGAAGACAGATATTTAAAAAATAGTAATCCTACAGATACAGATATGCTACTGTAATAGAAAATGCTAATTATTCCCAGTATTTATTTCCCAATTCTTACTCAGTAATAGTCCTTGAATTTTATCTGGCCATGACTACCAGCAATAAACTACCTACATTTTCCAGACTTCCTTGCTCCTAGCAGGGGCCACATGACTAAGTTCAGGCCCATGGGATCTAACTGGAAGTGGTGCATGCAACTTCTAGTAAACATCCTTAAAAAATAAAGGGCTTGCTCTTTGTTGCTTCTCCCCCTTCTTACCAGATGGAGCAGCTATTTTGGACTATGATGTGAAAGCTGCATGCTGAGAATGGCAGAGCAACAGAATAGGAGGAACCTGGGTTCCCTGACATCGTGGAACCACTCTCAGCAGCCCTAGCCCTAGGGGGACCTATAGAACTTTTAGATGAGACAGAAATTAAGTTTTCCCTGTTTACATTACTTTCATTTTGGGTTTTCAGTCATTCACAACTGAATGTCTAAATGGAATAACTATGAAGGAAAAGTATGGTTCAATGTGAGATAATAATAGAAACAGTTGATTTTGACTAGTGGAAGGAGTGTCAGGGATAGCTCCTCTGAGGAAGTGACATTTAAGCTATGACATGAAACCTCACCAGGAGGCCACCAGGTAAAGGGAGATAGGGCAGCAAACTGTTCAGGCTGGGGAAACCGAAGCTGCAACCACGATGGCTTAACCCTGAAGCACCACAGTAACAAGCAACAAACTTCGGAATGTTAAGATTGCCTCTACAAGAAAGCAAAATGAAAGCAGAGAACTAGAGCAACTAAGTGCTTTGGCTCCATATCAGAATATCTCCATAAAAGATCACATATGCCTATCAAAAAATCAGGGTGTGGGGAGTGAGAATGAGAGTGAATCCTGTTAAATAAATTAATAGTTGCTTCCACACTTCAGCATTACATCACGCCTGTAATCCCAGCACTTTGGGAGGCCGAGGTGGGAGGATCACAAGGTCAGGAGATCTAGACCATCCTGGCTAACATGATGAAACCCGGTCTCTACTAAAAATACAAAAAATTGGCCAGGCGTGGTGGCGGGCGCCTGTAGTCCCAGCTACTTGGGAGGCTGAAGTGGGAGAATGGCGTGAACCCAGGAGGCGGAGCTTGCAGTGAGCCAAGACAGCGCCACTGCACTCCAGCCTGGGCAACAAAGCGAGACCCCGTCTCAAAAAAAAAAAAAAAAGTTGGATTCTCTGATTAGAGTGGTTCATATATTTAATACCATGAGAAGAATGTCATTAGATTTTTAAATGTGAACTATGCCTGAAACAGACAAGAGCTTGATGTTAAAAAAATTTTTTAAATCTTATTTCTTGTCTATTTCTGATCCTAAAAGCGAAACGTAATTTATTGTGGAGCATTTAGAAAATATACATAAGAGTATACAGAAAAAATAAACCACCTGTAAACTTAACCACCTTCCAATATTTTATACTGACACTGTTTTTGCATACGTTTACACGCCCACATACATATATACACAAAATAAACATAAAAATGGGACTGTAATGCACATAAAGTTGTGTATACTCTCACTTATTATTTCAGAGCACATTCCTGTATCATTAAAATACTTTCCAAAACCATGATCTTAATGGCTATATAACATATAATTTATGTAGCCAATCAAGTCAGGGATTTTCTGAGTTAAAACTGTCAGCCACAAATTGAAGCCCTGCAGGTCAAGAAGCTGACTTTGAAATCTGCCAGAGTTTCTTTCAGAAATCTCAAGTTACACTTTAAAAGCACTAGACCCTTCCAACCAAGAATTCAGTGAAATTCACTGAGTTTTAGTCATGAAGGATGCTCACTAAAGGCTGTATTTTCCCAAATGGAGCATACGATTACATAGTTTTAAGGGAGAAACTGAGTAAGTATCAAAGATTGAAGTGGCAACAGTGAATAAGAACTAGTGTCTACCGCAAGAAATAGTGACTATCTGCAATGGTTTTGTCAGATGCAAAAAAAAAAAAAGTTGTCAGATGCAACTTTTTTTAATAAAACAAAAGAAGAGAATATATGAGTCCATTATTTGTATAATTAAAGTTTTCTAATAAATATTGAAAAAAATGATTACAGAAAAATGCACAAAGAAAAAGAATAGAAGCAAATATGACAAAGGGTTAAGTGTGAAATATGACATTATTCTTCAAACTTTTCTGTATTTTAAATTTTTCTAACAAAAAATTAATGTTAACTTAAAATATCAGTCATACGGATAAGGTAATTCAGATTTTAGTTATTAAAGTGGAAGGAAAATTGGTTAGGTTCTGCCAGAGGATAAGTGGCTCTTTTGGCGGGAGGGGGGAAGGCATATAGCATTAGGAAACTGTTCTAAAATAAAACTATTTTATTTTTTTGAGATGGAGTCTTGCTCTGTCGCCCAGGCTGGAGTGCAGTGGCATGGTCTTGGCTCACTGCAACCTCCACCTCCTGGGTTCAAGCAATTCTCCTGCCTCAGCCTCCCAAGTAGCTGGGACTACTGGCATGTGCCACTACACCCGGTTAATTTTTGTATTTTTAGTAGAGACGGGGTTTTGCCACGTTGGCCAGGCTAGTCTCGAACCCCTGACCTCAGGTGATCCACCCACCTTGGCCTCCCAAAGTGCTGGGATTACAGGCGTGAGCCACCGTGCCTGGCCAATAAAACTATTCTAAACTAAAGAGTAATATCACATGTTGAAAATAAGTCTGAGGACGGATGAGCTTTTGAACTTTACAGCTGTGCTTCCTTCAAGTATTAGCCTACCTAAAAATGATATTTTTCTGTTCCATCAAGAAGGTTGTTTTAACAGTTAAGGAAATATAAAAATTGCAGGACTGGATTTCAGTTTCTAACTCTAGTTTTACTTACTTTGTATACCTAAAGTTTTCCTGATGTTAGACATTTTTTAAAATTCCAGTTTCTGAAATGCAAACTTAGTTCAGAGAACAATTAGAGCTTGCCACTTGATGAAATGTCTTAACATAGATAGTTGCAATTTTCTATTCAGTAAGGTCCCTAACAGAAAAAAGATTAAAGAATAAAAAGTTACAAATAAACCAAATCTATGTTAGTTCTCACAAACAAAAATTTCGAGTAGATGTAAATTTCCAAAAATTGTCCCACTTTCCCCAAATGTAGTCTTAAGTTATCTTAACTTTGCAACAGCATCCCCCAACCCCTACTCCACTAATCAGTTCTCACCTTCTTCCCCTGCTGGAACACGTGAATTTTTCAGCAAATGTGACTCATTCATTGGCGTCTTGTCAAACTAACCCTGAAACTATAAGGAGGCTCAGCGCTAACAGAATTCTAAAGCTAGAACACTTTCACTAACACACATCATGTTGACTTTAGAGAACTGAATCACATTCAGAGCCAAATACATACTAACCGACTCTGTTTATATTTTTTCTTACAAATTGTTCTCCACCATCCCACCTCCTCCCAATTTTAGTTTGGCAATTCCCTAATCTAAAATACCTCCTGTCTGTGGAGAAGACAAGATGGGGACGCATAAGAATAGGAGGGAAGAATATAAAGCAGTTGTTCACTCAGCTTGGAAGATGATTCTATTCTGAAACATTAATGATTCATATCTCTTCCACATAATTCTCAAAGTTTATTTCTCCCCTCAGTTAAATGAAAACACAATAGAAACACAATAAAAAATCTCCAGAAATGAATTATTCTCATTGTTATTATTTCACTAAATAACATTAAGTAACAACATAAAAATCAGTTATTGAGAACTATTTAGTCAAAAATCCTCAATAAAATGTCACTGGCATGAAATATCAACTGCAAATCACCTTATTCTTTTGATTAATATATTCACCTACTCCAAGACAGAAAACCACTCTTTCTAACCAGAGGGAGAGTGGTGGGGAAGAAACAAGAAAACAAATGCTTTGTGGGATTACCATAAACATTTACTTATAGCTCTATCAATTGCCACACTCCACCTGGTGGCAGGCACTGCCTGAATTGGTAAAGTGGAGGTCATCATACAAAAAATTCCAAAGAATATTTTCCAGGTGTCCTTGGAAAAAAGCAAGATGTTCTTCTCCTGCCCTATATAGAATAAGTCTAATAACATTTCACCGAAGTTTTTTCACGTAATAGTAGGTCAATATCTAATAGAGATTAACATAAAGGCATGACCATACTTAGAATGGGAAACCTACATTTAGAGCAATCTACTTACAAGAAGATTCTCTCCACAGTAAGTTTAATGTCAGCTCAAGGCTTTAAGACAGGTAACAAGGTACACGCAGCACCTACAAGATTCTCTATCACCTATTCTCACTAACTGCCTTTACCCCATCCCCTATAGGTAAACTATAGAGTTTAATTAACACAGTTAACGGCAGCCTGCCACATTGCTTTTAGGTATTTGCCAGTAACATATAACCATGGGATACTCTAGAGACTGATTTCAACCAAAAATAAAAATAGATAAACAGAGCTCAAACAAAATTAAAACCAAGTCTGGCTGCCCACACTTATTTTCACACATGAGGAAAAATAGCAGTTCTCTTAGAAGCCTCGAGCAGACATATCTTTAGAACACAACGTTAAAAATATGCCCCCCTCCCCTTTTCCCCTACCTGTTTCTCACTCAAAGCTGTGATTTTGGCTTGGAGTTCATGAAGCTGTTTCTTTAAGTCAGCATTCTGATTGGAAAGAAAAAATATCTGTGAGAAAGATATTTCATTTGTTAACAGAATAGTAGCAGGAAGACTATGCATACTGCATTACAAATGATGAAGCAACCCGAAGCATTTAGCCAATCAAATCTGTCATGCATTACACTGTGGCCATAATACCATCACCTAATGCACAGATCCTAAATACAGGCTCCTTGCACCAAAACAGGAGCAGCTCCTCTGCAACTGTTTTAAATTACATGAAGTTTTATATTTGAGCATCTTGTACGGTAAGAGTACCTGTCCACTAAAATATTCTTATTCTTTATAGAAAGTATCCATTGACAGAAAACCCAAAGCTCCACTAATCACACAAAAGTAGGAAAATGGAGGTTATAAGTATGCACACACTACATGCTTTACAGCATTATCAACAAAGATAAGAGGTTTTCTCCACTTGCCCTCTCCCTTATTTAGCAAAGTACATTTGTTATTTTAGCCTAGATCTGAAAAGCTGTCAGTACTGCAACTGCCTTAACACTACATCATTCAAATTAACACACTGACTACCAGGGCATTTTCTCAGTTCTAAAATTCTAGGAATCAAAAAAAGAATACTATTTTAGATGAGATACACAGAGCATGATTGCCTTTTACTAAAGTAGGCAAAAAATTCCAAAATTAAAGTTTTCAAATGCTTAATGTAGCAGGACAGCCTACTAGCAGACTGAACACCACCCTAATGAGAGACTGCTTTTACTTGATTTGTCTCACATACAATTCTTTCAATTTACCCTGCTTGGTCTTCTGTCAGGGTTAGGGAACACATCTTCCTCGTCTATTAAATTTGGTTTACTCCATGTGGACTTTTTTATTAGTGTATTTGACATAAGGCTTCTCCAATGAGATCACCCACACCTGTTGTCCAACAAGTTACTGTCCTGCCTACCTCAGATTCTTCAGGTTAAGACAATTCTGTTACATGATCACCAACTATAACAGAAATGATAGTTTCTAGTAACATTTCACAGTTGCTGATAATGTAGTTTACCACATTAAATAGGAAAGGACCTGTTAATCTAAAGTCTACCACCTCTTGGTTCCCTAAATCTAATTTATTATTTATTTATTTATTTTGAGATGCAGTCTCACTCTGTCGTCCAGGCTGGAGTGCAGTGACAAGATCTTGGCTCACTGCAACCTCTGCCTCCCAGGTTCAAGTGATTCTCCTGCCTCAGCCTCCTGAGTAGCTGGCCTTACAAGGCACCCATCACCATGCCTGGCTAATTTTTGTATCTAAATCCAATTTAAATTGTGACTATACCAAAAAAAAGAAGAAAAAAAAGGAGAAGTTTCTCACGGAAGTAGGATCATTCAAAAGGAATAAGTACGGGCTACCAATGCCAGCTCTCAGAGTCAAAACACAATAGTTAGACCTGAGTTCTCAATTTGTAGAGATAAGTGTTATTTTTTTACTTCCAAAAATCAATGTGCCTCAGTACCATTCTTCAATCAAAAACTTGATTTTACTTTACAGTGAAGCCTGTATGTACTGTTTATCAACCCAGATATAGATATAGATATAGATAAAGATATATTTGATATTTGATAAACACTCTCCATACTTATGACCTAGTATCTAATGGTTACAAAAGAGACAATGCCCAATAATAAATATAATTATCAGAAGACAAGGTAAGTTTTTAGGAAAACATCTCTTCAGAAATAGAGAATAAAATGCCTAAGTGAAAAATGCCTATGAGAATTTAAAGAAAAGTTAACATTCTCTGTTAATTTTTCTGTTAGAAAGTAACATAAGGTACTTTTTAACCCTCCTTTAAGGGTTCTTTCAAAAATAAAATTTTCTAAAATGCTTCTTTTAAAAAATACTCTAAAATTCTTACCCTGAACATGGAGAATTCAGTACTATTCAAATGTTCTATAATATAAACTCCAAGTAAATAAAAATGGTTTGGGGTCTCTTTTCATAATATTGGGATGACAGAAAGCCTCAAAAACTCTGATTTTGAATAAGTGGGTTCATGGAAATGAATTTAAGCTATATGACAAGTATTAACTCAATATTTTTCTCTAAAATACTCAAACCAATTAATATGACACCAAAATAATAGTAACAAAGATGAAATAATAGCTATATTAAAATAGAATGAATTTTTCTAAACCCTTATAACCTGAAGATCAATGTATTAAAAATAATTGCTATTAGAAATGAAATAATTCTTAAAAGTTAAGTACCATCTATATTTAAGTATTTTATGGTGATTTTATTTTAAATTATTTTTAAATTTAACAATTAAATGAATAACAATAGTAGTTTTACCTGTGGATCCTGCTTCATTTGAGCAACCAGTTTCTGGTAATAAAGAGAGAAAAAGAGCCATCAGTCTTACATATTAACTCCCTATGGCTAATCAGGTTTGGACCAAAAAATCTAGGATTTTAAGTTAACACAAAAAAAAGAGCAACACCACAATCAGAACAGACTAAAACCTTCTGTGATCCATGTAATAGGCTCAGGAGACACTTCCTTTAATAAAAAAATCAAACCACCACTTTATATTTGAAATGAAAAAGTGCCTGATTTTTAAATCTGGACAGAGACGGGTGACAGTGGCTTCCGAAAGGAATTTAAGCAAGCTGGATGCTCCAAAAGCCAAGCATCCCTTTCAAATGTTGTCAATGTCTAGAGTCCCAAACAAGGCCTGGAAAGAAGCTGGCCCCACACAAAACCGGCCTGTTCATACACAGAGCAAAGTACAGATTTGGCAGGTCTATTGGTTTGTTTCTTACCACAGAAGGAGCTTAGTGTCCCATGTGACTTTGCCACTGTCTTCTCTCAAGAAGGAGTTCGGTGCAGGGGAGGATAAGTTCAGTGGGGCAGTGATGCTCAGTTTTTGAGAACAAGGAAGTGCAGGAACAATACAAAACTCTATCTAACTCGATTCCTCTGGGAAAGAGTGCTACCCAATACTGAATGGAAAAGATCTTTACTAGGGAAAACAGAAGCCCAAACAAATGGAAAGGAAAGGAAAGGAAAGAGGAAAGGAAAGGAAAGGAAAGAGGAAAGGAAAGGAAAAGAAAGGAAAGGAAAGGAAGAAAAATGAATGTCTTTTGACCTAACCCAACTTCTAAAGACATCGCTGCCCAAAGTTAACAATAACCATAGACAGAAGAATATGAAGGATAAAGGAACATCAGAAGTCCTAAAGTATCTGGGAATAAGCTATTACCCAAGTCAATTTTTCATCTAATGGAAAAATTTGTCACTCTCTTTTGGTGACAAGGCACTTTTAAATTGTTTAGTTGTAAAATAAAACCTTTCTAAAATATACTATATATTTATCTAACTACTAGTTTTTTTTTGAGACAGGGTCTTGCTCTGTCACCTAGGCTGGAGTACAGTGGTGTGATCATGGCTCACTGCAGCCTTAACCTCCTGGGCTTAAGTTATCCTTCCACCTCAGCCTCCCGAGTGGCTAGGACCCCAGGTGCACACCAGCACACCTGGTTAATTTTTTAATTTTTTGTAGAGACAGGGTCTTGTTATGTTGCCCAGGCTGGTCTTGAACTCCTAGGCTCAAGGAATCCTCCCGCCTCAGCCTCCCAAAGTGCTGAGATTAAGGTGTGAGCCACCCGCCCTAACTTCTTAAAAAGAAGAAAAAAAATTTAAAAATCAAGCTTTTATTGATACTTAGAGGAATGATTATATTAATATACTAAACTATAAACAATAGGTTCCTTACAAAAAAGGTCCCAAACTACTATGTGTTAAAGTTCTTAAATCCACATTGTAGTTTTCCAGTCCACTCCTTAACGTCAAGTAGTCAGCCAGCACATTTTGCTACTATTCTTTTTTTGTTTTTTGTTTTTTAAAGATGGGGTCTTGTTCTGTCACCCAGGCTGGAGTGCAGTGGCACAATCATAGCTCACTGCAGCCTCCAACTCCTGGGCTTCAGCAATCTTCCCACCTTAGCCTCCTAAGTAGTTGGGACTACAGGTGCACACCACCATATCCAGCATTTTTTTTTTTTTAAGAGATGAGGTCTCACTATGTTATCCAGGCTGATCTCAAAATCCTGACCTCAAGCAATCCTCCCACCTCAGCCTCCAGAGTAGCTGAGATTACAGGCGTAAGCCACCATGCGCAGCTCTTGCTACTATTCTAACAACCCTGAAACCCAGCTCAAATTTGCTGTTTCAGACCTGCTGTGTGGTACGCTCACTGGACTAATTTTAAAAAGACGAGTGAATAGGTTGTAATAATCTAAGAAACCCTCCTTTAGTAAAATGTATAATCTTTGGTGTATCACTTCAGACATTTATTCTAATTAATCAAAAGTCTTTCTCCCTGATGCTAAGACACATTTTAGATAACTGAAGTTGCCAACCATGGGACCTCCAAATACACAAGGTATGTGTCACTATATGACTTCATACTTAATGGTAGTAGCTCTTCTATATCCTAGTCTTAACCTACAAAATAGAAACAATACATATTCCAAGAGTTTAAAGGGGACTGAAACACAAGGTTTTATACACATACATTTTTACATTAATGCTAGCCACAGTCTTCAATGAAAAAAGCTCTTGATTTTCCTTTTTGATTTGGTTACCAGAGGGTTGGCTACTACGCTGTAACGTTTTAGAAGCTGAAAAAGGTTTTCTTCCAGACACTGGAATTTAAAAATTCACTGATAACCACATGAAGTCTTCACCTCTAGAGGAAATAAATAAGCCAATTTTTCTATCTGTAAGCAGTTAAACTGCATTTCAGACAATCAGGGGTAGGACAGGACGAGCTGGCCAACTTACTGGACCATCCAAATCCCTAGTAACTTTAAGCTGACATTGTGTTAACAAAGTTAGGTTACTTTCCGCCAGAATGCGGCAATATTTCTTGAGGATATACTTCATGCCAAAGGTAAGCAAAACAACCCATAGGCCAAATCTGGCCCACCACCTGTTTTTGCAAATAAAGTTTTATGGAAAAAAGCCATACTCATTCATTTATATATTGTCCGTGGCTGTTTTCTCTGTGCAACAGCAGAGCAGAGTAGTTGTGACAGAAACCATAAATTACCCACAAAGCCAGAAATATTTTACTGTGTGTCCCTTTACAAAAAAATTTGCTAACTTCTGCTTTATACTATTCTCCATTCCATATGGAGTAAATACCCTGAAAATTTAAATGTGACTTCCATCAAATCTAAATAAGATCAAAAAAGGGAGGAGGAAAAAAGGCAATTTCCCCAAAAAGATGAGATGTCCATCACAGGACATTATTATTTAAATATTTACTGAACATCAACTATGTGTACATTGCTACTTTCATAACTATCTCACCATTCATAAAGAAAACACAAAGAACAAAAATATGTTTTCACTCCACAATACCAGATAGTTTCAGAACACATTTTCTATCCAGTAAGCTCAATTTCAGCCCTAATCTCATTCCCTAACTGGAAATGCAACAAAGCGTGGCTTTTGTCCCACTATTTCGTCAAATGTATGTTCTGGCTTTGGTCTCAGCCTAGTAACCAACACCCCTACCTTGATGTCATTTCTGGCATGCCTCAATTTGTCATGATCAACAATCGTGTAGGTGACACCATATAAATTATTTTTTCAAAAATAGTAAAGTATTACAGATATAACTGGAGTGAAATATATGCTTTCTCTGTTAAAATATTATTGACATATAAATAAATGTTTATAATCACACAAGCAAAATGTTGTATAAAGGATGAATATAAAAGCTATTAATTTTATGCTCAAAGCTGACAGTTAATATGAATAGTAAGAGAGTGTTTAGAATAACTTTAAGAACTATATCCCTTTTGAGTCAACAAATGTAAATTTAAAATTTTAATTAGATTTAAAATAGAATAATAAATATTAAGTATTTTCATAATTGTGATGTTTATAAAATTGGTATGCTTGAATTCAGAATATGAAACAAAATATTTAGTAATTAACTTCAATTAATTTAGGTCATGAGCCTTTCAAGAAAGGATTATTTGGGATTTGCTCATATCTTGTGAAGAGGAACTAAAGCAGAATGTTAACTTTGCCATCTCAATACTTCTTCAGAGGAGGAAAAACTCCAAAAATCACACACAACATCATAAAATTATCCTTGATCCACACAAATTTCAGATTGATTACTGTACTCCCAAAATTCATTCTATGATGATGTCAGCTTTGAATAAAATGTGAATTTAATTTTTATCACTTGCCATTCAGCCAAACTGGGTATTCAACACACCTCTATGTTAAACTAATTTCACTCAGAAAAAGACGAGCTTGTTTTTGTAACAAATTTCTGCTCTCCTCAATTAGTAACAGAAGCAAAGTTAAAAAAAAAAAAAAGTACACAGCTTATTACCTACTTAAAGAAGCCCACGTGCATAGGGCCAACTCTGCAGCGGAACAAGAGTTTAACGAGATCCGGAGCAGCAGCAGGGATTTCTGAACAGGTGCTTTTGAAGCTTCCTTTAAGTTCTCACCCACACTAATTCTGAGCAATGTGCAAATCTAGTAGTTACCAAAGGCCCAAGATATTCTCCCAACGATTTCAAAAGTTAATGTTACCTCAGACTACTCAGATAAACAAAGGAAACTATACCTAAGAACAAACATCTTTAGAAAGTAGTTTTACTTATCCTTCTCTCCGCTCCCATATCCCCAATTGTTACAAATTCAAAAGTAGTCAATGCATCATCCTTTATCACTTTTGAGTACCAAGGATTAGATACATGCATGTGTATGTGTGTCTTCCGCCTGATGTCCAGCTAAAGTCTAGAAAGATATAAAACAGTGGTACTCTGTTTACATAACAAATTTTAATTATGTAATTATATAAAGATAGCTTTTTGTAAAATATAAGAATTGTGAAATCTGAAATTTAAACATCTGTGAAGATAATCACATTTTCTTTAAGATTGGAATCAACGCATAAAGCTGAGTCATATGATCTGTAAAAACTTTAGTACATATGGTAGTTGAGTTAGACATGTTGTTATTTAAAACATGCAAGTTAAATCACATGAATAAAGTCCTTCAGATGAACCAAAAAGCAGAAAAAAGATTTCTTTCTTTTTTGTTAACACCTTTGGTATATGAAAAAAATCTTTTCAGTTCTTTTCTCTAGAAAGGAAGTCAGGAATACTTTAAGTTCTTAAAAGCAGTATCTATGACTTTGTCGAGTAGTGGTAAAAGGCAAACGACATGACTCTTGGACAAAATTGTCTTAAAGATTATTAAAAACTATACTAAACACCAGAGATGGACTTGTTTACTAATCTTAGCCATTACTTAACAACAGTGTGGGAGAAGCCAATAATACAACTTACCTGGTGAACCTGAATTTCCACTTTAAGAGCCTCCTGTAGAGTCTGCAACTCCATCCTCTACCTTCTCCACTTTCTCTGCTAATTCTATAGTTTCTTCAGCCTCTGTTTAAAGTAACAAACTCCTCTTCTCACTGCAGCTGTAAAGATCATAAAATGTTTTGGATCATTACATTTGGAATAAATATAATATTTATGTTAAATAAATTATGTTAGTAAAAGAATATCTGATTCTCTAACGCAGGGCAAGAAATTTCCCAAAGAGATTTTTTTTCCCTCAAAACAATTCTTCAAGTATTCCTCTAAAGAACACTTCAAATAACTAAGAAATGAAAAACCAAAAAAAGGGTTTAATCTGGTCATGGAAACATCTAAGCACCCACTACATGCTCAGCACTGTGTTAATCACTACATACTGAGGATACAGAGCTGAGTAAGACCACTTCTGTCTTCAATGAGACTATAACCATCCAGGACACACTGTCCTCAGAAAGAGACATATAACAACAGAATCATAATTTTTTTTTTTTTTTTTGAGATGGAGTCTCGCTCTGTCGCCCAGGCTGGAGTGCAGTGGTGCAATCTCAGCTCACTGCAAGCTCTGCCTCCCAGGTTCACGCCATTCTCCTGCCTCAGCCTCCAGAGTAGCTGGGACTACAGGCACCTGCCACTACGCCCGGCTCATTTTTTTATATTTTTAATAGAGACGGGGTTTCACCGTGTTAGCCAGGATGGTCTTGATCTCCTGACCTCGTGATCCACCCATCTCAGCCTCCCAAAGTGCTGGGATTACAGGCGTGAGCCACTGCGCTGAGCCAAAATCATACATTTTTAAACTTCACACAGAGTGGACTGGAGAGTTCAGGGTTTCTCGGAGGTTAACGAATGCCAGGGTAGTTTTATTTGGATGGGTTCTTACTCTACATAAAAAACAGAGAAACTCAAAATGGGGAAATTCTGGTATAACTTAAACATTTACATTTAACAAATTAATACTCAAAACAGACAAATACAATGCAATATAACTGTACTATCCACGAACTTATGATGTGGATATTTTAAAATGTATCTATCGTGTGTAATTGAGGTGGTCTAGTAATGGAACACATGTCCAGCTTTACAATGAAAATCATCTTCTTTCAAGCTTGCCAGTCATCTCTTTGACTATACATATAATGGCATGTGGAGATAATGTCAAAAGTCTAAATCTGTTAATATGACACCCAGCTTGACCTTCCTATCTCCCTCAGTCATCACTGCTCTAATTTAAATTATTTCGATGGCTAATTTATCCTTTATTGTTGTTTTCTTTTCTTGAATGTGGCCTTAGACATGATTTTAGGTACTCTGTCAAAGCAAAAGTCTGTTTTTGCCTGAATAAATTTAAATTTTACTTCAAATTTCTTTTCTTCTTTGCACCTATAAAGCTTGTAGCTAGAGCAGCTTTTTAGCATTCATATAAATTGGGGAATGGAACAATCAGGAAGTTAGAGGAACCACTACTCCTTAAACCAATACAATAAGATTCATGATCTTCATATTTCTAAATATTATTTACCTATGGGTACAGTCTATATTCAACCTAAGTTTTCTAAGAGTCCTTTGAAAACTGGTTTAACAGAGTTATAATGGAATCATTAACTAGGGAGTATATTCTTGTGAATATGAGTTTTCAATATATTTGCTTATTCTCATTAGGCATAAAACATCAGCAGAAATCTCTCTCTCAGGGCTTATATACTAGATTATATAACATCAAAATACTCAAACCTAAAAAAGAATAAATTCCAAAAGTGCAAAATTCCTTTAAATTCACATTTGCAAAGGATAGGAAAAATTTACTGTATAATGATAATGTTAAACAAAACATTTTAAAAGGCAGTATATTTAAGGGAGTTATTAACAATTTAGAAAGGGAGACATACTATGGTGAACAAATCTGGGTAGTTTTAGCTACTATCTTTTTTTTTTTTTGAGAAAGAGTCTCGCTCTGTCGCCCAGGCTGGAGTGCAGTGGCACGATCTCAGCTCACTGCAAGCTCCGCCTCCCAGGTTCATGCCATTCTCCTGCCTCAGCCTCCTGAGTAGCTGGGACTACAGGTGCCCGCCACTACACCCGGCTAATTTTTTTGTATTTTTAGTAGAGACGGGGTTTCACCGTGTTAGCCAGGATGGTCTTGATCTCCTGACCTCGTGATCCGCCCGTCCTGGCCTCCCAAAGTGCTGGGATTACAGGCATGAGCCACCGCACCCAGCCAGCTATTATCTTTTAAAATATTTGGAATGATAACCAATCAATCAATAAATATCAGAATCATTAAGTCACTAAGACCAAGATTTTTGTTATCATGTAAGCTTACTCTACCTGCAATACTAAAGTTAAAACTACACAGCCACTTTAATTTTAAATAACAAAATAATCTCCCTACTCAAATTCCTGATTATGTATTACAGTTCTTCTTGAAAACAACACTTGGTTTTAATTTTTACAAGGCTCTACCAGAAAATGTGTCCAAAATGATTCCTTATAATTTTTGTCAAGAATCACTTTGAAGTTGAAGGTGTATTTTTCAAATATTCGTACTTCATTCTACTGACAGTAACATAAAACCATAGTTCAATTCAATTCACATAAACTCTGGAAATGAACGGCAGGTTAAAACACAAAGAACTTAACATTATACATAACAAAGGGCTAATACAGTTTATATATTTAGGGCCCTCAAAAATTGATAACAAAAATCTATGAAAAAACAATTTACAGAAGAAATAAGAATGACCAACAAACATGAAAAACTTCCATCTTTTAAGACACAGAAATATAACTAAGATTATATGCTTTGTCTATCAAACTGAAGACCTATAAGATAATAATACTCTGAGCTGTCTAGAATTTGTGTCAGGTGCCACTTCGCAATTTGCTGATGGTTATCTCTAGGTAGTAGCACTGTCAGTTATTTACTTTCTTCTTTTTGGGGTATTGATATTTTCAAAATTTTCCATAAAAAATATGCACATCTTTTTAAACAAGAAGACATTAACCAAGGATTTGTAGATAAAGCATCAGAAAACATTATACTATCAAACAAAATGCTCAGGAAAAGAAAAAGTTAAAACCAGGGTTTAACTTGAAGACTGTAAATGTCAAAGAGTGCCTCGCACAATAATAAGCCTGCAACTCAAGTTAATGAGGAGCCGATGGCTTTTACTTTCTCCATCAGATTGTTGTCTGCTTCTCAGAGATACACAAAGGCATGAAGTTTTATTCAGCAAGGACTCTAAATGCCAATTACTCATTTTATTTCAAAATAAAACTAAAAGGGTTAAAAAAGTTAGGACTAGTTGTAGAAAAACATATGAAGGATTAGAAGATTCATTTGAAATTCTTTTTCTTTTCTTCAGAAAGATCTCTTTCTGGATAGTAATTTTAAGAGACTGGTCTGTGCGGAAAGAAACAAATTACAGACATGTATTTATAGTTTACAAAAACAAGGCAGGTACATGTTGAATCTTGTTTGTTTAATTTTATTTTTTCTTGTAGAGAAGGGGTCTCATATGTTGCCCAGGCTGGTCACGAATACATGCTGAATATTTTGAAAAAATTTTTTTCCTGAGATAGGGTCTTACTGTGTCACCCAGGCTAAAGTGCAGTGGTGCGATCACGGCTCACTGCAGCCTCAACTTGCTGGGCTCAAGTGATCCTCCTGCCTTAGCATCTTGAGTAGCTGTGACTACAGGTGTGCCCCACCATACCTGGCTAATTTTTGTATTTTTTTGTAGTGACAGGGTTTCGCCATGTTGCCTAGGCTGGTCTTGAGCTCCTGGGCTAAAGTGACCCATCCACCTTCAGCCTCCCAAAGTGTGGGATTACAGGTGTGAGCCACTGCACCCAGCTGAAAAAATATTTTGAGGTCTTGGACATCTCATGCAGTCATCTGAATACCACTGGGAGGCAGTTTATAGCATCAAAAGAATTATTGGCTACATTTGTAAAAGATGATTTAACATATTTTGACCAATTCTAACAAGTTATAAATAACAAATCAGTTGCTGCAAAGTGAATACCATCAGACTCACAAGACAGTAACACACTGCATTCCACCATAATGAGTGACTCTCACCATCCAACAGCTCTACAAGTCACTATCAGCAAGGCCACTTGCCTAGCCCAAAATATTAGCATTTGCAATCTTCCAAACGGTACATGTCAAACCATTCTGATATCTAATGGCCTCTAACTTTCCAATAACAACAACAACAACAACAACAACAACAAAACATAAAAACCAAACACACAAACCAAACACACAAAAACAATAATAAAATCCCACTAAAAAGGTCAGCCATGGTATCTGGAAAGCACATTCACCATCCCAAAAAACAAAAAATGCTAATTCTACTTACTCACTGTGTGACTACTCTCATCCCCAGGGTTCATTTGTTTGTTTGCTTGTAAATCAGGAAAATGGAAACAATATCACCTACTTCATAAGACTGTTGTGGTTTAAATAAGGCAAAATTATATGAAAAGCCCTTTGCAAACTGTAAAGTTTTATGATAGTTTTAATACACTTAATTCTTTTCTCTATACAGACTTTTTAATAGAACTTCTCTACATAGTATATATCTAGAAGACTGTAGGCTTTTCTGTTCTCAAATTCTCTAAGGAGGTTCTTCTAACTATTTCTCTGGGTATACTTCTGCTTGAAGATATGTGACCTGCAGGTCTTTCATTACGATTCTAATAACTCGAAGGAAAGCTATAACTCCAATTTTACTGCTAAGAAATATTTTGCTGTTACTGAGTTGACAGAAACCTTTTTCCAATCAAAACTTGACTCATCAACCAACATTTCTTTAACTAACGATAAGTCCATGACACAGTGTGCCCCAAACTGTCCCTAAAAAGGACAACTCCATGTTCTCTATACCATGCATTTATTTGGTGTGAAACTCCTCTGCTTTTTATCTATATTCTCAGACACAATGTTTAAAGTAGGTTTAATTCATTTTTTTAAATAGGAAAAAGTAGGTCTTGACAGTCATCTACGTATCTTTACTTCTTGTACCATGCTTAATATTTGAATATCAGGTTTCAATTTGTACAAAATACTTCCTACTATGTATCTAATATGTAGGTAGATAAAATAATATCTTTATTAGCAGTAGTGCTAAAATTACCATGAATGCAAAAAATAATAAAATTCTTTTAATACTATTTATTAAAAACTTTAACATTTATTAACATGAATCAATACAAATGACAACATTAAAAAACATAATGTAATGTCTATTTTCTTATCATTTAGCAAATTTTCAACACATCTTGATTTATTTTCATCACAGTGTTTCTTTTATGACACTCCACAGGTGAACAGAAAATACTACTGCACAAAGAGCTTGGCAACCCTGATTTTCGAGGCGAACCCTCTGAATGTGGTAAGGCTGCTATGTTAAAATTCTGGTGTGACAGCTATTGACCTCCTTAGCTAGTTGGATGTTTCTATACTATTAAATTATATTTAATAATGTTGTTTCCTATGAAATAAAAAAATATGCATACATATCATTACATTTATGATATCTAAATGTCTGAATGTATGTGAGTATAAAATATCTTTCTAATCTCTATTTGTTTTGGAGGGGGTGGGGGGCGGGTCCTCATTTTTTAAAAAAGGAATCTCTACACAGGTCATACCTCCACTGCAACGTGCAGGCTATTATGGTGCCTTGGGCCAGGCCAGGGTTCCCCATAGCACCCTCCTTCACAAGTCTGTGTAGTGTCCTGGACCCCTCCCTACCATCATCAGTGCTCAGCCCAATATACAGTTTCTACCTCTGCTTCCTGGGGTCCAGGCTGTCTGAATATACACATTCTTCTATTTCCTAACTTTCTTTACAAAAATCAGGCACGTCTACTAGATTATCCCAACCACATCCAACAAAAGGAAAACTGAGTAAATTTTAAAATACACAGAAATTGAAAATGGAGGAGGTTGGGGAGTAAGGTATGAGAGCATAGTGACAATGAGGCCAAGGTTTTAGAACTAGTTGTCACATTTACCAGAATGTTATTAATATTTAATGACTATTTAAAAAAAAACTGTCCAGACAAGCCTGGCCAGAATCTTACAAATATATACCACACAAAGGATAATGCAAGTGGGTGTGGTAGTCTCAGCATAACCAATAAATACTTAATAGAAGTGGAAGTTATGGGAGATAGATTTCAGATCAATATAAGGAAAAGGAAGAACTAAGGATAAGAGTCGTACAAAAAAGGAATGGGTTACCTTATGAGGTAGTGGGCTCCCTGTCATTAGAAGTATTCAAGAATGCTGCATATCATATCCCCCTCTTGGAGATTCACAATGCACATTAGCATATTAAAGGTTCTGAGAAGTCCTGCAGTAAAGAAACCTGTTTAACTTTGTTTAATGCAGCATTTCCCAAATTACTTGACCACAGAAGCCTTTTCCCACCCCCACCCCACCTCAATAATACTTATTTTTTGTGGAAGTAGAATTCCTCAGAATACATTATAGAAAATGAGCTACATTTTTTTTAAATGTGGTATTCAATATGTACCTGAATAACAACCTGTCAGGGATCTAGAAGAAACTGCCACACAAGGTAAAATACTGGAGGAGAAGGCCCTTAACCCATTTATACCTAGTGTTCCATTATTGGAACACTAAGCTTGTGGGAGTTATTTATATCCTACTGCTCAAGTTCATTGCCAAAGTCTGATTTTTCACAAAAAAAATTTGCAACCTCTGGTATAAATGGGTTAAGGTCGCTTCTCTAAGATTCCATCCCATGTCAAAGTAAAGAGCTATAGGATCTTGATTATTTATTTTAAAAGGTTTAATGAGAGAAAGGCAAGTAGAATAAAAAGGTAGTAAATGCAAGGATTAACTAGTTCAAGTGCCTCCATTAAACATGTTCAAATCCCAGTCCCCAAAAGGAAGAGAGACACCACAAGCACCATAAACTATCAAAAGGAAACCTTGGCCAAATATCTACTATATCTACTCCACCCACCAAGTTAATTACTATTTGAGAGAGGATTTAAAAATTTTTTTAAAAAGGAGTAGTCTTGCACTAGGCGACTACCCTATTCCAGCTATCTTATTTGAGTGTAATTTTTTTCATAATACACACTCTCCTAATAAAGTTAATATTTGTTTGATGGCTAGTCACTAGATTGCCCTGTGCATTCAAAGAAATGTTTAAGAATGATGAAGAGCCATTAAAAAAACCTCTCAAAGTAGATATTAGGAAAAAATGTTTGCCTGTATGCCCCACAATTACATTTCTCTCTCTTTTTCTCTCTTTTTCCTTTTGAAGAATTATATAAAACAACACATGCTAAAAATGTACTATCAGACATGAAGCTAACTAATCCAATATTAATTTTAAGAATGTAAATAAACACGAGTCCCAAATTTCAAAGTCAAGTTTCCACAGTTAAATTAACCTAAGCCACTCTGCACATATACTAAGGCCATCAAATAGAACAGCATATTAAGTAACACAAAACACTATAGGAATCTTAATCTTTTTTTAAGAGATGAGGGTCTCGTTTTGTTGCCAGCTTCAAGCTGGATGACTTGAATTGGCTCAAGCCATCCTCCTGCCTCAGCTTCCTAAGTAACTGGAGCTATAGGCACACACCCACTGGGCCTGGCTGGGAATCTGAACTTTTGAATTTCTTGACGTTTGAATTCTCAACCAGAACCATTGCATTAAGGACATTTTTGGAAAACGGGACTTTTACATTTTAACAGGTTATCGAACGGTGGAACATGCAGGCCTAGCTGTATTAGCAGAAACACAAATGCGTTTGAAGTATAGCTACGTGAAATTAGACAATTCATTTCCACTTAGTGCAAATAGCAAAGCCCCATTTCTGAGAGAGAGCCTATTTGCCAAAAAAAAAAAAAAATCACAATATTTGAATAACTATCCAGCTAGCATCAGGATCAGGCACACGATGTCTACCTAGTCAAAGTACTTACCAATTTTGGGGAAACTGGCTCTCCTTCAGCTCTCTAGCCCCCTATAACAGAAGAACGGGAAAATGGAATTAGACAACACACACATATTTATGACATGTCATTAAAAGCTGAAGACTCAAAGATTACTGATTTTAAGAAGAAAAAACAAAACACACACAAGTTTCCAAAGTTTTAAAACCCAAAAGAAAAAAAGAAGCAATAGGTAATTTTTACAGCAAAGAAAAGAACTCAAGAGCAGTTAAATTGCTACTTTTCCATAGTTTTTCAAGACAAGCAAAAGTAAGTAGTTGATAATTTTCCTTTCCTAAGAGACACATAGAAATGAAATGCACCTCATTTAAATAACATACAACTACTCCTTCATCCCCAACAAGTGACCTCTACTGTCAGTTGTTTTACATTAACAAATTAAGGTAACATCACTAGTTCTTAGTTTGGTCCTCATAAAAGGCATTTTTTTCAATTAATCTTGAAATGTATTTGCCTTATATAAGGCTTTAAAATCACAGCATTTTATAATAATGTATAGTCAGAATTTTAATTAAACTTTTTTTCACATTCTTAGATGTGTCTCACCTTTTTTTTTTTTTTTTGAAACAATGTCTTACTCTGTTGTCCAGGCTCAAGTGCAGTGGCACAATCACAGCTCACTGCAGCCTCAACCTCCCAGGCTCAAGCAATCCTCCCACCTCAGCCTCCTGAATAGCTAGGACTTCAAGTGTGCCACCATGCCTGGCTATTACTTTATTTTTTTGTAGAGTCAGGCCTCACTGTGTTGCCCAAGCTGGTATCAAACCCCTGGGCTCAAGCAATCCTCCCTGCCTCAACCTCCCAAAGTGCTGGGATTACAGGTGTGAGCCACTGTGCCTGGCCACATCTTACCACTTTAGATTGTAAACCACATACACAAAAGCTATTTGTTTCTATGCCACATATCTAATCAGTGATGAAGCCAGAAAGAAAATTTAGGTTTTGGGATCCCAATCCAATATTAGGAAACAAAAATTAAAACTTTTCCCTTAATATTTTAGTATTAAATTATTTAAACTCCACTATATGCTATGCTCTAAAACTACATGTCTTCCTTTTGCCTTAAATATGGTGTTTGTTGACTGATATTACTCCAATAGTGTCTCATTGCCTCAGGGAATATTTCAAAAGAGCTTCATGTCTCCCAGATTGTAAATCTTTGTTTAACCATGTACAGTTATACCAAACATACGATAAAATTATTTAAAAGGGCCCCAGTTCATGCAGTTAGCACTCATTTCCAAAGAAAGTCAATGTGCTATTCTATTCTGCCTTTTCTTTAGCAGCTGTCCTTTTTAAAGTTCTCAGGCCCATGCAAATAACAATTTTAATCACCAAGGTTAGGATGACTCTCAACCAAAAGAGAAATCATGCAACAATCTGTAGAACAATGCAGTTATTAAAAAGTGGATTCTTAACACTACTGATATCTACAGGACTCTGTGCCACTCAAAAGGTTGCCTCAAACAGTACCAGGCACATAGTAAATGCTCAATAAATGTTTGTTAAGTCAATGAATTGACTAAACAGACACTTAAGCTGTCTGTTGAGGGCTTATCTTCCCTATTAGGGCTTTCATGTTAGCTCTTTTAGGCTGGGGATAATTTCTTATGCATCGATTTCCAGCAGCATTATTTGTTAAATGAATGACTTTCTGGAACTGTTTTCATCCAAGTTGTTGATTAGGAAGTAAAATATTACCATTTTAAAATATAGTAAAAAGGAAAAGACTGATAAATTGGACAAAATTAAAATTAAGAACTTCTGCTCATCAAAAAAACACCATTAAGAAAGTGAAAAGGTAAACCACAGAATCGGAGGTGATAATTATATTACGTATAATCAACACAGGCTTATACCCACAATATATAAAATATGTTGAAATTCAAAGTGATGAGGATGGGACTGGGATTTTAACTTATACAGCATTTGAGAAAGTATTAATAAATGCTGCTGAAAAGTCATATTCAACAAAAGGCAGCACAATGTACATATATCTTATCTCCAAGGCATTTTCTCCAAAAATGAGGAGCAGGGCCAATCCTGAACTGATAAAGAATTTTGCCATGATATCCTGAAATCATGATGTCATGAAACTGCTCATAAGACTATTTGTAGGGACTGCAGAAATCGCATAGAAAATCAAACCCGGAAAAGTTAAGTGATTTCCCCAAAGGTCACTCAGCTAGCTGATAGTGAAGCTGGAGAAGAGCTTATGGGCCCGAGATTCCTTGGCTGAGTTCATTTTCCACTAGACCTCACTTTCTCTTAACCCGCTGCAGGAGTTACTCTTCTAAAAAACAAACTACAATAAACACTAGCGAAATATTTTTGGAAAAGTCTGCACATAAAGTTTTAAAGAAAAATCACATAAGCCATCTTAAAACATGAAATCCTGGCCGTGCACAGTGGCTCATGCCTGCACTCTGGGAGGCCAAAGTGGGTGGATCACGAGATCAGGAGATCGAGACCGTCCTGGCCAACATGGTGAATAATAATTATTTCGTAGAAGTCTCTACTAAAAATACAAAAAAAAAATTAGCTGGGTATGGTGGTGTGCACCTGTAATCTCAGCTACTCGGGAGGCTGTGACAGGAGAATCACTTGAACCCGGGAGGCAGAGACTGCAGTGAACTGAGATCGCGCCACTACACTCCAGCCTGGCGACAGAGTGAGTCTCCGTCCCAAAAAAAGACAAATCATGAAATCCTTTAAACCTAAGGGATCCCCATGAATGGGCTTCAGAGGGGTCTGTCAACTGCTTCCTACTATATGCTAAATTCTATACATATCAGCATAGGTACACCTTTCTTGGAAGAGGGTCCACGGCTTTAATTGGTTTCACAATGAGGTTCACATACCCAAAAAGAGGAAATTATTTTTAGACTAATGATTCTTAAACACTGTGCACATCAGAAATCCCAAAGTGTTTCTTCTGAAGATTGAATATTAATTGACTACCATTTGGAAATTGTCAAAAAAAAAGCAAATATTCTATTTCTATAATTTAAGAAAACTGAGCAGCAAAAAGCAAGATCTATACACACGTTTGTGCTTTTTACACTATCCATATGTAAAACATATTTAAGTCTGAAATGCAAGTTTGATTTCTTCATGTTAAGCTGGTTAAAAGCCACTTAGTTTGTTTCTCACATACATTTCACACTTCTAACTAAGGTACTTCAAAATTTTAACCATATTTGCTTAAATTTTTAAAAGATAGATTTGTTCTTGAAAAATATATCCAAAACACCTAAGTTAGAGTAAATGAAATTATTTTTGCTTTTAGAGGTGTTATACTATCTTGCTAATATAATGTCATACAATTTTTTGCAAACGGAAGATTGTTCACCTCTCCAGAACTTCACAGGTAACTGCTCTAATTAGAGCTGGTAAAGAAACAAATCATCCAGATTTCTAATATGGTTATAATATTTTAAATATTATAAATAAATCTAAAGCAATTAATAATTATTTAAATACCTTTTGTAAAATATCTGAAACCCTTGCGATATGAAGAATCTGTATTAAACAAAACTTGCAGAGAAAAAGTTTAATACTAGATCATGTTTTAAATTAGGCTAAAATTTAATTCACCCTACTACAAATTTCAAATGATTAAGTTTATAGCCTGTGCTCAATCATAAATTTTGATAAGGGACTAGAATAGCACAGATAATTGTCATTCAAAGACACTTTAAAATGTCACCTTACCCAGAAGATTCAATCTCTTCTCTTCCCCTTACTATACCAAGCTGATAGAGGCCCCCAAACTGAGTTTTATACACCACTGGCTTTACTGCTTTTTATCTACCCTTCCTAACTTCCAACAGAAAGCAAGTAAGTTTGAAATAAATTTAAATGCAGATAAGTGGTTAGAAGAAAAAGCAGAATCCCGCTTGATAGGCTTAGTCCTTGGGGCCCCAACATCTTAATAACCATCCCTCTTGTACCCACCTCTCTTACCCTCTCCTGGACATTCCTCTAGCTCTTTTCCTTTTACTCTCATGGAGCATCAATTTTCCCCTCATCATTACTGGATCATTTTGTTCCTTCTATCTTAAAAAATAATAATTAAAAAAAAAAACCCTCTTGACTCCATATCCTTCTCTAGTTATTGTCCCCGTCTAGGCTCACGTTTATAGCAAAACTCCCTGAAAGAGGTAACCATACTCCCTCTAATTCCTCTCCTCCCAATCTCTATTGAACACAACCCATTAGGGCCTTTGCCTCCCTCCATTCTTGTGAAGATCACCAATGATTTAACAGTTGTTAAATCCAACAGAAAATAGTCTTCACTTCCTTGACCAGTATCTTTTGACCCACTGCTCATTTCTTCCTCCTCAAAATTTTTTTTCTCTTGACTTCCAGGAGACCATCCTCTCTTGATTTTCTTTCCCAACTCTCTGGCTACTCTCTTTGGTTTCTTTTGCTGGTTCCTCCTTGCCTCCAACACCTTAAAATGTGGAACTGTCCCAGGACTCAGTTCTTGGAACTCTTCCCCTTAGGTGATCTCACACAGTCTCATGGCTATAGAAGGATCTACACACTGGCAATTCCCAATGTTTATCTCTAGCACATATCCTTCCCCTGAATTCCAAACTCATATACCCAACTGCCCACTCAACACTGGTCAAATAGGTATCTCAAGCTCAACACATCCAAAACTAAACTCCTGACTACCTCTCCCCTAACTTCCTCCTCAGAGTCATTCCCATCTCAGTAAATGGTAACTCCACCCCCTCAGAAGAAAAAATCCTAAAAGTCATCTTAAGACTCTTCTTTTACCACACTCCACATCTACTCCGACAGCCAACCATGTGCCTCTACCTTCAAAATATATCCACCATGACCCCCTTGCCTCAACTCTCCTACCACCTCCCTGGTCCAAGTCACCTTCACCTTTCACCTAGATAATTGCAACAGCCTCCTAACTGGCCTCCCCAATTCTACCCTAGCCCCGCTAAGGTATATTCTCTCGCAAGCCAGAGTAAGCTTTTCAAAATCCAAGACAGATCTTGTTACTCCTCTGCTCAAAACCCTCCAGTGGCTTCCCATCATACTCCGAGAAAAGATGAAGTTCCTTTCAATGGCCCACAGGCACTGAGTGATTTGGGCCTCTGCCACTCGAAGCCGTCCCATCTCCCTATCGCTCAATCCTTTCCAGCAACACTGGCCTCTTTTCCGTACTTCAGACCCTCCAGGCAAGTTCCCTTCTTGGGGCTCTGGAACACTCTTTTCCTCCAAATATCTTCATGGCTCACTCCCTCAAATTATTGAGGAAATCTACAGCAGTTTCAGGAGCAAAAGAATACTAAAATAAAGACTAAAACTATAATCAGAATTGTTCCGCTCCCCAACTTTTACTTATGCTCTTCCTTATAACAAGAATAATACCTTTTTACCCTCTCTCTAACTATCCAAATCTCACCCACACACTAGGGTCCAGATAAAGACTCACTGATTAACAGAGATCTGCTCAAACCATCCTAATTCCCAATTCTTCCTTTGTTTAAACTCCTAAAGTGTTTATCCTCTTTCTCATTCATTTTCAAGTTTAACCACACACTGCCTCACATTTTAATCTGACCTATATGACATCTCCCTAACTAGAACACACACACACACATACACAAAAGAATAGAATACCTTGTACAAGTAGTTCTCAATCCTAGATCAGGATAACACATAAAACTTCAAAAAATACAGGTTCACAGGCCCTACCCTTAAAGATATTGAATATATTATGTCTTATTTAGAACCCATAGATCTGTATTTAAGTTCCCCCAAAAGATTCTAATAGGGAGCCAGGATTAGAAACCACTGCCTGCCTTACAGTACTCTATTTCCTTCAGTACCTAGGAAAGTAGGCCTTCAAACAGCCTAAAACTAGAATGGACACCTCAGAGGGCAGATCCATACCTTCATTTCATGGAGGAACAGAGGTCCAAGAAGTCCAGATGACTAGCTAAAATCTACAAAGATTTAGACTGTACATAAATAAATGGAAGTAATAAAAATCCACAATTCACAGATGGGTGTAGTAAACACTGATTATCTATTACTTGACCAGTGGTTGTAGTGTCTAAGTTCTAAAACAGTGCATATTAACTTCTATATGCTTGAAAAATGTGAGCCACACTAGCTAATAAAAGACTTTGAGGCCAGAGGGTAATTACAGGAAGGCTTTTAAGTAGAATAAAAAACAAAACAATTTTTCTAAGTCTTCTTACAATATAAACAAAAACTGTTAGAACCATTTTTTATGGTTGAGAAGAAATAGCAGAAATAAATAGAAAGAAGAAATCTTGCTTCCTCACTCTATAAAGTACAAAAATCCTTATTCACAAGCTTCCATAGCTCTCACGAAGCTGTTTTCTGAGTCTAATGATCATAACGAAAACTTCTTAATTATAGATCAGACTTAGTAAATCACTCCTTATCCCAAGACAACTCAAACTCTATCTTAATAATCAGTTAACCTCAGGACTAAAACTCTTGTCATTAACAACAAAAAAACAACTCAGGTATCTATAAGGCATTATAAAAGAGTTTGAGCTTATTTTGGTGTACAGGGATTTAAGGAAGTGCCTCCTATTAACACTAATGGGAGTTCTGGGTGTAAACCATAAGCACCAAGGAGGAGGATCAACGCCCAGCACTGCATCTGTGAGAACCCTTTCTATTGCACTAACTGTAACTACTGGGAGTTGTTCGCTCAGAAATGGGATAATAGACCCAAATTCCTATGTCTCTAAAGCACAAGATAATTCAAATAAAAGTCACTAAGAAAGGTCAATGCTAGATACCAGATTTTAAAAATAAACAAGAAGAAGTTAAACTAAAAGAACAACACATTAAGAAAATTTTATAAAATAGCATCAACATACACAGAAGAAATTAGTGAATTGCTAGAGAAAAATATCTCACACAAAAATAAATTCAACAAGATTAAAACAACCAAATTTTAAAAAATTAAAGCACAGTAAACCCAACTATAGCCAGAAGCTTATCCAGAGAAACACATGCACACAAAACAAAACTCAACTCCTCCCTGATGGAGCCCTCAGTATACTACAGTCCTTGCTTTAAACACAGAAGAAAACTCCTGCTGCATCGATAGCCAAGAATAATCAGAGTACTTCCAGATAAATGGACAGTGATCACAAGCTGCCGAGGATGAGCAAAACTAACTAAATAAAAATTATAGCACCTTATTGTGTTCCATCCTGCCTCACTTCTCAATATAGCACTGCTGTACTCACTAGGCTGGAAAATGAGCAGGTGCCTTTCAGGCTATAGAAAAATTAGACACACACACACACACACACACACACACACACACACACACCCTAAACACAAACACAAACACAAAGGGAATGATACTCTTTCACTTGAAGGGGCTTAAAAAATGCAAGGCTTTGCTGCAGGCCTAGAAAACTCAGAGTAGGCCTTACCGAAGAAGTGAGAAAAAAGCCAAGCTTTATTCCAAATCCACATTTCAAGCACTAAAAGAATTAACATTTATTTCAGTTAAAAGGTTTTGGCAACAATCCATTTTTTAAAAAGGAAAGAGAAATTAAGATTTTCCCTGTTTCCAGCCTGAAAGAAAATTAGAATCTCTTCTCTCTGACTATACAGGTTTAGCTCCACAACACAAATAAAAAAGAACCCTGACTTTAGGCCTAAAAACTAAAAATGGTTCCATACAATTTACATTTTTTAAAAAATCTTTGTAGTCCAACATATTGATCCTTTCTCACCACTGCTATCCTTAATGAACATTTATCTTTTTATCAGTACTTTGAAATGTCAATGAGAAGTGGAAACAGCTACAATACACTGGGAATTTTAACTTTTGAAACAAAAACCACAAAGAAACAGGAGTCTGAAACATGCCTCAATCACGCTGATAAGTAAGTAGTCCTAAAACTTGAAAGTGAAAGCAATACAGACCTCAAAAAGAAGTTGTTTGCTTGATATTAATGCTAGCCTTTAAGACCAAAAATATGTTATGTTACAGAAGACTGAAATCAGGGCTTCCATTAACCTTGTTTAAAAAAAAAAAAATCCCATGAGCATGGACTTTTTTCCTAAGTCTCTTCATCAGAGCAGCATGGGGTCCCATTAGGCACCCTATTTTACTTCCACCTTATAAATAACGTTAGCTATTTGCTATTTCCATGGAAACCAAGTAGAGAGAAACCCACTTAAATGAATACCGGTTAAAAGAATAAGTTTTATTTTAGAAAGGTTTTGCTGCTATAGGCGAACTCTTCTGGGGAATACCACAAAGTCTTCTTAAGTATAATTTTTAAAATATATATCTTTGGTGTAGAGGGAACTTATTAAAGGTCCTGTTAAGTAAGTATACTCCTTGCACTAAATGATAGATGCCAAATAACATCATAACATTAAAGACACATTTTCAATGCACAGGGGTTTACATGCACAACTTTCACTGACTATGCTTCCCCATGCATTGAGATGGAATAATTACACCTGTGGGTCTAATTTAAACTAATGCAACCAAATAAATTCAGAAATAAGTCTACCATTACCTTGTAGTGACTCCTAATGAACACGCCCCACAACTGCAGACATATGTACAACTTACAGTGCAAAGAAGAGCAAACAAGGGAGCACATAGCAAGTTTCTAACCACTGTTACCACGTCTAAAGATAGCAGGTAGTCAAAAGTCCCTCCTTGACAAACCATTTTATAAGTGAAACAAGCATTCCTTAACCAATACACACATTTGGGTTAAATAGAAATAGAATATGCACAAGAAGGAAGTGCGGAACAAGACTTGTGACCTGCAACTTTAAGCTGACTTATATATTGTCCTGCTTATGCTAAGAAATGGTGGTCCATACAACCATCACAGACAGGAAAGTGTACATAAAATAAAATGCAACTCCTAAGAACACAAGCTCAAAACTAATAATCTCAGAACTTCTAAAAGCAGGAGTAAGAAAAGCTAAAATCTGTCCAGCAGGCATCGTTCTTCACTAAGTTAGTGGTGGCTCAGACATCTTCAGTAAGTTAAAAGACAAATGAAAATATTATCCTAAAAGGGATTACCAGTATTAAACTAACAATGTATGAAAAGAACATTCTCATACACATTTTTCCTTTGAGTATACCAATGTATCTAACTGTAGTGCATGTTTTGAAAACACAAAGTTACTTTCCTGTTATGTTTTACACACTATAAATAAAGATTGGCAAAATGCTGGTAATTGTTAGTTAGGGAATAGGTACGTGGGGTTATATTATTCACTCTATTTTTATAAATGTTTTTAAATTTCCATAAGAAGAAGTTATTTAAAATCCTATAAAGGCTCTTGTCTCAAATGTTTTTCTCTAAGTATAATTAAATAATAGATGAAATGCCTGGTATAGATCTTAGAAGCTACTGAACTGATTGACTGATTGAGACAGTGTCTCGCTTTGTTGCCCAGGCTGGAGTGCAGTGGCATGGCACAATCACAGCCTCGCAGCCTCGACCTACCAGGCTTAATCAATCCACCCAACTCAGCCTCCCTAATAGCTGGGACTACAGGCACATGCCACCACACTCGGCTAATTTTTGTATTTTTTGTAGAAACAGGGTTTCACCATGTTGCCCGTGCTGGTCTCCCTCTTTTTTTTTTTTTTTTTAAATACGGAGTCTCGCTCTGTCGCCAGGCTGGAAGCAGTGGCGCAATCTCGGCTCACTACAACCTCTGACTCCTGTGTTCAAGCGATTCTCCTGCCTCAGCCTCCTGAGTAGCGGGGATTACAGGCATGTGCCACCACGCCCAGCTAATTTTTGTATTTTTAGTAGAGACAGGGTTTCATCATGTTGGCCAGGATGGTCTCAAACTCCTGACCTTGTGATCCACCCGCCTCGGCCTCCCAAAGTGCTGGGATTACAGGCGCGAGCCACCACGCCTGTCCCTGTGCTGGTATCAAACTCCTGAGCTCAAGTGATACACCAGCCTCGGCCTCCCACAGTGCTGGGATTACAGGCATGAGCCACTACACCTAACCAGGAGCTACTGATTTTAAATCCAGCAGAGACATTAACTCAACATGTAACCATAATTAATTTCCAAGTTTTATTTTTCTTACCAAACAATTATGTTAACAATTTAAAACCACTAGGAGAAATCTAAAAAGGAAAGGGTCTGCTACTTTGCAACTATCAACCAATGACATGTAAAAGATCAATATATAATAAGGCATCAGTGGTATTCTGTATTTACAAATCAAGGAAAGAAAGCCTAGTCTTCTCAATTAATAAATCAAAATATTTTAGCAATTCACAACACCAAAATTTCCATTTTTTAATTCTCCAATTAGGTCCATGAGACTAGAGAGCAGTCTAATAAATTAATGCTTATTTTAGTTAAGTAACATGCCTGCCTCTTCCTCAACTTTGCCTCTATCTCACCCCAACCAGAAAATACAGCAATTTCTGAGGTAAAAAGGTATTTTTCTATTCTCTCTCTTAGTCCAGATATAAAGTATTTTACAAATATTCAGTTACTGTGCAAGTGATTTTAAGCTATCCATTCTCCAAATTCCAGCTGAGGGCCCAAAGTAGGGGGTATCCCCACAAACTGTTAAAGCTTAAGGTTTTGATAATAGCTCAGTATCTCCCTGTTTAAAAACTAATAATTACAACAGTGTTTTGTTTTTAAGAGAAATAGAAATAAAACAGTGGTGGCTTGAAGGGAAGGATGAATAACAGGCAGGGGACGGAAAGAGACCATCAAGAGGGTAAGCAGAGAAGCAGGAGAGGAAAGGCAACACAGGGAGTCTGGGCAATCACCGGCGGCATCTCTACACAGGAGCACCACCGGCTGGACAGGGTCCTGCAGAGCTGAAATGGGACTGCACCCCCGTCACATACAGCACCACTTTTTACAAATTAAGCAGGGACAAACTGATTTTCAAAATTGTATAATTCTTTAACTCAACCCCCAAACGCTTGTAGAATCTCTTTCTAACACATATTTATCAAAATGAAATATACTTCTAAAGTTTCCACAATTCCATTCAACCAACGGAAACAACTTTTACAGATTCTGCAAAGAGCTAAAGTAAAGAAAACTTAATACTATATATTTGCTATGCTAATTTTAAAACTATAATGCTTTACCTACTGGTCACTCTATTGCAAAGTAAGATTACAATTATTTAATTGAAAGATAACTATACAACCCATTATAAAATTGCTTAGTTTTAAAAATATTTGTCGAGCCAAAGTACACCACTTTATTTTTTAAAAAACTCGTTGGAATTTCTCCTCAGAAATGAGATACAATGTTTTAGGAACAGGGACAAAATAAAATATACACCAATTCACCTATAGTAAACACACCTATTCACCTACTAGACCTTTATCAAATGGTACAGCTGGGTTAGTGAGAACAAAAAGTTAATAGGAGCCATTATGCTACTTTAACTTAAATTCTTGCTAAGGGTAACATATACCATATTCAGAATGTTTTGGTAAGCTATTACAAATACATTTGTTGAATCACAGAAAAAAACATATCAAGGATCAAAGACCAAAAACGTTCAGATCCTGATCAGTAGTGAATGAACAAAGTTAATTATATTTTACACTTAATGATCTTTCCCCTTACCTCATTTACTGGTTTCACTTATAAGATAGAGACATTCGTAAGACAGATACATATATACATTCTAATGGATATATTAACTCAATTATTTACCCCAAAACTCCTCAAATCTGAGGAGATCATTGTACCTTTTCTCATAATCAACTTGTTCTCAGGCTCAGTTTCTAGGCTCAACATAGGTAGCTTATGACAATTAAATATAGAAAGAAAATAACAACTACCATAAGAAAACATCAGGCACCAAATGAGAGGAAATTTCACAAAGGCAAAATGCCCAAAATCAGAAAGCAAATAAACTGTGCCCATCATTATTAGAAAGCATTTGTATGCCACTTTTATATCTCTGGGGTTCTACAATTGTTTCCACTAGTTGTTACACCCAAGCATGAGTTCTCAAGGGTTAAATACACATAATTTGCCAGACCCAATGGACTGACCAGCTGATGAGTATTTAAGACTTGAGAGTTACAATGCCTAGTCTACTACTGACTTGATTCTAAGAGACCTACTATAAACTGCATCAATATCTTGGTGCTGGTCTCACCAGCTGTTGAGAAAAAAAAAGAAAAGCTTATATCACTATGGGTTTTAATAAACATTAAATCCCCTAAAATATTTAGCAGGCTCTGTTAAAACTGACATATTCCCATGTATTTTCTATTTTTCCCAGAGGTATTCACAAATAAGAACTCATTAGATAACACTTTTATCATCTATACTCTTTCTCACCACGCATTTCAAGGGAGAAAAAAAACCTCTCCAGCTAAATTGTTCCAAATTTACTCTTTTCCCATGAACTTTTAGTGGGACTGTAATAATAACAATAATAATGATAAGAGCAGCTATCATGATTGAGTGTCTCAAGATTTCCTCATTTTATTGTCACATGAACCCTAGGAGGCTGGTATTACCATCTCTGTATCACAGATGAAGAAACTGAAGTCCCAGTGACCAGCACAGTGGTATGCAGCACGTATGTGATACATCTTTATTGGAGTGAGCTTAAATAATTAGTCCAAGGTCACACATTAAACTTTAAGTGGTTATACTGAGATTCAAATACTGGAGTCAGATGCCAAAGCTCAGGCTCTTATACTAATACTTGTCTCAATCCTTGAGAAGAGAAGAAAGGAGCAGAAAACTAAGCTTCAGTACCATTTATTTAGTACTTACTATGTGTCAGGCACTTCTACTAGTTTACACATTAACTCACTTATTCCTCATAACCACTTCATTTTATTCAAATTTTACAGGTGAAGAAACTGAGGCAGAGGCAGAGCAGGAAGTCATTTGGCCACAGTCAGAGCTAATACGTGGCAAAGCTAGGATCTGGGCCCATGCAAAGTGGCTCCTGCACTAACATTCTTAACCTCTGTGTTCTACTGACACGCTATAAACTCCCCTTCACTCGAATTACATGAAAACAAAACTTTTAACCTTTTTACCAAATTACTAAATTGTAAGCTTCACTGAGAGAAAACTAGTAGTGCTTTCCAAGCATGTGTGCCAGACGTCTTTACAGGCACACAGGACATGCCCCTGATGATTAGATCACTGCACGACTCAGGAAGTAGCACAACTGTAAATCTGGTTAAGAGCCCCCAGCCCACCTTTCTCCACACTCAGACCCACACTAACCAGGAACTGCAAGAAATGGGCAATTCAGAGACGTCCCTGTGCAATCTTCTATAAAATGAATGTCACTCTGAAAATATCCCAGTGTGTACAGTACCCTTCCATCACCCCTTCTTCTTCCCAAACACCATAAAAAAAAACACAAAAGGAATGAATGAGTCTAAGCTACTTAAAAATCATAACAAATGTCCAATGATAACTACAAATTTAAATGAGAAAAAAGCAAAATTCTCATAATTTTGTAACTTGTCCAAATTTTACATTTAAAAAGCACTAGGCCTCTTTGAAAGACTCAATTCTTAGACTACCTTCTTATCATAAATGTGCCTTGAAGGATGCAGAGAATTTTTGCTTCAGATTCTGAATATCTTGATAGGTGTATTTAAAACAAAAAACATGACTATTGCAGTATAAGTTATTGGGCTTTTTATACTAATATCTAATAGCATGACAATGTATTTAATTACACAAATATAAGTATTAGGCACGGATTTAATATTTGTATACTAACATGTAATATACAGAAAATAAATACAAGGAACAGGACTGGACCTAAAGGTACTGAGAACCTGACACAATGAAAACAGGAACTATTGCAGCTCCCTCCATTGACATCGTAAAGTTGCCACATTTTCTGGGCTCTCTTTTGAATTAATGTGGCATCTGTTCCAAGTACAGCATGCTAACATTTTACTAAAAGATATTTTCATTCTACATTTGTATCTGATTTGCTTTTTATTTGAACTCCTGTTTTATTTCAATGGTCATTATTTCTTTATACCAAGTTGTCAATTTGGCATTCCTAATCTATCTCCCCTGAGCACAAAAGGGTGGGGGGGAACCATCAGCTTAAAACTCTCTAACAGCAATAATTACAATATGTTTTGCATATAGATTAAATAAAGAAAATAAACAGCACAAAGATTTTTGTAGGCTTTTTAGTATCAAGTCCTGATAAGTTAACGGCATCTGTTCCTTTCAGAAAAAGAATTCTGCTCTGAGGTGTTGGGGGTTGGGGGAAGTAAACAAATACTAAATAGAATAATTCAAGTTACAAAGTTTGGTCTTCGAGATATGATGATTTCAATAATTTGCACATATCCAACTCCATCCACTGATAATTGCTTTTTAAGACATCTTCAAAAATGCTGTAGCAACAAGCCAAATACAACCACTTGTACTTAACATGCATGCTGCATACTCCACAATGTTACGTCACATCAGGCACAGAGAAGACGCTTACCAAGCTATCCTGCGTTCTATAAACTGCCTAACAACAGAAAAAGGCACTGCCATCTCAATGGGAGTAGAAGCTATCAGGGCAGGCAGCCCTTTCCCTTTTGGTCAACTCTGAGGAAAACAAGTAAGGTTTATATTTCTGTCTTTTAAAGCTCACCTCTCTCCAGGCCTATACTTTGAATCCTTCAGCCTTTCACAGAAAGAAAGGCTGTTTCTTTAAAATTAAAAAGCTGCAAAAGATCACTCCAACTTAAAAGTCCCACACCTTTTACCAACTGTCCTCCAGCTGTCCCCACGGCTGCCTCTTCTGCAGGAAGAATGGCCTATCTTGAGCACTCATCTCCAAGTGGGTGTGGGTACCCTGAGGAAGGGAGCCACTGGGAAGAAATTATTACAACTTATATTTTAAAATCTCATCCTTTTAAAAATTTCAAATTTCCTATATGTTTGACAACATGCATAAAACACTAGTTTAGACTATCATACATTTAACTGGTAACCATAATTTTTAAAAGTGTAGAGAGTACTGGTCAAGATGACTGAGTCTAGAATAAAAAAGGAAAACTAGGCTCTACCACTAACTTAGTCAAATTCTTGTCTCTCAGTTTCACCATCCATAACATTAATTGAGCCCTCTGTACACTATTAGACTAGAATGAACAAGAATAAAATACTCTGTAGGACATGGTCTGAGCCACTCAAAAGGAAAAGCATATTTATGAATGCTACCAATGAGAAAAACTAAACTTGGCTGGTAAAAAACGTTGACTACTCTATAGTTTAAATAAACTGCTACATTCTACCAGGTCCAATTCTTAGAATTTTACGGCAAGGCTTTAGCACTTCGTGGATCTAAAGAAGCATAAAGCACCTTAGATGCAAGGAGTGTATTCTAGGATTAGAAAGGCTTTTTTAAAAACTTTTATAACGAAAACTTTTTATTACCTGTGTAACAAAATTTTTTAATTTAAAAATTACAACAGTGAATTATCACTAATAATCTCAGCAACAAGTTAAAACTCTCAAAGCTGGAATCAAGAGTTCTATTTAATGTAGATTATAAGGCCTTTAGTATGTCTTTCTAAATATAATGCCAGAAAAAATGAACAGCACTCAAATAACTTACTTTTTTTTTTTAACTGCGTTAAAAAATACTGAGTTATCAGCATAGCATTTGGTAGTGGTTGAGTGAGTAGGGATAGGTGATGGGGATGAGGTCAGCCCACACTACTCACATGAAGTTGTGAAGACCAGGACTAATTCCTATGTAGGGTATCTTTACGCTGATTAAGCAGTACTACTTTGAGTTTCTATTAATTAAAATATTACATGTATTATCTTGGTTTTAAAATCCTACTTTTTATTTTTTCTTTTTTACAGGTTTGCCCCAATTCTTGCCTATTTACTTTGTAAATGTGAAATAAATGTGTCCTAACAACCAAGAAGAGAGATTACCAGTTTTTTTAAATGTTATTTGAAAACACAATTGCTCTCTTTATAAGTAGCTACTAGAATAAACTAGAATCATTTAATTCAGAAATGATGCCTCCTAAATTACTTATATAGGACAGAAAACAATGTTGTCATTTTAAACTGATTTTTTTTTAAGTTTAAAAAATAACAATGACCATTTCCTAAAGCATGAGGTACAATCAATCTAAGGCATTAGGTTTGGAATCTTAATGTATAAATCTTACCCACCTCTCTTCCTCCAACCTTACTCCCACTTCCCACATGAGCCCTATTTTCAAAAATAAACAAGTTTTTTAAATAGTCACCTGGAAAAAAGTAAACTTTGAGAGTATTATGGTATAATTAAACTTCTTTAAAAATGTGTGTGTGTGTATATATATATATATATATAAAATACATATGTAAATGCACAGGAAAAGTTTAAAAGTAGGATGAGAACGGAATGACTAATTTTCTACTTTATACGTATCTATATTGCTAGAATGACTTTCTAACTTAGATGCACAGCTTTTGTAATATTTCTTGAAAGGACACTTATCTAACACTCTAAAACGTTGATCGTTATATAAGGACTGACTGAAATAGTGAATGTAAACCATTTGCACCTACTAAAAAAAGTATTAAACTAACTTACACTGTGCTTTATAAAGTGCCCAACTTCCAAACTTTAAGAAATAGCTATTAGACCCCACCCCATGCTACGCACTATGCTTGGCAATGGATATACAAGGATAAACAAAGCAGGCACTGTCCCAAATGTCTTCATTTCCATCCCATTCCAATGTTTACTATTTTCAAACTACTCAACCTAACCCAACCAAAATCAACATGAAACAGCCTCAAAATGATACACTGTAGCTGTGGCCATTTCAGTAAATTGAAAACTTCTTTAGTAATTCATTTCTAGGTATCTATGGGAATTACATAGTTTAGTATAGCATTTTGGACATTTAAGAGCAAGGGCTCAGGAATCAAACCTGGGCTTGAATCCAGGTTGTATCATTTGTTACCTATGTGATCCGAGGGAAACCTCTACTTCCTCATTTGTAAAATGGAGGTAGGATAATAATAGTAAATCCTCAGAATATTGCTGTGAGGATTAAAACTAAATAAGATCCTATGTGTAAAAAGGCTTAGCACTATACATAATAAACACTCTTTATTATTGATGACAACAGATAAACCTAAGGTACAAAAACCGTTCACAACTTGTCAAACATTTAAAATCTATGTCATTTCTCCAAAATGTGTGTATGTCACTTCTCCAAACACAAATATATATATTTATGTAAGTTTGTATATTAACACATAAAAATAAAATTTATATAGTTAGTAAAATAAAATTTTTAAAACACAAAAGCTCATAATTAAAATTTTTCATTCCCATGACAACACACCAGTACATTTATATTTATAATATACACACAAATGTACCAATGTGTATACTGTTAAGAACTACACCATAAACACACACGTAAACACATGTCAAGAATTTGTCTATTGGGCCAGGCGTGGTGGTTTAGGCCTGTAATCCCAGCACTTTGGGAAGGTGAGGCAGGTGGATCACTTGAGATCAGGAGTTAGAGACCAGTCTACCCAACATGGTGAAACCGTCTCTACTGAAAATACAAAAATTAGCCGGGTGTGGTGGCACATGCCTGTAGTCCCAACTACTCGGGAAGGCTGAGGAAGGAGAATCACTTGAACCTAGGAGGTAGTGGTTGCAGTGAGCTGAGATGGCCCCCCTGCACTCCAGCCTGGGCAACAGGGCAAGACTCCGTGTCAAAAAAAAAAAAAAAAAGTACTGGTCTATTGGGAGCAGGGTGGATCACTAATTTTTTGGTTCTAACTCATTATTTAAAATTGTATAATATTAATATTATTAACATGATACAGATAAATATCTTAAAACCCAGCCCCTTATTGCTGATTAAAAATTCAATTTACATACACAACTTTAGTAATATAAAGTACATTCATGAGTATTATCTTATCTAATCCTTTTAATATCATAGTGAAGCAGGCCCTTATTATTATCCCCATTTTACCACTGGGTAAACTAAAGCCCAGCAAGGATGAACTTCCCAAGAGTGTACAGCTACGTGACAGGAGTACACTTAAGACCAAGTCTTCTGACATCATCACAACTGTTTCCTTTATACTGGCCTGGGGCATTTCATTAAAAAAGAAAACTGTGTTCAATAATTTAGGTGTGTCAAAGGTCTCTATACTGAATCTACATGGCTGCCCAGTTTTACTCTCCTTATTTCCTCTCCTGATTTCCAACTTTAGTATTTCAGTAATCACATGGGTACATATAATGATAAAAATATGGAATGAGAATTCCTACAAACCTGATATTTTCTATATTGGCCATTAACACCAGGGACTATTTTTCTCCTTATATTTAGCCCTTTGTATTAACTCCTTTGTAACTGCTGAATTTATTTCATTTTAATATTAGGTCTTGAAAAGACAAATTGATGTCATATAAATAAAACAGCTTATAAAGTAGAAGCATATCAGACCAGATTCCATACATTTTGGACACATCTAAGGAATCTATTTAATGTCTAATCTACATATTAACAATTTTTTTTTTTTTTTGAGACAGAGTCTTGCTCTGTCTCCCAGGCTGGAGTGCAATGGCACAACCGCAGCTCACTGCAACCTCCGCCTTCTGGGTTCAAGCGATTCTCCTGCCTCAGCCTCCCGAGTAGCTGGGATTACAGGCACCTGCCACCACGCCCAGCTAATTTTCTATTTTCAGTAGAGATGAGGTTTTGCCATGTTGGCCAGGCTGGTCTCGAACTCTTGACCTCAGGTGATCCACCCGCCTCAGCCTACCAAAGAGCTGGGATTACAGGCGTGAGCCACCGCGCCTGGCCATATTAACAAATTTTAAATCACAACTATGTGGGGGGGGAGGCTAGTATTATTACAGCAGATTGGTTTGCTATATAAACAAGTACTTTAAAAAATATTTCTTGGGCCAGGCGTGGTGGCTCACGCCTGTAATCCCAGCACTTTGGGAGGCCGAGGTGGGCAGATCACTTGAGGCCAAGAGTTAAGAGACCAGCCTGGCCAACATGGTGAAACCCCATCTCTACTAAAAATATAACAATTAGCCAGGCATGGAGGTGCATGCCTGTAATTCCAGCTGCTCGAGAGGCTGAGGCATGAGAACTGCTGGATCCTGGGAGGCAGAGGTTGCAGTGAGCTGATATTGCGCCACTGCACTCCATATCCAGCCTGGGCAACATGGCAAGACTCCGTCTCAAATAAATAAATAAATAAATAAATAAAACTAAAGGCAGAGTTTTCTTAAATAAACATGGTAGCCCTCAGCAACAATATTGTAAGAACTCCTCGCAAGAGAAAAAGCTGGAATAAGATACTGGCTAAGCAAGTAAGAAAGGCACTGCCCTGCTTCTGCATACATTCAAACTAAGACATATACATTGCAGCTTACACTTACATTTTCCAATATCCCCAGGCATCCCTTTCCCTTCTCAAACAGCCAAAAGGAACCAGCCATGCAAATAAAAATACAAGTTCAAGAGCCTAAAAGAAGTCAGTGTCCTAAAAGAGAAAATTAATGTAAAGAATTAAGATTTTTTGAAACTACACTTTCTTTCTGGGGCTGTTTACTGGCCTCCAATACATCAATCCTGTAACACTGTGAACTACAGTGATAGATTGGTACATGCTTCTAAACACAACAGAATTTTTCCAAGGTTACATACACTGTAACAAAAGGGGCATTTTGCAGCATCTTATTTTCCTTAATCAACTAGTTTGGATATTCTAACAGTGCAAACATTGTAAACAATAAATTTTCATTACCTTTTGAACTTTCTGAAGTCAACCAAAGGCTTGTGGTATGGATGCAATGAGTACTAGACAGGCAGAGCTGAATACTAGTCAAAATATTCAGTTACTGGTGTGATAGTCCTTTTGGGGGCATACATCACTTAGGGAGAAACTGAGGTGCAAGGACATTTTACACACAGCAAAAACATTCTCAGGAATTTGTCACATCATTACCATAAGCCAAAAATCTCAAGGTCTTAGAACAGCCTGAGCTTCTGATCAAATTATATTGTAAAAAGAGAGGAAAAAAATGTGAAGCGTGCTATTTTTTAAAATAACAGTAACTACTACTACTGCTGCTGCTGCTAATTCTAAACGTTTACTGAGCCCTTATTATGTGCCAAGCACCGTGCTAGGTACGGTCATAGATTTTAACAATTAATCCCTGTAACAACCCTCTGATATTAGTTAATAAAATTAAAGTAGAATCCTCACCAAAAAAATTTAAACTTTCCAAATAAAAATATAAATAAATTATTAAAGACATTTCACCTCTTTCTCTGCCTCAGACTACATTTTCAAGTATTAAATTTACACTAAAACCACATTTATTTTCAGGAATTCCAGTTAAAGCGTACAGATATTCAAGATGTTGACAATTATTACAGAAGAATCACAGAACTCTGAAATTAAATACTGGCACAGAAAACCTTCCATCCAACCTTACGGAACAACTATCCCCATTTTAAAAAAAAAGGAACAGCATATATATCAGGCTTGATAATAAGAGGCTTCTCATGCCCACACTAGCAATGAATGATGCCATAATTATAAAGAGACCTGTATCGCCACATGCATAAAAATAATTTACATCTGCTAAGTCAAGTTTTCAATATATTATTTTGTGTGTAAACCTTATAGTAGCTGATAAAAAATACAATAAACTAATCTAAGGTAAACTAAAACACTAGGTTGTTTCTGAAGACTCACTTTAGAATTTGAGCAGCATAATAATCATAATATTAGTAATCAAACTACTTAGCAGAAAGTTCTTAGAGGGCTGGGAAGCTGTGTATAATAAAATGGAGCAGACAAGAAGGAAGGGTTTTCCGTACTGTTTAAATCAACTACAGGTCCCAGCATGCAGTGCTCTAATCTGAAGTTAAGCAAAAACTGCAATGCATACTGGGACTTGTAGTAAGTAAACCACGTTATCACAGCAAGTTTCAAGAAAGTCTGAACTATCTAGCACAATTTGACTATATCTTATTATCAGAGTCTAATCAAATTTAAATCAAATTTGTATGTTCTCTGATGTGGCACACAGTTTCTCTAGCACATACCGGAAAAAGTATCAATATTTAGACCAACATTTTCACATTAGAAAAATCTTACGTAGGAGAAGCACAGAAAAAAATGCTGAAAAAGCAAAAAAACTTGATGAATAAAAAATATAATTTTTGAAATAGTTTTTTAAAGTTTGAATGGATCCATTTCAACATTCTCTAATCCTCCCCCACAAAAAGTTTAATTGTTTTGGCCGGGCGCGGTGGCTCACGCCTGTAATCCCAACACTTTAGGAGGCTGAGGCGGGTGAATTACGAGATCAAGAGATCGAGACCATCCTGGCCAACATGGTGAAACCATCTCTACTAAAAATACAAAAATTAGTTGGGCGTGGTGGCGCACGCCTGTAGTCCCAGCTACTCAGGAGGCTGAGACAGGAGAATTGCTTGAACCTGGGAGGTGGAGGCTGCAGTGAGCTAATATCGCACCACTGCACTCCAGCCTGGTGACAGTGTGAGATTCATTCTCAAAAAAAAAAAAAAAAAAAGTTTAATTGTTTTAACAGGTTGCTTTTTAACAATTATTCAAGATGTATTTTATAAATAATTTTTCTTGAAGAAAATTCTCAGAAGCAAACATTCCCCATATTCTAATATTGCCCACCAGGAAATAATTTTTTTAGTAATACGCACACACCCCATCACAAAAACAAACAAAAAACACTGAAGTTCTGCTTTTGTCAAGTCCTTACTCAATATTTATGCCCTCCATTCCTCACCTCTAATTCCCTACACACACACACACACACGCACACATCCCCACACACACACGCTTCTACAAAGAACACTTAGAAAAACAGTATTCCAACTACAAGCCCACTTCTCTCATCCACTGACCTCTTCTGAAAACACAAAAGATTTTTTAAGCTATCAGTAACACGTCCAAACACAAGCTGATAAGTTTGAGCTAGAATTTACATATATACAGTTGCTACACACCCTCCTATTTTCTGCAAGTCTGTGGAAGGAGGCTGGGAAAGAACTAAGTGCAATCTGCATCAGGAGGCCTAACACAGGTGGTGGGTTATTTTCAGGCAACAGCACCTTCACAAACATGTTTTGGAATATAGTCCAAGAAATTCCTAACAAGGAAAGATAAGCTGGCACACAAATTTAACGCAATCCAGCTAAAAATCATCTGCAACACATGCTACTACATTTCACCATAAAAGTGACGGGCTACTATAAAGGATTTGAAGCTTCGTCAATACAACATACTGTCCATAAGGCCAGAGATAGCAGTTGCCATGGTTACTATACCCACTTTTATCAGGAAATTACTGTCATTACCCCAAAGTTTTGGGTACTTATTTAAAATTTAAAAAAAACACACACAATTTAGGGTTCTGACTGTTAATTGAGTGAAATAATCAACTACTGTTTGATTTGTAAGTATGTCGCTTTGGAGATGCACATGGTTAACAATACTTGGATCTGCAGCAGAAAAAAAATCAATTCCTTTCTGCTGCTCCTTCTCCTCAAGTACTGACAGTTTGTATTCTCAATGCAGCCAAAACAATAAAACAAAACCCATCTTTTTGGCTTCTGTGTTTAAGTTATTTTTCCCCTAGGCCCACAAACAGAGTCAAAATAAAGCCTAGATCATCAACCTGTTAGGCCTCATCCCCTTCCTATCCCCTCCATACTGGTTCACTTTCTTGACTACTTAGAAAAGGCAGAAAACATTTCTGTAACTGATTCCAAAGTATAGAAAAGAATAGTTGCCTTCAACTGAGATATTTTCACCAAAGTCTTTTTTATTTACTTTTTTTTTAAGGCAGGGAGAGGGGAGAGACTTGCAGGGTACTGAAAGGGAGAAGTGGAGGAGTATTCAAATTGCCACACAAGTCTAGTGTAAGAAAGTTGCTTTAGAAGAGTCCAAAGGATGGCTGAACCTCACATATAATTTCTAAAAGCTTTGGAAGAGTTCACCATAATTTTAAGACTGAATTGAGGGACAAGTAATAGAAAAGTTATTCATAAAGTCTACTTCAACATTTTTACAAAAGATAACTATTCAAAAATTTAACACACATATAAGAATTATACGAAAGCCTACAAAATAGTATGGCCACATATACACACAAACATACAAAGTAGAAAACATAAGCTATTTAAGAAATAATTATCTACAATAAATTCAATGCAATGTTAACATATTATCTCTTTTTTAAAAAATCGCAAAGCAGCAAAAACATACACCTGAGAAAATTAATGTGATCAAAACGTTAAAGAATTCTTAGGCCTATAAAAAAAGCCCATGTACAAAAGCTCCTGAGAAGTCAACATAAATCATTAATATTTCCCAGCACAAAATAATATGAAAATTCAAACATGTTTCAAGAAATCAGTTCTAGATATAGATATAAAAGAATTCCATTAAAGGTCAGAGACCTAAAACTTTAATTCCTTCCCTTCTCTGTTTGAATAGTAATTAAATACAAAAGCCTTCAGCAATAAAATACTAAGGATACAAAATTTAAAAGCACATTAATATAAGCTTAACTTCAGTATGTCTTCACAGAAAGCTTTACTATTCACTGTCTGTAGGATGAAAAAGTTAATAACACCCTGAGAGGTTTCATTTTTATCTAAACAGTTAAGTGTTTTTCTCACCGTTCACAGAAGCAAGTTTCTATATTTACTTTCTAAAGGGGGCAATTTCAAAAGAATAGTCACTTCTAAAATTTAAGATACTATACCTTTTGATAGGCTCATAAACACAGGGTTCCTAATTATCTATATTTTACTTTAAAATGTTTCTATTCCAAATTTGTGAGCAGAGTTTATAAGAAAGCTGAAACTCAAGGCTTTAAACTTTTGGGTTATTTTTACACAAAAATATTTCAGTGCACTCCTCTAGATTTGAGTAGTCATTTCCTTGTGCATCCTTCTAAAATAGAAAAACAAAAATGATATATCCATATATACCTAATACTAACACATACAGATATACATCTTTTTCACTGTGAAACAAGCTTGAAAGCTTTAGGCAGTAAGAATTTTTCAGAAAGTTAGCAGAGTCAGTCAAAACATTCAAAACTTGAACCATGACATCTGTTACTCTGTCAATAAGAGTCTATAGAAGAATCAGGGAACTTACATACTCACTAAAATCAACTACTATCACATCACATCAATGGAGAAATGAAGAAAAACTGTAATAGGGGACATACAATTCACAGGATCTTCAAAAGGGAAAATGATCTTTTTTTTTTTTTTAAATTATGAGAAACTGACTAGGCAGCATTTTTTCAAAAGCAGCTTCAAAACTATAACAAAGACATTTTTGGTAACCACAGCAGTATTTAAAAAACAAAAATTTAGGCCGGGCGTGGTGGCTCACGCCTATAATCCCAGCACTTTGGGAGGCCAAGGCAGGTGGATCACCTGAGTCAGGAGTTCAAGACCAGCCTGACCAACATGGTGATACCCCGTCTCTACTCAAAATACAAAACTTAGCCGGGCGTAGTGGCGGACACCTCTATAATCACAGCTACTCAGGAGGCTGAGAGGCAGGAGAATCGCTTGAACCTGGGAGGCAGAGGTTGCAGTGAGCCGAGATCACGCCGTTGCACTCCAGCCTGGGAAACAGAGCGAGACTCCGTCTCAAAAAATAAAAAAATAAAAAAACTATAGTGTCCAGGGTGCACTTTAAATGTATTACTTTCTCAACTGATATGGAAAAAGTTAGCATTTAAAGACAGAAGCTTCTGTCCATGTATTAATTAGTTACCTATCTCAACAACTTAATATCTGCATGCTTTCTTACCATTTATGAAGAACTTTTATATGTATTATCTCATTTGGTCTTACTGAGAAAACAGTATTTTGCCTACAAAATAGACAAAATTCAAAGCAGATTTATCAAACTTTCTAGCATCCCCAAATTTTTAAAACTTCGACACAAAACTTTACAAGCAACCACAGTGGCATGATATTTTCAGTGATAATCAATTCACCTAACACTAACAGAGTTTCAAAGGACCATGTGCTATAAATGCTATGAAACTGTTAAAGTAGCTATATTCATCTTTATGCAGTTACTGTTACATCAACAATGACCTACCACTGATACAACTTGACTTACAGTTCAAGAATCTCAGTCTTTGCAGGCTAACTTAAGTACATCAACCATATGTATTTATAAAGCCGAGTGCCTAAAAATTGATCTATATTAGAATCATAGTCTGTAAATCCGAGGGGAAAAAACTACAAGAAGTCTAAAATTTTTTCAACACACTATACCCCTTTCCAAAATCTCAACTACTCTATATCCTATTTGTATTAATATTATAGGGATGATAACAAGGCTTAAAGCCCTAAATCATACCAACTACTTTTGTTTATAACAATTACAAATAATTTTTTAAAATACATGCTCAACATCCCACTCATCAACACAAGACTAATTCCCCTTCCAAATAAAATAATTCTAAACAGTGCTCTGTACCAAGGGCCAGAATCCTTATACTATCCGCAATCGCACATCTACTTTGTACAGTCAAAGACTTCACTTTCAAGTAGCAAACATTATTTATGAATGGAATTTTTAAATGGACTTACTCAAAATCTTTCTGGAACTTTAAGGTGTTAATCCTGTTGCTTAGCTGAAGCTAAGCAGAGCTGTAATAAGTAGCAAGACCCTCAAAATTCAAAAATTTCCTTTATCTTGCTGTAGCACCTCCTGCTGGATAGCATTTAGAGATCTTCATGTAAGCAGAAGAAGAGTATTTCAGAGGCAGCTCCTTCCAGAAGACTGAATAGGAAAAAGGATGGACCCTTCAAAGCTAAAAGAAATAGGCCCCATCCATCACTTATACCTTCTAAAAATACAATTTAGCCCAGGTAGGTGTCTTTTTCATCTATTACTACTCCAGTTCCACAAAGACTTGCCTCAGTCCAAAATACAACATGCTTAAATAAAGCCTGCAAAATTGTCTAAAAACTAAGTTAAAAAGCATTCAATAGCACCCAAGCAAAACACTTTATTATGGGCAGCCAAGCAATGTCAGTCAAACTGTAAATACTATTATGTTACCAAAAGCAAAAGTCTGATGTTAAAAAAAAAAAAAAAAAAGCCCCTGGAATATTCGTAACATGTTAGCCAGATGTTTGTGTTTTGAGAACTTTGTGCACTATTACTATGCTCTTCACTTAAGGATAGTTGTACATCTACAAACGTTTTAAGTACAGAAATTTTTTTATAAACATTAGCATAACTGTACACAAAATTTCCTCTTTGCCATGAAAAGATAGGTCCTGGGATTTGAAAATGTATTTTTCAGACATTTTTAATGACCCCCTAAAATAAACTAGTTTTAAGCCCACAACACCGATTCCATAAACAAGTAAAGACAGAAGAAGAGAATAAGAAGGAACTTACCAAAATTAAAATGAATAATAGTATTTCCAGTAAAAATGTAGTAACAGTTTCCAACAATGCTGTAAACCAAATAAATTGTGAAACTTAAAAAAGGAAGGAGGGGGCCAGTCTTCAAAGACCAAAAGCAAAGCTGACCTATTTATTTCTATTGCTTAGAGTGAACACCAGATGTAAACAAATATCATAAACACTGAAAAGTACGCTTACATGGTTTAGCCTCAATTTCAGTACCCTTACCAGGCCCTCAATAAAGCTACAGATGTTGGTGAGAACTCGCTCAAAAAGGAGATAATTCCAGCCCCTCGCCTTAAAGAATCCCTATCAAGTGAACCTGTGAAAAGACTTCCTTCCCAGAGTGCACAACTGCTTTAAAAAAAAAAAACTTTCATCAGCCCAAATTAATCTGATTCTAATATTCAACTATCCATTATTTATATATAAATGTTCTTCCCTCTCTAACTTTCCCAGCTCGAGCATCTACATTCCTGACACCGACTATTAGCAAAAATGCACAACTCCTTCCCCAGCTATGGGGCAAATCTTTGAAATCTGAAACACAGCCACAAAGTTCACTGTCAAGGCCAGGTGATGAGGCCCACACATGCCCGGACCTTCACTCAGATTTGAAATTCTAGAAATCCAGACTCCCAGAGACATCATTTTAAAAACAACACAATGTGGACGTGCAGAGTGAGATCCTCTACTTCCAGACCTAAACAAAGAATATTTCAACATATGACCGGAATATGATGACACCAGATTCACCAATGAAAACAAAACCTGCCGACCATTAGCAGTCGTACCCTCATCACAACAACTCAACTACTTAGAAATCACTCTCGGCACATCTGCACCCGACAACCGGCCTGTGGCCTTCTCCGGGGGTGCAAGCCACAGACAAAGTTGAAAGAAGGCGTTCTCCTCCGGTGCCCAATCTCGATACCAACCCCTCCCCTACCAGGGCCACCTTGCTGCTACCCACCATCGCGAACGTGGTCAGGGGAAAAAAAAAAAAAAGAAATCCTAACAGCACCGCTCAGCAGAATAAAGAGACCAAAGAGAGGATGACGAGAAGTGTTGGGAACTGCGTGCACGACGGGGCTGGACCAAACGGAAAGAGTCCCACTCCGCGCGCCCCTCCCCCCGGCGGGGGCGCGGGCGGGGGAGGGGCGGCCGCGGCCCCTCTCGGAGCGGCCTGTCCGCCCCGGCCCGCTCGGGGTCCCGGGGGCGCCCCGCGGCCGCCGGCGGCGGGGGCGAATGCGGGAGGGCCGGCCCCGGGGTGAGGGGTGCAGGCAGACTCTCCGGAATAACAAGTTGCAGAAGAAGAAGAATAAGCGGAATTTCCCCAACGCTGCTCCGGCCACCCAAGACAAATGCACCAACACACTCACACTCACACACACACAAACACACACACTGGGGCCCGGCAGCGTCAGCAGCCGCAGCTTTTTTTTTTTTAAACCAGATCCCTCAGTCAACAAACAAGATGGTTTTCCAAAAAAAAATTTTTTTTAATTAAATAAATAATCATAATAAAAACTTCCCCCCGACAGCATCCCGGGGTGGGGTGGGGGGGATGGAGGAGCCCCAGCTACCTCCCCGGCCGAGGGACAGCCGAGGGGGGGCGGGCGAGGCTCCGTGCCCCCCGCCCCCGCCCGCAGCCCCCGGCCGGCCCCCCGCCGGGACAATGTGACGCCCCCTCCCCGCCGCCCCCGGCACGCCGCCTCTGTCACCGGCTCCGGCCCTGCACTCTGCGCCCAGGCTTCCGAGGCTGCTCATAAACTTACTTCCAATTTATCCTGGGGAGGGGTGGAGGGCAGAGGGGAGGGGGGGGAGCCAAGGTTTTCCCATTGTCTTTTTTTTCG